>NC_000011.10:118687576-118990606 GCF_000001405.40 Homo sapiens
AGATCAGAGACAATCCATTCAAATTCAGACTCCTTTGAAGGAATAATATCAGGGGCAGAAATAAATTATACATATTTCTTCGGGCCCCACCTCCCCTGCTCTCCTTCCCAGCATTGAGCCCTTGGTTGCCTGGGCCCAGGCTGGGGTTTTCAGTATTTGTAAAGCCTTCAGACTAAGGAAGTGAGTGGAAGGCTGGAGGTGTGGGGCTTGGCGCTGGGGCACTTGGGGTAGGAGGGATAGGTCTTCCCCCCAGAGCAGGATTTCCACCCTATTGAAGGTTCCAGGAGGGAGCTAGGCCCCTACCCATGCCCTCCAGGTCATGACCCTGCCCCCCACCTCACTCTGATCAGAGGACAGGCTGGGAGGTAGGAGGGCATGAAGAGGCAGGGGAAGACAGGAACTGGTGCAGAGGTTTAATGGGACAGGAGCTGGGGCCAGGTGAGGAGGGGAGGGCTGTCACTGTGGCAGAAGGCTGAGCAGGAGGCTGGGAAAAAGGGTGGCCGCCAGACAGTGGGGCTCCAAGAAAGCCAGCTGGGCCCCTAAGGTCAGCCGGTCACCACAGCAGTCCAGTAGCATCAGGACCACGCCATTCATCCAGCCAAAGCCCTCCTGGGAGAGGCAGGGCAGTGGGGCCAGGTTTCTGGGGAAGCCCCAAACCCTTGGTGGTGTGTCCGGAATTGGTGGGTTCTTGGTCTCACTGACTTCAAGAATGAAGCCACGGACCCTCACGGTGAGTGTTACAGTTCTTAAAGCAGCACGTCTGGAGTTGTTCGTTCCTCCCGGTGGGCTCGTGGTTTCGCTGGCTTCAGGAGTGAAGCTGCAGATCTTCGTGGTGAGTGTTACAGCTCATAAAAGCAGTGTGGACACAAAAAGTGAGCAGTAGCAAGATTTATTGCAAAGAGCAAAAGAACAAAGCTTCCACAGTGTGGAAGAGGACGTCAGCAGATTGCCGCTGGTGGTTCGGGCAGCCTGCTTTTATTCTCTTATCTGGCCCCACCCACATCCTGCTGATTGGTAGAGCCCAGTGGTCTGTTTTGACAGGGCGCTGATTGGTGCATTTATAATCCCTGCGCTAGATACAAAGGTTCTCCACTTCCCCATCAGATTAGTTAGATACAGAGTATGGACAGGAAGGTTCTCAAAGGCCCCACCAGAGCAGCTAGATACAGAGTGTCGATTGGTGCACTCACAAACCCTGAGCTAAACACAGGGTGCTGATTGGTGTGTTTACAAACCTTGAGCTAGATACAGAGTGCCGATTGGTGTATTTACAATCCCTGAGCTAGACATAAAGGTTCCCCACGTCTCCACCAGACCCAGGAGTCCAGCTGGCTTCACCCAGTGGATTCCGCACCCCGGCTGCAGGTAGAGTTGCCTGCCAGTCCCGTGCCGTGCGCTCGCACTCCTCAGCCCTTGGGTGGTCGATGGGACTGGGCACCGTGGAGCGGGGGCAGTGCTCCTTGGGGAGGCTCGGGCTGCACAGGAGCCCAGGGAGGCGGGGGAAGGCTCAGGCATGGCGGGCTGCAGTCCCGAGGCCTGCCCTGGGGGAAGGCAGCTAAGACCCGGTGACAAATCGAGCGTAGCGCCAGTGGGCCTGCACTGCTGGGGGACCCAGTACACCCTCCGCAGCCGCTGGCCCGGGTGCTAAGTCCTTCATTGCCCGGGGCCAGCAGGGCCGGTCGGCTGCTCCTAGTGCGGGCCCGCCAAGCCCACGCCAACCCGGAACTCCACCTGGCCCGCAAGCGCCGCGCGCAGCCCCGGTTCCCGCTCTCGCCTCTCCCTCCACATCTCTCTGCAAGCTGAAGGAGTGGGCTCCTGCCTTGGCCAGCCCAGAAAGGGGCTCGCACAGTGCAGCGGTGGGCTGAAGGGCTCCTCAAGTGCCGCCAAAGTGGGAGTCCAGGCAGAGGAGGCGCCAAAAGCGAGCAAGGGCTGTGAGGACTGCCAGCACGCTGTCACCTCTCAGTGGGGGCTGTGGGCTCTCTTCCCAGGGGCACTGGCCCTGCCTAACCCTAGCGGTACAGGGAGCACCAGTCAGCTCCTCCTCCAGGCCCACATGCAGGTGAGCACACTGAGGCCTGGGGCGGGGATCGTGGGCAGCAGAGCCCAGGAGTTTCCTGTAGGGTGATGGCCAGCCCACCCCTGGCCTGCTCACCTGAACTTCATACTCCCCTCCGCCACCGGGCTCTCCACCGTTGCTAATGTCATACTGGGAATAAGAGGGCGGGCCGTAGGTCAGGCACTGCCCCCACCCCACCCACCCCCAGCCACAGGGACAACAAACAACGGGATCCTTGTCGGGAGAAGCCGCTCTGCCTCCCAGCAGCCCCTGCAGTGCCCAGGAGTGCCCACTGGGCGCCGCCACCATCCCAGCTGCGCTTGCCCTGAGCCCTGCCAAGCCTGACCCTCCCGCCTCACCACGGGGACGCCCTGGGGGTACGGGGAGGGCTCAGGCCAGCTCATCTTCTCATACATGGCTGACTTGCTGGTAGACATCAAAGTTGGTTCGGATCCAATTCTGGGGCATATTGGTAGATCAGGATCTGGCTGCCCTAGAAGGTTCCAGACATTCCCGTGACTGTGGGTGGGGCTGGACTGGGAGCCAGGACGCTGGGCCCGGCGGGAAGCCAGATGTCCCTTTCCTGGCCCTTCTCTTCTCGGCTCACAGCTGCCCCCCGGTGGCTCCGCGGGACCTGCCGGCTGGGACAAGGGGCACAGCCGGAGGAAGCGGCCTCCCCTGCAGGTCCTGCTCAGGGTCGGGAGGGGGCAGTGCTGCCTGCAGTGGGCCAGAGCCACCTTCTGTGCCCTCACCTCCAGGTATTTCAGAGCCTTGTCCGCCACGCCAGGGTCAGAGAAACACCCGTTCCAGAGTGGAGTGAGGTTGGATGGGTAAAACTCCCGGTTCTCCTTGTTCTCAAGGTCGTAGTCGAACCAGGCACTGGTCTGCTCATCCCACAGGACTGTGTTCAGGGCGGCCAAGCGCTGCGCCGGCAGGATTCTGTACTTTGTGGCCTGGGAGTCGTTCCCTGGGGCAGTGCTGCCTTTGGGCCCTACAGGAGCCCTCTAGAAAGAACTTCTGAGGTCAGACGGGCAGCATCTACTCTAACGCCTCACCTCCTCCAGGAAGTCTCCCCACCCTCCCCAGGAAACCCCAGCCTGTCCTGTCTCCTCTGGGCTGCCTGCACTGTCTCTGGCACCACTGGGTAGATGTTCACTGCCTGCTGGGCTCTCCTTCCCTGAGCTCCTGGGCCAGGCCTCCGTCTCAGGAGGAATCAGGGCTACTGCTTGCTCAGCCCCGTCCTGAGCTACTTTGCTCATCCACATCCCCTCATCTGGGGAAAGGGTTTGGGGTTTTATCCCGTCCCTAGTCCTACCACTGGAGCCCAAGCCCAGACCCTCTTGCTTGGAGCCCCGCTTTCCCTGGACCTGTTCCCACTCTGCCCCAGTCACACAGGCCTTCTTCCCAATCCCTGAACAGTGCCTCAGGGCCTCTGCACGGCCCTTTCCGTGCCTGGACTGTCCTCTCCCAGATCAGCTCAGCAATGGTTCCTGCCACAATTCTGCTCACACATCACCTCCTCAGAGACACCTTCCCTCCCCATCCTCTCTAACACACCCTCCGCTCACCCACACCAGCGGGCCCTAACTTCTCTCTACTTCAAACCGTGCTTCTGTTACTGTTTTGCTTCTATTATTATTATTATTATTGGAGACAGAGTTTCTCTCTTGTTGCCCAGACTGGAGTGCAATGGCGCGATCTTGGCTCACTGCAACCTCCACATCCCAAGTTCAAGCGACTCTCCTGCCTCAGCCTCCCGAGTAGCTGGGATTACAGGCGTGCGCCACCATGCCCGGCTAATTTTGTATTTTTCATAGAGATGGGGTTTCACCATGTTGGCCAGGCTGGTCTCGAACTCCTGACCTCAGATGATAGCTCCCACCTTGGCCTCCCAAAGTGCTGGGATTACAGGCATGAGCCACCGTGCCCAGCTGTTTTTCTTCTATTATTATTGTTCTTGCAGGAGCTGGTAAAGTGGCTGATGTGGCCACAGCTCCATAAATCCATGTGGAACGAAGGGTGGACATCGCCTGAGTCCAGGAGACAGGACAGGGTCACTCATCTCTGTCCCTGGTGATGGAAACTCAGGCTCAGGAAAGAGCCTTGACCTGCCCTGGGTCACAGAGAGAATATTAGGGTCAGGGCTTGAGCCCGGGTGCTGTGGTCAGGCCCTTAGGCCGCCTCTCACACCCAGACTAGGAAGCTGGAGCAGAAAGTTTGCTAGAACAATCCTGAGAAGAGGCCTGCACAGTTCAAGGGGCAGCTTGGAGGAGGAGAGGGAGGGAGGACCGGCTCTGGCCAGTGGGCTCTTGGACCTCAGGCCAGGCTCTGGCAGCTGCATCTGGTATCAGGCCTGCAGGTCCAGTGCCTATTATGGGGCCTATTATGACTGCACAAGGGGCCTCAAGTTCATTCAGGCCAAGCCTCTCATTCTGCAGAGAACCACACAGTGGTTGCCGGGATTTGCCCAAGGCTGGTGGGTTGGTCATGAGGGCAGGCCCGAACTCATCTCTATTTTCTTGCATTCCGGCTCTCCTGATGTTCCAGGCCCATCTCTGAGTCATCCTTGGACAGGAGAGATCCCAGAGGGTAAACAGGACATGAGCCTGCAGTGAGGGGAGACAGAGGAGGAGAGAACTCCCTGAAACAAGAGGAGAGGAGGAGCTGGTGGGGAGGACACAGGTAGGGCAGCGGGCAGACCACCAAGGGGCAGGCTTGCTGTTTCGCAGCCTGACCCCCAGCCTGTGTGCCTCATTGCCGCCTCCTCCTCCCAGAGCAGGGCCTACGCCTCAACCAGAGCTTGGAGCAAGACAAGGAAGGCTCCATTTCTCTCCTCCTACTCCTCTACTCAAACCACAGCCATCTGTACATCAGAAACTTTTTTTTTTTTTTTTTTAGCCCTCAGCTGCCTGATGCCCATGGTTGGGGTTTGGGCTGAGTCACCGAGGGCTGCCTGCACACACCAGGGAGGGCTCCTGAGCACCCACTCTCAGGCTTTGCACGTTTCCGAAATTCTGCACACGACAGCAATTTTTGCAGCAAGGGTGTGGAGGGTGCCTGTGGGCCAGTCACCAGCCTGCTGCAGCTGTCCGTGGTTGCCTCTGTCTGCCAGGGCTGCACGACCTCTGGTTTTCACCTCAACCACTGCGGCTTCCTCTCTCCCCGTGGGAACAGGGCATGGGGTGAGGGAGCTACCATGCCCAGACAACTAGGCATCTCCCTGCCAGGCCAGGAGTTCCACTGCCACAGCCCAATACCAGCAAATTCAGATGCAACCAAGTGACCCCAACTCAAGTTACATTCCCTTTCTCCCCCACAGGCTCTGCAGTCCCAGGGATTCGCAGTGTTAGTTGATCTCCGGGGACACTAGTTCCCAAGAGACCCCACTGAAGGCCTGGCTGTACCATCATAGGCTGTGTGCCCTTGGGCAAGAACCTCTACCATTCCTCGTTGCCTGTATATAAATTGAAGGCTTTGCTCTAGGTCAGTGTTGCAAACTCAAATTCCAGTAATAGGAATGTGCAAAATATGTTGGGGATAAGGGAGCCAACAGTGCAAGGGGGAAGTGAGTGTTGGGGACCTAGTCTTGGGGTGACGGGAACTGGGCTGAACCGGAAGCGTATTCCTGTGTAAGGGAGGCCACTGCTCAGAGGGTGGCTGCTATGGGGCTGGGGGATCCTGATTTGTCAAAGGAAGGTGGAAATTTATATTTCAGCTCACACGCTCCTGTTTTTAAAATGTCTCAATGTCTCTAATTCTGACTGTAAATCTAAGAGTGATTCCTGTGTGGGTACGGTTAGGAGGAGTCTGACCTCCACCAAAGGGGCTTTGTGGGCTGGGACTTCGTACTCCTGCAGAGCGCAGGACCGCACCCCTGAATGCAACCTCAGCCTGGAATGTTGACACAATCATTTGGTGTCCCTTTAAATTGGTATCCTATGTACATATTGGTATCTGTAATATGTAGAGATCTCTTACAAGTCTAAAAGGAAGATAGGGCTGGGCACAGTGGCTCATGCCTGTAATCCCAGCACTTTGGGAGGCCGAGGCAGGCGGATCACCTGAAGTCAGAAGTTTGAGACCAGCCTGACCAATATGGTGAAGCCCTAGCCCATAAGGACGCAGCTCTGGGCTGCCCTCGGGGTTGCGTGTACCTGAGTCCCCACCCACATCTCACCACTTAGCTTGTCTGCCCAGTCTTTCTTAACACATTTACAAGCAGATACATCATTGGTGGGAAAACAGAACACTTTAAAATATGGGTTCAGCTTTGATTTCAAGGAGAAGCTGCAAGCTGTGTGAAGGGCTGGGAAGGGCACCACAGGAGACGCAGCTCAGCCTCTTCTTCGTCCTCAGCAACTCAGCTCTGACCCCAAGTTTCACCCCATGCAGCAAGGGCTCTGAGCCCTCCTGGGCCCACCATCCTTAGAAAGCAGCTTAGGGGAGGGAAGTCTTATTGTCCCCACTGCAAATTATTTCTTTGAGGAAAAGCTACTAGTTTCCTTCTCAATGCCTGTTCTCAGGGTATCAGCGTGACCAGCTTTGTTTAAGTTGATTTTCCAGGCTCCCCTACAGTTCAGGGTGGCCAGGGACCCAGTTCTGGCAAATGAGACATAAGTGGACGTCACTGCAAAAGGATCTGAGGCAGGCTCCTAAAAGGGGAGAGACTCAACCGGCTCTGCGTTGAGTCCTTTGCCCTCCCTCTTCCTGCCTTGATGCAGATGAAAGGCTTGGCACTGCAGCAGCCACCTTGTATCCACGAGGCAGTAAACCTCAGCCGACAGCCACCTGCTTCAGATGGCAGCCCAGGAAGGTGAAAAGAGACTGGGTTCTCGATGGCAACTTCGAGTCACGACAGCCTTAGACTTCTGTGATATGAAAAAACAACCCTCATAGTTGTTTAAGCCTCTGGTTTTCAGATTTCTGTCACAGCTGAAGGGAATCTCAAGCAGATCCTTCCTCTGAGCATCTGCTCTCTTCTCAAGGGGCCTTCCGGTCACATGCTTTCCTTCATTCCCATTACATTTCCGTCCAGGTTCTAATGTCCTAGGGATATTGTAGCACGCCTCTGCCTGGCCTAACTTCAACCTCCCTCTGGATGTGAGAGGCAGACCTCACTGTAGGAAGAGGGTGAAGGAAGGGTGTCGAATAATGCATAAGGAACCAAGGACTAATATCCATATATACAGACCCAAACATCAGGTGACACTGAGCGTGTGCATCCACAGCTTCTCACACCTGCCTTGTCTGGTAGACACCAGCTCTGGATCCCCAGACCTCTCACCTGAGCTCTAGGGCAAACGCTTCCCGACATCCCCCGTGGCGGGCAGCGAGGCCGGGATGGTGTGGAGCTGCGCACTTCCAGCTTCTGGGATGCAAGGCCCTGTCACCACTCGATTTCCAGGTGTCTGCTTCACAGTGATCTGTTAAACTGCCATATGTGTTTTATGCACCTTCCTGGGTTGTGCTACAGCTGATAATAAAATCATTTGAGAATTTTGTGTTGTTGTTGTTTGAGACAGAGTCTCGCCCTGTCTCCCAGGCTGGAGTACAGTGGCGTGATCTGGGCTCACTGCAACCTCCACCTCCCGGGTTCAAGCGATTCTCCTGCCTCAGCCTCCCGAGTAGCTGGGACTATAGGCATGCGCCATGACACCCGGCTAATTTCTGTATTTTTAGTAGAGATGGCGTTTCACCATGTTGGCCAGGCTGGTCTTGAACTCCTGACCACAGGTGATCCACCCACCTTGGCCTCCCAAAGTGCTGGGATTACAGGTGTGAGCCACCGCGCCCGGACATTTTTGAGAATTTTTAAAAAGAGTCTATCAGAACCGAGCTCGGTGGCTTATATCTGTACTCCCAGCACTTTAGGAGGCCTACCTAGGTGGGTGGATCATCTGAGGTCAGGAGTTTGAAACCATCTTGGCCAACATGGTGAAACCCCGTCTCTACTAAAAATACAAAAATTAGCCGGCTGTGGTGGCGGGTGCCTGTAGTCCCAGCTACTGGGGAGGTTGAGGCAACAGAGCGAGACTCTGTCTTAAAAAAAAAAAAAAAGTTCACCACCATGCTTGGTTTGGCCCCATTTGGACGGGAGGGGAGAGCAGTGAAGCAGCCGGCACGTGAGGTGGCCTCCCGGGGCAGCAGAGCTGGCAGGGCAGGGCGGGCCAGGCCGGAGGGCTCTGACTGATCCTTGGAGCTCTAATAGGAAGCTGCACACCCATTCACTCTCTTAGAATAGCTGTGCACCTGCAGATAACCAGTTTCTGTTGTGGTGAGTGGTAGTTAAATAAATAAATAAGCAGGCAAAGAACAGGCTTGTCCTTACTGTGACAGTCATTTGCTGCTGTGAAACTACTATGGTCTAACACCTCCCACTCACTTTCCTCAATCAGTGCTGCCTGCAATGGCAGGAACTCGGGGCCAAAAGAGCACCTGCCCTAGCTCAGAGCTCGGGCCTGCCCACCCCACCACCCCACCCCCTGGGACCACCTGACTTTGACCTCTGAGACCACATTTGGCTTGCATGCAGGCAAGTTATATGACTTCTCTGAGCCTCAGTTTCTTCTTTGGCAAAGTGGGGATAGTAACAGCTCTCTTCAAAAGCCATTGTAAGAGTTGGAAATGATAAGCCGGGCGCGGTGGCTCATACCTGTAATCCCAGCAGTTTGGGAGGCCAAGGCGTGTGGATCACCTGACCTCAGGAGTTTCAAGACCAACCTGACCAACATGGTGAAACCCCGTCTCTACTAAAAATACAAAACTAGCCAGCACGGTGGCTTATGCCTGTAATCCCAGCATTTTGGGAGGCTGAGGTGGGTGGATCACCTGACCTCAGGAGTTCTGAGACCAGCCTGACCAACATGGTGAAACCCCGTCTCTACTAAAAATACAAAATTAGCAGGGCATGGTGGCACATGCCTGTAATCCCAGCTATTTGGGAGGCTGAGGCAGGAGAATTGCTTGAACCTGGGAGGTGGAGGTTGTAGTGAGCTGAGATCACGCCATTGCACTCTAGCCTGGGGAATAAGAGTGAAACTCCATCTCAAAAAAAAGAAAAAAGGTCGGAAATGATGTATTTTAGCCGCGCAGATAGTCAGCCATACGCCTGTTTCACTTATGGGTAGAAACACTGCAGTTGACTTCATTTCAGCAGCTGAGGGGCCCAGAGGACTGTGTCCTCTGCCTCACTGTGCAGGCCTCAGTCATGTTCCTGGCAAATATTCCAGAAGGCTCAGAGGAGGCGTGTTGAGAGTGTTGTCAGCCAATCACCACAAAGCTGCTCCTTCAGGAGCCTTCTCACTCTGAACCTCACATAACACAAGCCTGTGGCTGGAGGGAGGGTGGCAGGGGCCTACCTGGGCATTACTTCCACGCTTGCAGCCTCAGGGTAACCCTGGTGGTCAGATAAGCAAAGATCAGCCTCAAAGCAGCAAATAGGACCATGTCCTCTGGGGCCTTACCATGGTCCGCATGCAGTCCAGGCTTGGCTTCACCATTTGCATGAGAGCTCAGAGGACACCCATGGCCACAGAGGCTTAGCTCAGCCAGGGGAATGGAGACAGTCAGTAACATGGAGGTGAGATCATAGCAAACACCTTCATCTCCGGTTCAAGGGGGAAGGGGTCACCTGCTGGGGAAGGAGGAGGCTCTGGCAGGTGACGCTGAGCTGGAACGTCGACCACCTTCCTCACGGCCTTGGCAGTGAATTCCAGATGCCCAGACCTCTGCAAACAACTTCCAGCAAATGCAGCGAGGACAGCAGGGCACCTACTGTTGACTCAAAAAGACACTTCCAGGTTTCCCCAGAAAAGGCAGCCTTTGCTGCTGCAGCCCCTGCGGATGACGGCTTGTTTAATAGCTCAGATTCCCCAGGCAGTTTCTCCACCCTCCGCTGCTGGGATTCTTGCAATGGCGATGTGGTGGGTCGGCCTGGAGAGGGTGGGTCAGGAAGGATCTTCTGACTTGGAGACTTCCAGGGGAGACAACACCACACACAAGGCCCTGCTCCAGACTTGGCAAGGATGATGCCAAATACGCGGAGGCAGCTGCAGGAGGAGCTTGTTCCCAGGATAAAGAGGTGGTCAGCTGGCCAGGTACAGTGGCTCATGCCTGTAATCCCAGCACTTTAGGAGGCTGAGGTGGGCGGATCACCTGAGGTTGGGAGTTCGAGACCAGCCTGCCTAACATGGAGAAACCCTGTCTCTACTAAAAATACAAACAATTAGCTGGGCGTGGTGGCAGGCGCCTGTAATCCCAGCTACTCAGGAGGCTGAGGCAGGAGAATCACTTGAACCCGGGAGGTGGAGGTTGCAGTGACCCGATACGGTGCCATTGCACTTCAGCCTGGGCAACAAGAGCGAAACTCCGTCTCAAAAAAAAAAAAAAGAAAGAAAAACAAGCTGGGTGCAATGGCTCACGTCTGTAATCCCAGCACTTTGGGAGGCCAAGGCAGGTGGATCACCTGAGGTCGGAAGTTCGAGACCAGCCTGACCAACATGGAGAAACCCTGTCTCTACTAAAAATACAAAATTAGCCAGGCGTAATGGCGCATGCCTGTAATCACAGCTACTTGGGAGGCTGAGGCAGGAGAATTGCTTGAACGCAGGAGGCGGAGGTTGCGGTGAGCAGAGGTCATGCCATTGCGCTCCAGCCTGGGCAACAACAGTGAAACTCCACCTCAAAAAGAAAAAGAAAAGAAAAGTCTACAGTATAATGGTAAGAAATGTAAGCGTGTCAGATTCTGTTTTTAGAACGGAAGCATAACAGATCCACCGAAAGCATCCTGTGTTTGGTGTTCCCTTTCCTACCTGGGTTCCTCGCCCACCCAGGCATGACTGCGCTCCTGAATGTATGGTGTATCAGTCCCCTGCATGCTTTTATACCTCTGCTGTTCATGCGTGGATCTGCTAGGGTTGCTTGGCATGTTTTTTTGTTGTGGTAAAATATACATGGCATAAAATTTTCTATCTTAACCACTTTTAAGTGTACATTTCAGGGACATTAAGAACATTCACTTTTTTTTTTTTTTTTTTTGGAAACAGAGTCTTGCTCTGTCAACCAGGCTGAAGTCCAGTGACGCAATCTTGACTCATTGCAACCTCGGCCTCCCAGGTTCAAGTGATTCTCCTGCCTCAGCCTTCTGAGTAGCTGGGATTACAGGTGCCTGCTACCACGCCCACCTAATTTTTGTATTTTTAGTAGAGATGGGGTTTCACCATGTTGGCCAGGCTGGTCTCGAACTCCTGACCTCAGGTGATCTGTCCACCTTGGCCTCCAAAAGTGTTGGGATTACAGGCGTGAGCCACCGCACCTAGCCCTTTTTGTTTCTCTTCACTTTTGTCCTACTCCTGTCAAATTTTTCTTTTTTTTTTTTTGAGACAGAGTCTCGCTTTGTCGCCCAGGCTGGAGTGCAGTGGCGCAATCTTGGCTCACTGCAACCTCTACCTCCTGGGTTCAAGCAGTTCTCCTGCCTCAGCCTCCCCAGTAGCTGGGATTACAGGTGCCTGCCACCATACCCGGCTAATTTTTGTATTTTTAGTAGAAACAGGGTTTTGCTATGTTGGCCAGGCTGGTCTCGAGCTCCTGATCTCAGGTAGTCTGCCCCCCTCAGCCTCCAAAAGTGCTAGGATTACCAGTGTGAGCCACCGCACCCGGCCTCAAATTTATTGATTCTCTTACTGCTCGAACCCAGGAGGTGGAGGTTGCAGTGAGCCAAGATTGTGCCACTGCACTCCAGCCTGGGTGACAGAGCGAGACTCAGTCTCAAGAAAAAAAAATGTATTGAGTCTCTTTTATTACTTTTTCTAGTTTTATTTCTTTATTTGTTTATTGTTCATACATTTGTTTGTTTGTTTGTTTGGGCTTGGAAGTGATGGATTTCATTCCTAGTCTCTCATGCTTCCCTCCATCCACATTTTTCACATGCGCACTGAATTACAGAATCTAAAGCTAATCAGAAATTGTCCCCTGCAGGAGGAAAGGCACTCTTTAGCTCTGATCACACCTTCTGTCTTACAGACTGTCACTCGGCATCACAGGCTGACTTTGTTTTCATGCCTCCAACCAATCATCGTCATTGCTGCTGTGGTTCCCACCATCAGTGCTTCTGTGGACTTACCCACATGTTTACCAGTTTCTTTGCTCTTCATTGCTTTCATTGCCCTCTCACTCCTTTTGAGGTCAATTTCCTTTCTCTTAACAAAAATGTATTAGCAGCTCTCTTGCTGATGGTACTTTAGGATAAACTCTTTCAAAAGTCTTCCTCTGAAAAGACCTTGTTTTAATTTTTAAATTTTGTTTTGTTTTAGAAAATTTTCATGTGGAGCCTCCCATTGATGAAAAAATCTCCATTTCACTTTTACTCGTTGTGGTGCATTATCAACAAAGATGGCCACCAACAGTTTTGTTCATCCCTGTAATGTCACTCCTCCCATCAAGAAGTGGAATGTGGCCGGGCGCAGTGGCTCACACCTGTAATCACACCACTTTGGGAGGCCAAAGTCGGCAGATCACATGAGGTCAGGAATTTGAGAGCAGCCTAGTCAACATGGTGAAACCCCATCTCTACTGCAAATGCAAAAATTAGCTGGGCTACTCAGAAGGCTGAGGCAGGAGAATTGCTTGAACTCGGGAGGCGGAGGTTGCAGTGAGCTAAGATTGCACCACTGCACTCCAGTCTAGCTGACAGAGCTAGTCTCCTCTCAGAAAAAAAAAAAAAAAAAGAAGTGAAATTTATTTCCTTTCGCCCCTCCCCTTAAATCTGGGCCAGCCTTGTGACTCACTTTGACTAGTAGAAGGTGGAAGTGATATTATGCCAGGTCCAGACTTAGGCCTTAGGAGGCCTGGCAGTTTCCATTTTCACCCTCTTGGGATCCAGCCACTATGAAACCAAGTTCACCTGCTTTATTGGAGAGAGAAATGACCTAGAAGATGAAAGACAGCAAAGGGAGAGCAGGATGCCCAGCCAGCCACCAGCCATTCTGACCCCTTCAGCTGAGGCACTGCATGGGTGAGTGAAGCTGTGGGATCTCACAGTCCCAGTTGAGCCACCTCAGCCAAAACATCACATAAGAACACAGATGAGCCGTCCCAACTGAGCCCTGCCAAACTACAGAATTGTGAGCAAATAAATGGTGGTGGGTTTTTATTTATTTATTTATTTATTTATTTATTTATTTATTTGAGACATGGTCTTGCTTTGTTGCCCAGACTGGAGTGCAATGGTGTGACCACAGCTCGCTGTAGCCTTGACCTCCCAGGCTCAAGTGATCCTCCTGCCTCAGCCTCCTGAGTAGCTGGGACTACAGTCATGTGCCACCACATCTAGCTAATTTTATACATTTTTTTATAGAGATGGGGTTACACTGTATTGGCCAGGCTGGTCTTGAACTCCTGGGCTCAAGGAATCTTCCTGCCTCAGCCTCCCAAAGTGCTGGGATTATAGACATGAGCCACTGTGCCTGGCTGGTGGTGGTTGTTTTAAGTCACTAAATTTTAAAGTTATTTGTTATGGAGCAATAGGTAACCAAAACACTCCTGAATGGAATTTTGACATGGGGAGGGGGGTGGAATTCTAGGATGAGTTATTCCTTGTCAGCACTTTGAATTTGTTTTTATTTATTTATTTATTTTTTTGAGACAGAGTCTTGCTCTGTCGCCCAGGCTGGAGTGCAGTGGCGCAATCTCAGCTCACTGCAAGCTCTGCCTCCTGGGTTCACGCCATTCTCCTGCCTCAGCCTCCCGAGTAGCTGGGACTACAGGCGCCCACCACCACGCCCAGCTAATTTTTTGTATTTTTAGTAGAGACGGGGTTTCACCATGTTAGCCAGGATGGTCTCGATCTCCTGACCTTGTGATCTGCCCGCCTCGGCCTCCAGAAGTGCTGGGATTACCGGTGTGAGCCACCACGCCCGGCAGCACTTTAAATTTAGAATTCCACTGATCTCTGTCTTCTTTTGCTTTGCAGGTAATCTTTCAGGTTTTTTATTTTTGTTTATTTATTTTTTGAGATGGAGTCTCACTCTGTTGCCCAGGCTGGAGTGCATTGGCACAATCTCTGCTCACTGCAACCTTCACCTCCCGGGGTCAAGCCATTCTCCTGCCTCAGCCTCCCAAGTAGCTGGGACTCTAGGCATGCGCCACCATGCCTGGATTATTTTTGTATTTTTAGTAGAGACAGGGTTTCACCATGTTGGCCAGGCTGGTCTTGAACTCCTGACCTCAAGTGATCCGCCCACCTCAGCCTCCCAAAGTGCTGGGATTACAGGCATGAGCCACCATGTCTGGCCCCTCAGGTTATTTTTTAAATCATCTCTTTGTCTTCAGTGTTATTCGGTTTCTCTAAAATGTATTTAACATAGTCTTATTTATTCTGCTCCAGAATTGTTGTGCTGCTATACCTCCGCCTTCTTTTCCTCTTTTCTTTCTTTTTTAATTTTTATTTTTGTAGAGGCAGTGTCTCACTTTGTTGCCCAGGGCGGTCTTGAACTCCTGGGCTCAAGAGCTCCTCCTGCCCAAAGTGTTGAGATTATAGGGATAAGCCACCACTCCTGGCCCCCTCCTTTTTTTCCTGGAAATTTTTTTGGTGCTTATGATGTGCAGTAATAAAAATACGATTTTAAGTGTTGGGGATTAAATAGTGAACAAAAAAGAGAAAGTCACTATCCTCATGATAGTGATATTTTATTTTATTTTATTTACATTCACAGTGCTTGGTTCACAGCACATATGCTAAAACTGGAACAATACAGAGAAGATTAGCACGGCCCCAGCACAAAGATGATGTGCAAATTCATGAAGTGTTCCATATTAAAAAAATAAAATAAAAATAGCAATACATTTACATTTTATTTTATAGCGACAGGGTCTCACTATGTTTCCCAGGCTGGTTTTGAACTCCTGACTTCAAGCGATCCTCCCGCATGAGCCACCATGCCTGGCCTAAGCTTACATTTTAGTTAGAGAAAGAGCCTGGGAATGAAGCTAGCATGGAGAAGAGCAGAGCTGAGATTTAAAGGGAGCAGATCCTGAAGCCTGGTTGAAAGCTGCATCGTTTCCCACCTGAATTCAACCACATTCATTTTCAGTAACACGAGCAGTAACTGCTTCTTGTTGTTTAAGCCAATTTAAATATATTTCTATGTCAATTACAAATGAAAGGGTATTAACTGTTAGGTGCCCAGCCTCAGCCTAATCTAGATGTTCTTTCTCTGCAACTTTGTATCTTCACTTAATTAGTTTACTTGAAAATTAATTAAATTAGGCCTGGTGCAGTGGCTCATGCTTGTAATCCCAGCACTTTGGGAGGCCGCGGCGGGCGGATCATGAGGTCAGGAGATCCAGACCATCCTGGCTAACATGGTGAAAACACGTCTCTACTAAAAATACAAAAAATTAGCCCGGTGTGGTGGCATGCGCCTGTAGTCCCAGCTACTGGAGAGGCTGAGGCAGGAGAAGCACTTGAGCCCAGGAGGCAGAGGTTGTGGTGAGCCGAGATCTCGCCACTGCACTCCAGCCTGGCGACAGAGCAATACTCCATCTCAAAAAATAAATAAATAAAATAAATAAATAAAAAAAAACACTGACACAGTGGGGATGAAGTTTCAATGTAAATTGCAGAGAGGACAACATTCAAACCATGGTACCTAGTCATAGTATTTTACTCTTTTCTTATGCTTTTAATTCCTGAAGTATCTAGACTTTCTAATCCTATTTTATAATACCTTTGTAGTCCTTATATAACATCTGTGTTTTGGTATTTGTTTCAGGTTTTTTCCTAAGTATGTGTCAAGATCCCATTTTCCAAGTCAAAAATGGGATTTTGCTACACATTATTTCATAACCTGCTCTTTGTTTTTCACATGATAAGGAACTTAAAACAACACACATCTTTTTCTGAGGGCAGAAATTTGGGCCCAGCTCACCTAGGTTCTCCGCTTCAGAGCTTTACCAGGCTGCTGTCCGGGTGCTGGCTGGGGCTATGGTCTCATCTGAGGCTCAGCTGGTCTCATCTAAGGCTTAATATTGGCCCCCAAGCTCCCTCAGACTGTTGGCAGAATTCTTCTCCTTATGGTTGTAAGACTAGAACTGGGGTTCATGTTTTCTTGTTGGCTGTCAGCCAGGGATGGCCCTTAGCAACTAGAGACTACAGTAGTTCCTTGTTGAGTGGCCCTGTCACCACAGAGAAGCTTACTTCTTCAAAGCCAGTAATAGACGGAGAGTCTCTGACCCTCTGAGAGGGCCCAGACACTCTTTCA
This sequence comes from Homo sapiens, assembly GCF_000001405.40. Classification (NCBI taxonomy): domain Eukaryota; kingdom Metazoa; phylum Chordata; class Mammalia; order Primates; family Hominidae; genus Homo; species Homo sapiens. Next base: position 118,703,891 of record NC_000011.10, read on the forward strand.
AAGACTTCCACCTGATTTAGTCAGGCCCACCCATGAAAATGCCCCCTTGACTTCAAAATCAACTGACTTAGGACCCTAATTATGTCTGCAAAACCCCCTCACCTTTTTCACAGTCTATTAGCTGGAAGTAAGTTGCAGGTCCTACCGGCGCTCCAGGGGAGGAGGTTACACAGGGTGTGAACACCAGGGAGTGGGACCACAGGGCCCATCCCTGGGTCTATTCATACCATGTTTACCTTTCCATGTCAGTATCTTTTCTTTTCTTGGTTTTTTTTTTTTTTTTTTTTTTTCAGATGGAGTCTCACTTTGCTGGCCCAGGCTGGAGTGCCGTGGCCCCATCCTGGCTCACTGCAACCTCTGCCTCCCAGGTTCAAGTGATTCTCCTGCCTCAGCCTCCTGAGTAGCTGGGACTACAGGCATGTACCACCACACCTGGCTAATTTTTGTATTTTTAATAGAGATGGGGTTTCGCCACGTTGGCCAGGCTGGTCTTGAACTCCTGACCTGCAGGTGATACTGCCCGCCTAGGCCTCCCAAAGTGCTGGGATTTACAGGCACGAGCCACCGTGCACGGCTGTTATTATGTTTTCTACCACCTTCTAATGTTAATGGCCTCACAGCATTCTACTATGTGGATGTGTCAACATTTATTTAATTATTTATCACTAAGCACTGAATAAACATAAACATTTTAGTTTATTCCTTTTTTTCTTACAGACAGCGCTGGGGAGAATGAACGCCTGAGTACTCATGTCTTTATGCACTGTAGTATTATTTCCTTACAACAGACTCCTGAACCTGGAACGGCAGTGTCAAAGGGTTCACAAAATGTTAGACTTCTGAAGCAAATCAGATGGCACCTTTTTTGAATAATGAAGAATCTTTACCCCTGGCATGAGGAGCTGAGGACAACTCCCACTCCACGATGTGAAGCCACAGAGTTTCGAGGTAGTGGTTAATGGTGGTTGTGATTTTTTTGTTTTTGTTTTTGAGACAGAGTCTCTGTCACCCAGGCTGGGAGTGCAGTGGCACAATCTTGGCTCACCACAACCTCTGCCTCCCAGGTTCAAGCGATTCTCCTGCCTCAGCCTCCTGAGTAGCTGGGACAGGTGCCCGCCACCATGCCTGGCTAATTTTTGTATCTTTAGTAGAGACGAGGTTTCACCATGTTTGCCAGGCTGGTCTCGAACTCCTGACCTCAGGTGATCCACCCGCCTTGGCCTCCCAAAGTGCTGGAATTACAGGCGTTGAGCCACCACGCCCAGCTGGTTGTGATGTTCTAATTTGGACTTGGAAGTCAAATAATCGCCCCATGCCCTGTGGTTGCTGTGGTTGCATGCCCTGCCCCGGTGGAAGCTGGGGAAGTGTTTCCTGTCTGTCATCCCACCCATTCACGTGTCCTTATTATGGGTGAAGCCCAGAGAGCGAGAGCTCTCATTGTGGCCAAGGCTGCAGCCTTGCCACTGTCACGGAGCACAGCTCACGTCTCCTCTGAGCCGTTATTTTGTTTGTATGAACCCAGAATGTATGTAAATTCTGATGGGGTAAGCGGGCAGACAAAAAGGTCACTGAAGTGTCCCAAACAGAATCTCATTGTGTACTGGAGAGGAGGCAAAATAATCACTTGCCAGAGGGCGGAGCTTGGTTTTGTGGGACCTGAAGCTTAAATAATTTGGGGAGGCCTCTTTAAGAAAAAGAATCAAATTATGAATACAAAATTAGGATGAGGGTGTTTGAAGGGCCTCATGCAAGTGCGGTGCCTGGGACTTCAGCTTCATTAACTTCGCGTTCAGTCTACGCCTGCTTGCCAGTGGACTGGGTTTGTCCTGCTTGGAGTCTGGTTTTGTTTGTTTCCAAACTTATAAAATTAGATGTCTTTTCTTCTTTCCTTTTGCATTTGCAAGTGTATTAACATTTAAGAATTGAGCAGGCCTTCAATAATATAGCTTCTCTCTCTCTCTCTCTTTTTTTTTTTTTTTTTTTTTTTTTTTTGCTAAGATGACTCTAACCCCTCCCTGCTTCAAATCACGAACTTGCATTATAGGCACACAAAGGATGCTGACTCCCTCCAGCAGCCTCGTTTGCAGTACGGAGCCTGGGGCCCTTAATGGGATAACAGGGAAATGGGGAACTGGAAAGAATCTTCCAGCAGTTGAGTCTGTTTGCCCCAGGCACCATGTTAGATGATTACATTGTGTTCCTTCGCCCTTTTGCCAGGGTGACGGGCAGGCACTCCCAGGCTCTCCTCAAAACAGCTCCGATTTTAAGAGGGAAAAGCCAGGACACCACAAGTTGCAGTTCAAATATGAAACTGTTAGCAGAGTCATTTTGGCATAAAACCCACTGTATTAGTTGGTCTCCCACCAGGAAACAGATGGCATATTCAAAATAGGATCACTGGAGGAGAGTTTATTTGCAAAGATGTGGGTGTCGGGGAACCACAAAGGATGGCGCAGTAATCCAGAGTTTAGCAGCAGCCAGGCGGTGCCCTCACGAAGCTTGAAGGGATGAAGGGGAGAACAGTCCCTGGCACCCACAGGGAGAGAGCGGTGCTGCGAGGCCCCAGGAAGAGAAGATGTCATTGTCCCTTGAGGGATACAGCCAGCCAGGGAAATAAACACCCTGACCTCCCTCTCCTGTCTCCCTCTGGCCACCTGCCACGGGAGTTGGTGGATGTGGACCACACTGGTCAGCCTCAGAGGGCAGGGTGGAGATGGTGAGGGGGTGCATACGGAGGGGCAAACAAAAGGTAAATAGCCCAGCCCAGCCCTTTGGCCTCTCAGCACCCGCTCTAGACTTTTGTCCAGGTGAAGAGCTTGTTCGCCTAACACAGGGGATCTATAAGTCGTAATAGCTACCATATCATTGTGGACTGATGTCAGCTGGTCATACTCTCAGCTGAAATCGCCGGTGTTCCTCAGTTAAGGTAATGAGTAAAACGGGGTGCAACGGAGTGAATTTTTTTTTTAAGATGTTTCTTGCTTTGTCCCCTAGGCTGGAGTGCACTGGCATGATCTCTGCTCACTGCAACTGCTGCCTCCCAGTCTCAAGTGACTCCTGCCTCAGCCTCCCAAGTATCTGAGGTTGCAAGTGCACACCCGGCTAATGTTTGTATTTTTAGCAGAGACAATGTTTTGCCATGTTGGCCAGACTAGTCTTGAACTGCTGATCTCAAAGTGTTGGGATTACAGGCGTAAGCCATGGTGCCCAACCCAACAGAGTGAATGTTTACGTCTCCTCGCAATTCCTGTGTTGAAATGCTGACCCTCAAGGGGATGGTGTGAGATGGGGCCTTTGGGAGGTGATTAGGGTACGAGGATGCGGTCCTCATGAGTGGGATCAGGTTCTTATAAAAGAGGCCCTAGAGGAATCCTTTGTGCCTTCTGACATGTGAGGCCACATGAAGAAGATGCTGGTTATGAGCCATGAAGCAAGCCTTCACCAGACGCCAAATCCGCTGGCTCCTCGATCCCCTCGATCTGAGGCTTCTCAGCCTCCAGAACGGTGGGAAATAAATTTCTGTGATTTATGCTACACCCAGTCTATAGTATTCTGTTACAGTAACCCAGATGGATTAAGATGGAGAATGGATTGAGATGGGGAAGAAAAAAAGCCCCAAATTCATGAAATGTAGCTGCTACAGTCCCCACCTCCTTAGCTGTCCCCAAAACCTAAGCAGGTAATCATAACTTCCATTCTGTGCTCACCTTACCTCTGCTGGCACCTTTTTGGACAGGGTTCTCTACTTGGCGAGGTGACCCAAATCTTCATTCCTGCAGGGTCTGAGTCCTCGGCCGCTGCGATCGTTTGAACATTGTTTGTCCCCACCGAAACTCATCTTGAGGCTTGGTCCCCACTGTAATGATGTTGAGAGGTGGCGGGACATTTAAGGGGTGTTTGAGTCATGAGGGATCCAGCTTCACGAAGGGATTAGCGCAGGAGTGCGTGAGTTCTTCTTGTGGGACTCGATTGATTACTGCAGTTGCCAGTTGTTACAAAGCAAGGCTGCCTCTGGCCGCGTGCCCTCTTCTGCTTCCTATTTTCTCCCATGCTAGAAGCAGCACAAGGCCCTCACCAAATGTGGCCATCCATTTTGGACTTCTCAGCCTCCAGAAGCGTGGGCTAAGTAAGCCCCTTTCCTTTGTAATTTACCCAGTTGGACTAAGACAGGTGTTTTGTTATAGCAATGGAAAACAGACTAAGACAGTTGCATTGTATTTGGGGGTGGCCACAGTTTTCCATTGACTAGGACTGTTGGACTAGGAGTGCTCCAGTGATGTCTCTGATTTCAGACACTGTCTTCCTCGCCCCTTTTCAACAGCAGCAATCCAGTTTCATCCTGTGATCAGGGTCCATCCTCTACCTACTACCATAACCCCTCTCTTTGCTTCTTGGTCTATGGCATGCAGAGCCCCAAATGAGCAGGGAGTAGCTTCAACTTCCGATTCATCAGAAGCATGACTGTTTCCTCTAACAGCATTTCTTTTCTAGGCCCCAGGACCTCCAGCGTCAATGTTGTGGGATGATGGGTGACAGAGCCAAAGCATCGCCATCTTGGACAAGCACGGTCATTCTGAAGTTCCCCTTGATCAAAAACTGCCTAAACCCAAAGGATATCAGCCTGATGGCTAAGGTCAGCATGACCATAAACCATAAATAACATCTCTGACCAGGAACATTCCAAACCCCTCCATGAGACATGCCAGCCCTGAGATAACCTCCCCTCCGGCCAGAAAGATGTCAGACCCAAGATAACCTCCCCTCCGACCAGAGACATCCCAACCCTGCCATAAACTTCTCCCCCACACAGAAACATTCTGAGCTTGTAATAAGCCCCCTCATCCTAAAACCAATATATACTCTTAGTCCGTAAGAGAAAGTGCTCCTGAACAAAATTGGCCAGAAGCCCCTCTCCGGCTTATTTTCTCTAAAATACATCTGTCGTTAAATTGAGCCACAGTTCGTGTTTCTTCCCTCTTTCTTTAACTCTTACAATGGGAAGCAAACTTTTTTAGTGGGTTATTAGGAATAATAGTGAAAAGCATAATTCTCCTCTCCAGGCCTTGCTTCCTGGACCCACACATCTCACCTGTGGGGAAGATGGAACCATATATTGGCCACTGGTTTAATGTACAAGATGTGTCTCCAGTCCCAATGGTAGACATCCTATAGCCAAGACTCCATCCAATTGCCTGACCTCCACATGTCCCTACTCTGACTGGAACCTTGTGGGTAGTTTAGGTCTCTGAGGATCAGTCAAGCTCAGAGCAAGATTGAATAACCCCTGGAAGGTGTGGATATTCCTATTTCCCCAGGATCAGAGGCATATTTACCATAAAGCTAATGATGCTTATGCTTCAAGACTGCTCACTTACTAAAGCCCTGGTGTTAACATGATCATATGCATTTATAAAATTTGCAAACATAAAAAATTTTTTAGTTGGGCTTTATTTTTTTTTTAATATTTTTCATTTTTCGAGATGGAGTTTTGCTCTTGTTGCCCAGGCTGGAGTGCAGTGGCACGATCTTGGCTTGCCACAACCTCTGCCTCCCAGGTTCGAGGGATTCTCCTGCCTCAGCCTCCCGAGTAGCTGAAATTAGAGGCATGTGCCACCATGCCCGGCTAATTTTGTATTTTTAGTAGAGATGAGGTTTCTCCATGTTGGTCAGGCTGGTCTTGAACTCCTGACCTCAGGTGATCCGCCCACCTCGGCCTCCCAAAGTGATGGGATAACAGGCATGAACCACCGTGCCCCACCTGGACTTTATTTTTTATTATTTATTGATTTTTTGGAGACAGAGTCTTGCTATGTCGCTCAGGCTGGAGTGCAATGGCAGCACTGCCTCCTGGGTTCAAGAGATTCTCACCTCTCAGCCTCCCGAGTAGCTGGGACTGCAGGGGCACACCACCAAGCCTGGCTAATTTTTGTACTTTTTTTTTTTTGAGACGGAGTTTCACTCTTGTTGCCCAAGCTGGTAGTGTAATGGCACTATCTTGGCTCATTGCAACCTCCGCCTCCTTGGTTCAAGCGATCCTCCTGCCTCAGCCTCCCGAGTAGCTGGGATTACAGGCATGTGCCACCATACCCGGCTAATTTTGTATTTTTAGTAGAGACGGGGTTTCTCCATGTTGGTCAGGCTGGTCTTGAACTCCTGACCTCGTGATCCACCTGCCTCAGCCTCCCAAAGTGCTGGGATTACAGGCGTGAGCCATGGCACCCGGCCTTTTGTACTTTTTTAGTAGAGATGGGGTTTCACTGTTGTTGGCCAGTCTCTCTCAAACTCCTGACCTCAAGTGATCTGCCCACCTCAGCCTCCCAAAATGCTGGGATTACAGGTATGAACCACTGAACCCAGCCCCCCGACTTTATTTTTGAGACAGGATCTCACTCTGTCGTCCAGGCTAGAGTGCAGTGGTGTGATCTCGGCTCACTGCAACCTCCACCTCCCAGTTCAAGCAATTCTTCCGCCTCAGCCTCCCGAGTAGCTGGGACTACAGATGCACACCACCACACCAGGCTAATTTTTTTGTATTTTTTGGTAGAGGCAGGGTTTCCCCGTGTTGGCTAGGTTGGTCTCAAACTCCTGGCCTCACGTGATCCACCTGTCTCGGCCTCCCAAAGTGCTGGGATTATAGGCGTGAGCCACAGCACCTGACCAGACTTTATTTTTTTATTATTATTTTTAGAGATGGTGTCTCACCTTGTTGCCCAGGCTAGAGTGCAGTGGCATGATCCTAGTTCACTGCAGCCCCGACTTCCTGGGGTCAGGTGATTGTTTCATCTCGGCCTCCTGAGTAGCTGGGGCAACAGGTCCATACCACCATATCCTGCTAATTAAAAAAAATTTTTTTTAGCAACAGTCTCACTATGTTGCTCAGGCTGGTCTCCAACTCCTGGCCTCAAGTGATCCTTCTGCCTCAGCCTCCCAAGTTGCTGGGATCATAGGCATGAACTACCATGCTGGGCTAGTTGGACTTTATTGAAATATAATGTTACACAAAATAAATTGCACAAGATTGAGGCATATTAATGGCAATCCCTGCCTCTTTCCACTCTCTATTACCTTCTCTCTCATCTTTCCTTAAGGCACTAGAATGGTTGTAGTTATTTTGGGGGACCATCTAAAGGAAAATTGAGGTGGAGATACATCTGTTTGGGTTTATTGAGTTTTGTTTGTTTGTTTGTTTGTTTGGAGATGGAGTCGCCCAGGCTGGAGTGCAGTGGTGCGATCTCGGCTCACTGCAACCTCTGCCTCCCAGGTTCAAGCAACTCTCCTGCCTCAGTCTCTCATGTGGTACATTTTTTGTATTTTAGTAGAGACGGGGTTTCTCTGTGTTGCCTAGGCTGGTCTCAAACTCCTGACCTCAGGCAATTCGCCCGCCTCGGCCTCCCAAAGTGCTAGGATTACAGGTTTGAGCCACTGCGCCCGGCGGAGATATGTTTATGTAGATATTTGTATGAAGTTCACAGTCACTGCTGTGTGTAGTTAAGTAATTGGTAACAATTCTGGTATAGAAATGGCTTCCAAAAATACTCTACACAGTAGGCACACCTACTGTGCCTATCATCCAGTACTGCAACATGAATGCAGGTTATAAGTAGTCTTCAAATATGAACCTGGCTTACAGTCCCTGGCACTGAAAATACAGGTAATGGAAGGGAACCAAGCTTTGAAACGTATGGAGCCATAAGTTAAACTATAGAAGATGCTTCCAAATATTATGGGGTTCACACCTGTAATCGCAGCACTTTGGGAGGCTGAGACGGGAGGATCACTTGAGCCCAGGGTTCAAGACCAGCCTGAGCAACATGGCAAGACCCTGTCTCTATATTAAGAAAAAATTTAAAGCTGGGGGTGGTGGCTCATGCCTGTAATCCCAGCACTTTGGGAAGCCAAGGCAGGTGGATCACCTGAGGTCGGGAGTTTGAGACCAGCCTAACCAGCATGGAGAAACCCTGTCTCTACTAACAATACAAAATTAGCCAGGCATGGTGGCACACGCCTGTAATCCCAGCTACTCGGGAGGCTGAGGCAGGAGAATTGCTTGAACCCGGGAGGCAGAGGTTGCTGTGAGTCGAGATTGTGCTGTTACACTCCAGCCTGGGCAACAAGAGCAAAACTCCATCTCCAATTAAATAAATAAATAAATTTAAAAATTAAAACAGCAACAACAACAAAAAACAAATCTTACAGCTCATATATGAAAGAAACCTGATCAAGATTTCCCCAACATTGACAACAACTCTAAAATTGCACTTTTCCAATAATGTGTTAGAAGCTGAAACTTTTCTAGACTATAACTTTAAAACAACAATTTTTTTTAATAAAAAAAATTTTTTTGAAACAAGGTCTCACTCTGTCACCCAGGCTGGAGTGCAATGGCGCGATTACACCTCACTGCAGCCTAGACCTCCCTAGGGGGCTCAAGGGATCCTCCCACCTCAGCCTCCCCAGCAGGTGTGCACCACCACACCCAGCTAATTTTTATAGAGACAGGGTTTCACAATGTTGCCCAGGCTGGTCTCCAACTCCTGAGCAATCTTCCTGCCTCAGCCACCCAAAGTGAGCCACTGCGCCCAGCATTTTTTTTTTTTTTTTTTTTTTTTTTTGAGACGGGGTCTCTCTGTTGCCCTGGCTGGAATGTAGTGGTGTGATCTCGGCTCACTGCAGCCTCCAACTCCCAGGCTCAAGTGATCCTGTTACCAGAAAGGGGTCCCAAACCAGATCCAAAGAGAGGGTCCTTGGATCACGAGCAAGAAAGAATTTGAGGCAAATCCATAGAGTAAAGTGAGAGCAAGTTTATTAAGAAAGTAAAGGAATAAAAAATGGCTATTCCATAGGCAGAGCAGCAAGCAGCATGAACTTATTACTTCTTGATTATATGCTAGACAAGGAATAGATTATTCATGAGTTTTCGGGGAAAGGGGTGGGCAATTCCCGGAACTGAGGGTTCCTCCCTCTTTTTAAACCATATAGGGTAACTTCCTCACGTTGCTACGGCATTTGTAAACTGCCATGGTGTTGGTGGGAGTGTATATATGCTAATACATACATACATATAATTAGCATATAATGAGCATGAGGATGACCAAAGGTCACTTCCATCGCCGTTTGGTTTTGGTGGGTTTTGGTTGGCTTCTTTACTGAAACTGTTTTATTAGCAAGGTCTTTGTGACCTGTATCTTGTCTGACCTCCTGTTTTATCCTGTAACTAAGAATGCCTGGGGCTGGACGCGGTGGCTCACGCCTGTAATCCCAGCACTTTGGGAGGCCGAGGTAGGCGGATCACGAGGTCAGGAGTTCAAGACCAGCCTGGCCAACATGGTGAAATTCTGTCTCTACTAAAAATACAAAAATTAGCCAGGCATAGTGGCAGGCATCTGTAATCCCAGCTACTCAGGAGGCTGAGGCAGGAGACTCACTTGAACCCGGGAGGTGGAGGTGCAGTGAGCCGAGATCGTGCCACTGCACTCCAGCCTGGGCAACAAGAGCAAGACTCTGTCTCAAAAAAAAAGGAATGACTGAACCTCCTGAGAATGAAGCCCAGTAGGTTTCATTTTACCCAGCCCCTATTCAAAATGGAGTCTAGGCCAGGCGTGCTGGCTCACACCTGTAATCCCAGCACTTTGGGAGGCTGAGGCAGGCGGATCACAAGGTAAGGAGTTTGAGACCAGCCTGGCCAATATGGTGAAACCCCGTCTCTACTAAGAAATACAAAAATTAGCCAGACATGGTGGTGCACACCTGTATTCCCAGCTACTCAGGAAGCTGAGGCAGGAGAATTGCTGGAACCCAGGAGGCAGAGGTTGCAGTGAGCCAAGATCACACCACTGGACTCCAGCCTGGGCAACAGAGTGAGACTCCATCTCAAGAACAAAAAAACAACAAAAAAACCTCAAATGGAATCTAAAGTTCAAACGCCTCTGACATCTTAGGAAGCCGAAGCAGGAGGATCACTTGAGCCCAGGAGTTTGAGAAAAGCCTGGACAACATAGTGAGACACTGTCTCTATAAAAAAAAATTTTTTAATTGGCCAACCATGGTGTTGCACACTGGTAATCCCAGCTACTCAGGAGGCTGAGGCGGGAGGACCACTTGAGCCCAGCAGGTTGAGGCTGCAGTGAGCTATGACTGCACCATTGCACTCTAGCCTGGGCGACAGAGCAAGACCTCATCTCTCTAAAAAAGAGAAAATAAATAAATAGTATTTGCTTTATTTACAACTGTTTATTTGTCATTTTGGGTTATTTTATTAAAAAATGGTACCTCAAATTGTATTAGTCTCAGGGCCTTGTGAACCCAAAAGTATCTGAGACAGGTCTCAATCGATTTTGAAAGTTTATTTTGCTGCTGGGCGTGGTGGCTCACGCCTGTAATCCCAGCACTTTGGGAGGCCGAGGTGGGCAGATTACAAGGTCAAGAGATTGAGACCATCCTGGCCAACATGGTGAAACCTCGTCTCTACTAAAAATACAAAAAATAAACTGGGCGTGGTGGTGCGTGCCTGTAGTCCCAGCTTCTCAGGAGGCTGAGGCAGGAGAATTGCTTGAACCCAGGAGGCAGAGGTTGCAGTGAGCTGAGATCACACCACTGCACTCCAGCCTGGTGACAGAGCAAGACTTCGTCTGAAAAAAAAAAAAAAGTTTATTTTGCAAAGGTTAAGCAGGGCCCATGGCACAGTCTCAGGAGGCCCTGATGACATGTGCCCAGGGTGGTCAGAATACAGCTGAAGTGGGCGGATCACCTGAGGTCAGGAGTCCAAGACCAGCCTGACCAACATGGAGAAACCCTGTCTCTACTAAAAATACAAAATTAGCCGGGCATGGTGACACATGCCTGTAATCCCAGCTACTCAGGAGGCTGAGGCAGAAGAATCGCTTGAACCCAGGAGGCAGAGGTTGTGGTGAGCCGAGATCACACCATTGCACTCCAGCCTGGGCAACAACAGCAAAACTCTGTCTCCAAAAAAAAAAAAAAAAAAAAAAAAAAAAACAGTTATCAGTAAAAAAGGAATGTCTGGGTTATGATAAGTGGATGTGGAGATCAAGGTTTTATCATGTAAATGAAGCCTCCATGTAGCAGGCTTCAGAGAGAATAGATTGTAAATGTTTCTTATCAGAGGTAAGGTTTGTGTTGATGTTGATGCTGGAGGGATAATGAGGCATGTCCAACCTCCTTTTCTATCATGGCCTGAACTAGTTTTTCAGGTTAACTTTGGAATGTCTTTGGCCAAGAGGAGGGGTCCATTCAGATGATTAGGGGGGCCTTAGAATTTTATTTTTTATTTACAGCCCCCAAACCCACATCTGCCCCTGCACACAGTGACTGCCCCCGTTACCCTGGGGAATGGCTGCAGATCCCTCTGTGCATATGGGGTGGGAGGGTGAGGGCGTGGGGAAGAGTCACAGGTTACCTGTGGCACATTGCAGGGTCCTTCCCAAAGGGGCCTGGCCTGTCTCAGGCCACAGGCCCTGGATCCCTGCACTAGCTTAGCTCTGAGGCCTGTGTAAAAGGTTGTGAAACCACACTGCAGTGACTTGATTTTCAGGGTTGCCCCATCTTTTGGCTTCCCTGGGCTGCTCTGGAAGAAGAATTGCCTTGGGCTGCACATAAAATACACTAACGATAGCTGATGAGCTAAAAAAAAAAAAAAAATCACAAAAAAATCTCATGATGTTTTAAGAAAGTTTGAGAATTTGCATTGGGCCGCATTCAAGGCTGTCTCGGGACACATGCACTCTGTGGGCTGTGGGTTGGACAAGCTTGATTTAGGTTTTGTTCCACCAGACTGGAGTGTTTCATCCTGCCTGTGTCTAGCAGCATGTTAGAAGGCTGCATTCTCTTAGCAGAGACCCTGTGATTGAGACAGAGCAGGATTCCTCCTTAGAGGCCTGTGGCTGCTCCCCCGACCACCCCAGCATGGAAATAAAACAAAAACCTTGAGTTCCTTCCTTCAAGGGAAATTCCAGGCACCTAGCTGACCTTGAGAAGTAAATGAGCAACTTGATAAGCCAGAAAGTGTGAAAGGAAGAATAAAATCTTGGGAGCCCAAATTCACTATGCCAAAAAGGAAAAGTTAAGTGTGGAAGCTGAGTCACGGGAGGGGGCGGGAACAAGTGCCTTTCCTTTTGTTTCTAAACTGATAGCTGCAGATGGAAGGCCACAGGTGGCCTCCTTCACCCTGACAATGTAAATTAACAGCTTATCTTTGCAGGCGGGGGATGAGGGTAGGTAAGGGACAAGAGGAGACTAGAAATCATCGTCCCCACCCACTCCAAGATAAATGCATATTTGACTGTTTCCTGTACTCTGTTTATTTTGTCTTATGTAAAGTGCCAATTTACCATGTGAGATGAATACAGAATTGACTGTTCCTTTTACCCCCCGCCCCCACCCCCTTTTTTTTTTTTCTTTTTTTGAGACGGAGTCTTGTTCTGTCACCCAGGCTGGAGTGCAGTGGTGTGATCTTGGCTCACTGCAACTTCTGCCTCCCGGGTTCAAGCGATTCTCCTGCCTCAGCCTCCCCAGTAGCTGGGATTACAGGCGTGCATCACCACGCCTGGCTAATTTTTGTATTTTTATTAGAGATGGGGTTTCGCCTTGTTGGCCAGGCTGGTCTCAAACTCCTGACCTCAGGTGATCCTCCCACCTCGGCCTCCCAAAGTGCTGGGATTACAGGCGTGAGCCACCGTGCCCGGCCTTCTACTCCCTTTTTTTCCTGTGCAACATGTGGATTCAGTGAGCTTAAACAAAGCCGCAAAACAAAGTGACCATATCCTCCCTCTTTTTTTTTTTTTTAATGTTCCCTTTCCCCTCCTGCCTGCTTTTTCCCCTTTACTTTTTATTTTTATTTTTTGAGATGGCGTCTCTCTCTGTCACCCAGGCTGGAGTGCAATAGCGTGATCTTGGCTCACTGCAACCTCCGCCTCCCAGGTTCAAGCGATTCTCCTGCCTCAGCTTCCTGAGTAGCTGGGATTACAGGTGCATGCCACCACACTCGGCTAATTTTTGTATTTTTAGTAGAGACAGGGTTTCACCATGTTGGTCAGGCTAGTCTCAAACTCCTGACTTTGTGATCCAGCTGCCTCGGCCTCCCAAAGTGCTGGGATTACAGGCCTGAGCCACTGTGCCCGGCCACTTTCATGCACGTCCGTGTAAAGAGACCACCAAACAGGCTTTGTGTGAGCAATAAAGCTTTTAATCACTTGGGTGCAGGCAGGCTGAGTCCAAAAAGAGAGTCAGTGAAGAGAGATAGGGGTGGGGCCATTTTATAAGATTTGGGTAGATAAAGGAAAATTACAGTCAAAGGGGGTTGTTCTCTGGCAGGCAGGAGTGGGGGTCACAAGGTGCTCAGTGGGGGAGCTTTTGAGCCAGGATGAGCCAGGAGAAGGAATTTCACAAGACAATGTCATCAGTTAAGGCAGGAACGGGCCATTTTCACTTCTTTTGTGGTGGATTGTCATCAGTTAAGGCAGCAACCAGCCATCTGGATGTGTACGTGCAGGTCACAGGGGATATGATGGCTTAGCTTGGGCCCAGAGGGCTGACATTCCTGTCTTCTTATATTAATAAGAAAAATAAAATGAAATAGTGGTAAAGTGTTGGGATGGCGAAAATTTTGGGGGATGGTATGGAGAGATAATGGGGGATGTTTCTCAGGGCTGCTTCGAGCGGGATTAGGGGTGGCGTGGGAACCTAGAGTGGGAGAGATTAAGCTGAAGGAAGATTTTGTGGTAAGGGGTGATATTGTGGGGTTGTTAGAAGAAACATTTGTCATTTAGAATTATTGGTGATGGCCTGGATACAGTTTTGTATGAATTGAAAAACTAAATGGAATAAGAGAAGGAGAAAAACAGGTATAAAAGGTCTAAGAATTGGGACGACTCAGGACATCTGATTAGAGAGTGCCTAAGGAGATTCAGCATAGTCCTGCCAGCAAAGATTATTTATTTACTTCAAGAGGTAAGAGTGGCAGTTTGGGGATAGCACCAGGAGATATCAGCTGTGATGGCTTAGAGAAACAGTGTAAACCGGCAGTGTAAACAAGAGCAGAGCATGTATGAGTAGTTGAGAACGGTGAATAGGAGTATGACTAGACAGAAGATAGTAGGGATGACAAGTTTTTTTGGGGGCACGGTGGAAGTTGGTCTGATGTCTGGAATGAGACTGGGGCCTAATAAAAAGGAGCATCTATACAGGAGCTCAAATGGGCTGTACCTTGTAGCATTCTGAGGACATGTCTGACTTCTGAGAAGGGAAAGTGGTAAAAGTATTGTCCAGTCCTTTTTAAGTTGGTGGCTGAGCTTGGTGAGGTGTGTTTTTAAAAGACCTTTAGTCCGTTCTACTTTTCCTGAAGACACAGGACAGTAAGGGATATAAAGGTTTCACTGAATACTAAGAGCCTGAAAACCTGCTTGGCTGATTTGACTAATAAAGGCTGGTCTGTTAACAGACTGTATAGAGGTGGGAAGACTAAACTGAGGAATTATGTCTGACAGAAGGGAAGAAATGACTGCGGTGGCCTTCTCAGACCCTGTAGGAAAGGTCTGTACCTATTCAGTGAAAGTGTCTACCTAGACTAAGAGGTATTTTAGTTATCTGACTCGGGGCATGTTGAGTAAAGCTAATTTGCCAGTCCTGGGTGGGGGCAAATCCTCGAGCTTGATGTGTAGGGAAGGGAGGGGGCCTGAATAATCCCTGAGGGATAGTAGAATAGCAGATGGAACACTGAGAAGTTATTTCCTTGAGGATAGATTTCCACGATGGAAAGGAAATGGGAGGTTCTAAGAGGCCGGCTAGTGGCTTGTACTATAGCATAACCTGCCTTTGCTGGTGTGTGGCGATTAGGCCTGGTGGAAACCACCATCAATAAATCAAGCGTGATCAGGGTGAGGAACAGGAAAGAAGGAAATATGGGGAAATTGGGTGAATGTCAGGTGGATCAGAGAGATACAGTCATGGGGGTCAGGTGTGGTATCAGGAATAATGTGGGAGGCCGGATTGAAGTCCGGGCCAGGAACAATGGTAATTGTGGGACTTAACAACGAGTGAGTACAGCTGAAGGAGCCAGGGAGCAGAAAGTATATGCGTCAGGTATGAGGAAGAAAATAGATTTTGGAAGTTATGAGAAATGTAGAGAGTAAGTTGAGCATAGTTTGTGATTTTGAGGGCCTCTAAAAGTATTAGGGCGGCAGCAGCCGCTGCACGGAGACATGAGGGCTAGGCTAAAACAGTAAGGTCAAGTTGTTTGCACAGAAAGGCTACAGGGTGCGGTCCTGGCTCTTGTGTAAGAATTCTGACCGCACTAACCATGCCTAGGAAGGAAAGGAGTTGTTGTTTTGTAAGGGATTGAGGTTTGGGAGATTAATCAGACATGATTAACAGGGAGAGCACGTGTGTTTTTATGAGAATTATGCCGAGATAGGTAACAGATGAGGATGAAATTTGGGCTTGACTGAAGTAATGGGGGCTGTCTGTGAAGCCTTGTGGCAGTACAGCCCAGGTAATTTGCTGAGCCTGATGGGTGTCAGAGTCAGTCCAAGTGAAGCGAAGAGAGGCTGGGATGACGGGTGCAAAGGAATAGTAAAGAAAGCACGTTTGAGATCCAGTACAGAGTAATGGATTGTGGAGAGAGGTATTGAGGATAGGAGAGTATATGGGTTTAGCACCATGGGGTGGATAGGCAAAACAATTTGGTTGATAAGGCATAGATCCTGAACTAACTTGTAAGGCTTGTCTGGTTTTAGGACAGGTAAAATGGGGGAATTGTAAGGAGAGTTTATAGGCTTTAGAAGGCCATGCTGTAGCAGGCGAGTGATAACAGGCTTTAATCCTTTCAAAGCATGCTGTGGGATGGGATATTGGCATTGAGCCGTGTGAGGGTGATTAGGTTTTAATGAGATGGTAAGGGGTGCATGATTGGTCACCAAGGAGGGAGTAGAGGTATCTTATACTTGTGGGTTAAGGTGGGGGAATACAAGAGGAGGACGCAAAGGAGGCTTTGGATTGGGAAGAAGGGCAGCAATAAGATGCAGCTGTAATCCAGGAATAGTCAGGGAAGCAGATCATTTAGTTAAAGTGTCTCAGCCTAATAAGGGAACTGGGCAGGTGGGGATAACTAAAAGGAGTGCTCAAAAGAGTATTGTCTAAATTGGCAGCAGGGTTGGGGAGTTTTAAGAGGTTTAGAAGTCTGGCTGTCAATACGCACAGCAGTTATGGAGGCAAGGGAAACAGGCCTTTGAAAAGTAGGTAATGTGGAGTGGGTAGCCTCCGTATTGACTAAGAAGGGGAAGGACTTACCCTCCACTGTGAGATTACTTAAAGCTCGGCATCCGCGATGGTCTACGGGGCTTCCAAGGCGATCAGGCAGCATCAGTCTTCAGCTGCTAAGCCGAGAAGGAGTCAGTCAGAGAGCCTTGGGCCAGAATTCCAGGGGTTCTGGGAGTGGCTGCCAGGTGAGTTGAACAGTCCGATTTCCAGTGGGGTCCCGCGCAGATGGGACACGGCTTAGGAGGAATCCTGGGCTGCAGGCATTCCTCGGCCTGGTGGTCAGATTTCTGGCACTTGTAGCAAGTTCCTGGGGGAGGAGGTTCTGGAGGAACGCCTGGCCACTGCGGTTTAGGCGTTTGGAAGTTCTTGTGGGCTGGAGATGTGGCTGGGGTTTGTCTCACAGTAAAGGCAAGGAATTGCGACTTTTTTCTATTATTGTACACCTTGAAGGTGAGGTTAATTAAATCCTGTTGTGGGGTTTGAGGGCTGGAATTTAATTTTTGGAGTTTTATTTAATGTCGGGAGCAGATTGAGTAATAAAATGTATATTGAGAATAATACAGCCTTTTGACCTTTTAGGTCTAGGGCTGTAAAGCATCTCAGGGTTGCTGCCGAACGAGCCATGAACTGGGCTGGGTTTTTTATATTTGATGAAAAAGAGCCTAAACGCTATCTGATTTGGGATAAAGAAAAAGGAGCATTAACCTTGACTATGCCTTTAGCTCCAGCCACCTTTTTAAGAGTAAATTGCTGGGCAGGTGGGGGAGGGCTAGTCACGGAATGAAACTGTAAGCCGGACGGGTGTGTGGAGGGGAGGTGATAAAAGAATTATAGGGTGGAGGAGCAGAGGCTTGAAGGGGTGGGTTGCCCCTCCACACCTGTGGGTGTTTCTCGTAAGGTGGAACGAGAGACTTGGAAAAGAAAAAGACACAGAGACAAAGTATAGAGAAAGAAATAAGGGGACCCGGGGAACCAGCGTTCAGCATATGGAGGATCCCGCCAGCCTCTGAGTTCCCTTAGTATTTATTGATCATTCGTGGGTGTTTCTCCGAGAGGGGGATGTGTCAGGGTCACAAGACAATAGTGGGGAGAGGGTCAGCAGACAAACACGTGAACAAAGGTCTTTGCATCATAGACGAGGTAAAGGATTAAGTGCTGTGCTCTTAGATATGCATACACATAAACATCTCAATGCTTTACAAAGCAGTATTGCTGCCCGCATGTCCCACCTCCAGCCCTAAGGCGTTTTTCCCTATCTCAGTAGATGGAACGTACAATCGGGTTTTATACCGAGACATTCCATTGTCCAGGGACGGGCAGGAGACAGACGCCTTCCTCTTGTCTCAACTGCAAGAGGCATGCCTTCCTCTTATACTAATCCTCCTCACACAGACCCTTTATGGGTGTCGGGCTGGGGGACGGTCAGGTCTTTCCCTTCCCACGAGGCCATATTTCAGACTATCACATGGGGAGAAACCTTGGACAATACCTGGCTTTCCTAGGCAGAGGTCCCTGCGGCCTTCCGCAGTGTTTGTGTCCCTGGGTACTTGAGATTAGGGAGTGGTGATGACTCTTAAAGAGCATGCTGCCTTCAAGCATTTGTTTAACAAAGCACATCTTGCACAACCCTTAATCCATTTAACCCTGAGTTTGACACAGCACATGTTTCAGAGAGCACGGGGTTGGGGGTAAGGTCATAGATTAACAGCATCTCAAGGCAGAAGAATTTTTCTTAGTACAGAACAAAATGGAGTCTCCTATGTCTACTTCTTTCTATACAGACACAGTAACAATCTGATCTCTCTTGCTTTTCCCCACATTTCCCCCTTTTCTTTTCGACAAAACCGCCATCGTCATCATGGCCCATTCTCGATGGTCGCTGTCTCTTCGGAGCTGTTGGGTACACCTGCAGACTAACAACAGACAAAACAGGCACACAAGGATTAATATGAGATTTATAATTGTAGTACTTCCGATGGTCTTAACCCAAGTGACAGGGTTAAGATTTGCGAGGCCATCAGCAACTCCTGCAATTGCCTCAGTTCCTGGCACCAAATTTAAATGGGCTTTTGATGCTTCAAAAATTTTTTCTTTTAATTTGGAAATGTCTAAAGTGAGATTATCTTCTCTTCCCTGTAGATGGTGTCTAACCATGTCCCAGTGATGCTCAGACTCATTATAAATTTGGGGTGTAATACAAAAGTCTGACGTATTGCAGTCACACTGTAACTGGAAACGACGTTCTAAGCTCATGAGTCTGTCTCCTATCCAAATGAGTTTGTCTAAGATGATTAATTTGATTTGCCAATTTTTGATCAATACTAGATTGTGAATTCCACAATCTTGCAGAATTCTTTTGCCAATCATTAACAAAGTTTACCGACTGAACAGAAGAGTGCAATGCAACTCCTGCCACAGCAGCCGTAGCTGTGACTGCAATTAATCCCATAATCACTGCAATTAAAGTAAAAATGAATCTTTTGGATCTATTTAAAATGCCTTTTAATACTTCAGTCAAAATATGGATGGATGGCGAGGCCTCCCACGGTCTGTCCATGGACACAGGGATCCACACGCCTTCTCTTGCTCTCACCAGCAGAATACGCTGCTGCCAATTAAAAGTTGAATCAATGCAAGTAAACAATCTACAATTTTCACAGGTTATAGTTTGGGAGTCTGGTTTAATAACTATATTTCCTACAACTAGCATATAAGGGGGCTTTACGCAACTCTGTAAAGGAACCGTTAGACTGGAATTTAGGTCGATAGTATAAAATGGCTTACGATCTCTTGTTTCTGAAGTTTGATTTCCAGACCAAATTCTAATGTGGTGTGAGGCCACAATAAGCCTCCATAATTCTGGATGTTCAGGACCAGAAACAGGACTTATTATTTTTGGTCTTGGGGTAGAGATTCCTTTTTCTCCCCATTCCCAAGGGTACAAAGACTGTAATTTTTTATGCTTATGTTTGTCTAGACTTTCTGTTAAGTCGCTATCAACAGCTGGACTCACTTGTGCACTTGGACACAACTGAGTTTGTCCTGAGCAATTGTGATCGAATTGACCTCGAGGTGCCCAATCTATAATAGTTCCGAATTCATTGTTTTGTAATATCACCGCACTATTGGCCACACATTCTTCCCAAACTAAAACTTCTGTATTTTTTGATTCTTTGGGAATTTCCTTGGGGCAAGGTTTTCCTTTAGGTCTAAATTTTAATGATCTTTGATAAGAAAAGTCCTGTAAATAATTTACTCGTGGCCTGAGTGACATCCCGCTTACCATGTGATAAGTGAATCTACCGTTAGGACTGACAGTAGGTACTTCTACCAACCAATTTTGGACTGCATGTATTAAACATCCTGGTGCTCTCCCTAGGCAAATAGGATAACGATACCCAGTGGAAATATTTATCATTATCCCTTCTTCCTCAGGTTTGATAGGGCAGCGATCGTCTGTGGGGCCAGGTACCCGTACACTATCATTAACATATACTTCTATAGGATTATCCATCCATGTGACTGGTGTTACCATCTCTGTGGAGGCCCTTTTCTTTGCATCTCCGATGGGTTCATTGTAGAACTTCAAATGTCTAGTGGGTATCCAAACAGGAAGCTGATTTTCTCCTGGTGAAACACAAGCAAACCTCTCCCCCACGTTATCACCTTCCCTATTTCCCATGTCTTATTTTTATTATCTTTCCACCAAATTAGTTTTCCTTCATGTGGGCTGTTCTTTTTACCAGTAAGATGTTGTTCTGCAGAAGTAGTAGTCTGATTTCTATAAATGTTTAAAAAAATTTAAAGTATAGAGTGCTAGATTAAGTTGCATCTGAGGAGTGGTACACTCCTTACTGTCTCCCCCTTCTTTTTGTTTAACTAATTGAGTTTTGAGTGTTCTATTAGTTCTTTCAACTATGGCCTGTCCTTGGGAATTATAAGGAATTCCTGTTGTATGTGAAATTTTCCACTGACTTAAGAATTTTTGGAAAGCTTTACTACAATATCCTGGTCCATTGTCAGTTTTGATTTTTTCTGGAACTCCCATGACAGCAAAACAAGACAATAAATGTTTTTTAACATGGGAAGTACTTTCTCCTGTTTGGCAAGCTGCCCATATGAAATGTGAAAAGTATCAACTGTTACATGAACATATGATAATCTTCCAAATGAAGGAACATGCGTGACATCCATTTGCCATAACGCATTAGGACACAGACCTCTGGGATTAACTCCTGCCTCTTGAGTGGGCAGGTGTAAGACCTGACACTGGGTGCAATGTTGTACAATATCTTTTGCCTGTTTCCATGTGACATCAAATTTGTTTTTTAATCCTGCTGCATTTGCATGAGTCAAAGCATGAAGTTCTTGTGCTTTTATGAATGCAGATGATACCAGTAAGTCAGCTTGTTCATTTGCTTTAGTCAAAGGCCCTGGTAAATTAGTGTGTGCTTGAATATGAGTAATATAAAATGGGAAATTTCTTTTTCTTACAGTTTGTTGTAATAAATTGAATAGCTGGTTTAACTGATCATCCATGCTATATTTAATTAGAGCTGTCTCAACATCCCTTGTAGCCTGTACTACATATGCAGAATCTGATATAATATAGATAGGTTGGTCAAAATCTTGTAACACTGTAATGACTGCAACCAACTCTGCTCTTTGAGCCGATTGATATGGAGTTTTGATTACTCGTTCTTTCGGCCCTGTGTAAGCCACTTTTCCATTGCTGGAACCATCAGTAAATACTGTTAGAGCATTTTCTAAAGGTTCACGTCTGCTAATTTTAGGTAGAATCCAAGTAGTCAATTTTAAGAACTGGAAGATTTTTGTTTTTGGGTAACGATTGTCAATAATTCCCACAAAATTAGCAAGACCAATCTGCCATGCACCAGAATTGATAAAGGCTTGTCTAACTTGTTCCTTTGTTAAAGGGACAACTATTTTGTCTGGGTCATTTCCACATAATTTTATTATTCATAATCTTGTCTGACCAATTAATGTAGCTATTTGATCCAAGTACAATGTAAAAGTCTTAACTGTACCGTGAGGAAGGAATGACCACTCCACAAGATCAGTATTTTGAACAATGATGCCTGTTGGAGAATGTGCAGTGGCAAAAATCAAAAGTTGGAATGGGGCTAAGGGATCTATTCTATTTATTTGCGCTGACTGAATTTTTTCTTCCACTAATTTAATTTCTTTTGTTGCCTCTGGGGTTAACATTCTTTTACTATTTAAGTCTGAGTCTCCTCTTAAGATAGAGAACAAATTTGACATGGCATAAGTAGGAATGCCTAGAGTTGGCCGAATCCAATTAATATCTCCCAGCAATTTTTGAAAATCATTTAGTGTTTTTAATGTGTCTTTCTTATTTCTATTTTTTGTGGCTTAATTTTTCTATCTGCATCCCTAAATAATGAAAAGGAGTAGAGGTTTGGATCTTATCAGATGCTATTGCCAGTCCTGCATTGGCAACCTCGGCTTGCAGAAATGTATAACAGTCAATTAATTTATCTCTCGTTTCTGCAGCACATAAAATATCATCAAAATAATGAATAATATAGCCGTCTGAAAACTTGTCTCTAACTGGTTGAAGAGCTTGACCTACAAAAGTCTGACAAATAGTTGGACTATTAAGCATTCCCTGAAGTAACACTTTCCACTGAAACCTGGTGGCTGGTTCTTTATTATTTATGGCTGGTATAGTAAAGGCAAATTTTTCGCAATCCTGCTCCACCAGAGGGATGGTAAAAAAGCAATCCTTTTGATCAATTATAATTAAAGGCCAATCTTTTGGGATCATGGCCAGAGAGGGTGACCCAGGTTGGAGAGGCCCCATGGGTTGAATTACAGCGTTTACGGCCCTCAAGTCAGTTAACATATGCCATTTGCCGGATTTCTTCTGAATTACAAACACAGGAGAATTCCAAGACGAGAATGAAGGCTCAATATGTCCCTTTTCTAACTGTTCATTTGCTAATAAATGTAAAGCCTCCAGTTTTTGTTTTGGTAGCGGCCACTGATTTACCCACACCGGTTTTTCTGTTTTCCAAGTTAATGGTATGTGTTTAGGAGGCTCTACAGTGGCCGCCCCTAACAAGGATACCCTATTCCTTCTCTTTCTTGATTTATTTTAGCCTCAACTGGAACTTTAATGCCATCTTCATTTTTCCCTAGTCCCTTTCCTGGTATATATCCCATCTTGGTCATGATTTTTTGACTCCTGGGGCTATATAATGGAGAGGGCATGGTGATTTCCACACCCCATTGTTGTAATAAATCTCGACCCCACAGATTAAGAGGAATTGAAGTAATCATGGGCTGAACAGTACTTTCTTGATTATCTGGCCCTAAGCAATGTAAAATCTCAGTACTTTGATACACTTCTGAGGCTGTGCCTATGCCGACAAATCCTGTAACAGCCTTTTGTTTAGGCCAATTTTTTGGCCACTGATTTAAAGCAATGATAGAGACATCTGCTCCAGTGTCTACCAACCCTTCAAACTGTTTTCCTTGAATAATGGCCTTACACACAGGTCTGTTCTTTGAGACCTGACTTGCCCAATATGCAGCCTTTCCTGTCAGATCAGTGCTTCCAAACCCTCCTGTTCTTTTTATTTCACTATTTCCAACCTTAATATATGGCAGGAGTAATAATCGAGCAATCCTGTCTCCTGGACTGGCACTCCAAGGAATTGAAGAGCTAATAACCAATTGAATTTCGCCTTTATAGTCTGAATCAACCACACCAGTATGAATTTGAACTCCTTTTAGATTTAGACTTGATCTTCCCAAGATTAGTCCTACAGTCCCCTCAGGCAGTGGGCCATATACCCCTGTGGGGATTTTTTGTGGGGGCTTCCCTGGAAGCAGAGAGACTGCTTGTATAGTACATAAATCTACTGCTGCACTGCCGCTTGTGGCGGGGGACAATTGTTGTATTGTGGTAACTGGCTTATTCCCTGAAACACTTGGGACAGTGGGGGTTTTTGTCCCTGAAAACCCTGAGGAACAAATGGCTGAATTGGGAATGCCCCAGTTTGTTGTGGGGCCTGAGGCTGGCCCGTTTGTTCATTTCCCGACAATGGTTGCCTGTTTTTATCAAATTTAGAATGACACTGACTAGCCCCATGTTTTCCTTTTTTACATTTTGGACATAAGTCAGGTGGCTCTCTACCTGTTGTAGTTGCTTGAATAGTTATATTCTGTTTATTTAAGACTGGCCAATTCTTTTTTAAATGACCAATTTGACCACAATTATAACATTTTCCTCCAAATGTTTTAACTTGTCCTCCTAAAACAACTCCTGTTATTGCTTGAGCCATAAGCATAGCTTTATGCATATCTCCTCCGATTCCATCACAGGCTTTTACATACTCTGAGATTACATCTGACCCTGTGGGAACCTTTCCTTTTAATGGCTTAATGGCTGATTGACACTCAGGATTGGCGTTTTCATATGCCATCAACTCCACTATGACCTTATGGGCTTTTTCGTCGGCAATTGACTTTTGAGCAACATCTTGGAGCCTTGCCACAAAATCAGGGTAGGGCTCTTTTGAACCTTGTCTTACTGTATTAAATGAGGGGCAGGCGCTTCCTGGGTCTTGGATTTTTTCCCAGGCTCTAAGGCAGATAGCTCTAACTTGCTCAATGGCCTCATTTTGCATGAATGCTTGTTGACTAATAGTACTCCAATTTTGACCTCTTCCTAATAGTTGATCTGCATCTATGTTAACTGGAGGATTGGCAGCCCTATTTCTTCGGACCTGTTCTTGTACCCCATCAATCCACCAAGTCTTAAATTGTAAAAATTGAGAGGGTGAGAGAGATGATCTTGCCAGAATCTCCCAATCATAAGGAATGAGTCTATGTCCATGAGCAATGGAATCTAATAATGTACTCATATAAGGGGAGTTGGGTCCATACTGTTTTACTCCCTCTTTCATATCTTTTAGCATTTTTATCAAAAAAGACTTGTATCTGGCCTCAACTGTGAGAGGCTCTCCCTCTTGGGCTTCTTCTCCAGGTGGCATCGGTTCTAACGTTACTGGGAATTGCCACGCCTCAGTATCTCCTTCCTTTCTTCTCAATAATTTCATGTAATTCACTACCCTGTCTACTAGGCGGTGCCGTAGGATTAAGTCTCCTAGTGGGCGGCTGAGGGTATGGCGCCCTGCCCTGTGGTGCTGGGGGCATTCCTGGATATCCATACTGACTTTCTGGGGGTGGCTGATACTGAAGTTCAGCCAGCGGCCAGTATTGATAAGCTACTGGTGGTTGGCTCTTATTTTCTCTAACCTGCGTTTGAGGTTGTAATGTTACGGGCACCTGACCTGCTGGAAGAGGACTTGGCCCTCGTGGTTTAGACTCTGATGGCCCCACTAATTCGGGACCTTTTCCTTCTAATTTTAACGTTTCAGGATATATCACCTCCTGTAATTGATTATAGTCAACATTTTGCATTGACTGAGCCATTACCGGCTCTGCTACATATTCGCAATGTAAACCTTCCGTTTCTTTCTGGGATTTTTTTCCTTGTCTTTTCATTACAATCTATTAAACAGCTTCCAGGGGCATCAGAAACTGAAACGCTATCTTCTTCTGTTTGAAATGGTTCTAAAGCTGCTTTAATAATGGCCCAATCATTCCATACTGTAAGTGGAATGATATTACCCTTCCTACTTGCTTGTTTTAGTTCCTTAACAATTCTTTTCCAATCTTTTAGATCTAAAGTTCCTTGTTCTGGAAACCATGGGCAAAATTGTTCTATTGTTTGAAATAGCTTGATTAGATTTTTTGTAGATACTTTAACTCCCCCTCTTTTTAAAAGAATTTTAATAAAGCTGAGAAAAGAGGCATATTTACTTTTAGTTTTACTTTAGTTTGCCCCATTATCACCCTAGCTTCTTCTGAGCCCACAAGCTTACCGTAAGGCTGACTGTAGACGTACTCGGGATCTCTCGTCGACTTGTCCTCAATGACCACGCTTGAGAGTACCTTCACCCTAGAGAAAAGCCTCCACGTTGGGCACCAGATGAAGGGGTGGGTTGCCCCTCCACACCTGTGGGTGTTTCTCGTAAGGTGGAACGAGAGACTTGGAAAAGAAAAAGACACAGAGACAAAGTATAGAGAAAGAAATAAGGGGACCCGGGGAACCAGCGTTCAGCATATGGAGGATCCCGCCAGCCTCTGAGTTCCCTTAGTATTTATTGATCATTCGTGGGTGTTTCTCCGAGAGGGGGATGTGTCAGGGTCACAAGACAATAGTGGGGAGAGGGTCAGCAGACAAACACGTGAACAAAGGTCTTTGCATCATAGACGAGGTAAAGGATTAAGTGCTGTGCTCTTAGATATGCATACACATAAACATCTCAATGCTTTACAAAGCAGTATTGCTGCCCGCATGTCCCACCTCCAGCCCTAAGGCGTTTTTCCCTATCTCAGTAGATGGAACGTACAATCGGGTTTTATACCGAGACATTCCATTGTCCAGGGACGGGCAGGAGACAGACGCCTTCCTCTTGTCTCAACTGCAAGAGGCATGCCTTCCTCTTATACTAATCCTCCTCAGCACAGACCCTTTACGGGTGTCGGGCAGGGGGACGGTCAGGTCTTTCCCTTCCCACGAGGCCATATTTCAGACTATCACATGGGGAGAAACCTTGGACAATACCTGGCTTTCCTAGGCAGAGGTCCCTGCGGCCTTCCGCAGTGTTTGTGTCCCTGGGTACTTGAGATTAGGGAGTGGTGATGACTCTTAAGGAGCATGCTGCCTTCAAGCATTTGTTTAACAAAGCACATCTTGCACAACCCTTAATCCATTTAACCCTGAGTTTGACACAGCACATGTTTCAGAGAGCATGGGGTTGGGGGTAAGGTCATAGATTAACAGCATCTCAAGGCAGAAGAATTTTTCTTAGTACAGAACAAAATGGAGTCTCCTATGTCTACTTCTTTCTATACAGACACAGTAACAATCTGATCTCTCTTGCTTTTCCCCACAAGGCTGAGGAAGAATTGGGACCTAGCTCAGCCTGGGGAGGAGCAGCCTGGGGAGGAGGGGAGAGGTTAGATGGGTCTGTAGAAAAGGAGGATTAGAAAGACTCAGCAACGCTTGGGGTTGGGACTGAAGGGACAGGCAGGAGGGAAAGAAGGAAGATTTGGGATGAGTTGCATTGGGAGCAGAGACTATGGAGAGACTGATGTATAAAAGAATGCCTGCACGTCAGGCACCTCAGACCATTTGCCTATTTTACGACAAGAAGTATTTAGATCTTGCAGGATGGAAAAATTGAAAGAGCCATTTTCTGGCTATTTGGAACTACTGTTGAGTTTGTATTGGGGTCAAGCAGCATTGCAGAAGAAAATAAGATGCTTAGATTTTAGGTCAGGTGAGAGTTGAAGAGGTTTTAAGTTCTTAAGAACACAGGCTAAGGGAGAAGAAGGAGGAATTGAGGGTGGAAGGTTGCCCATAGTGAAGCCTAGAGAAAAGAGAGAGTAGAGACATGAAGGGAAGGGGCTTGGGGGTTCTTACCCTCCAGAAAGCGGGAAAGGGGTCAGGGCACAGAGATATGAGGTCGGGGCGCAGAAATAAGGGATTGGGGTGCAGAGATATAAGAGGTTGGGGCATGGAAATTAGGGATCGGGGCGCAGAGATATAAGGGGTTGGGGTACTTGCCCCTCCCCCAGAAAAGTGGTACTTGCCGCTAAGGGTGAAGGAGAAGGGGTTGGGGGTTTCTTGCACCCCAGAAAGGTGGAGAAGGGGTAGAGACACGGAGAGAAGGGGTTGGGGTACTTACCCCTTCCCCAGAAAAGTGGGACTTGCCGCTAAGGGTGAAGGACCAAGGCAGGTGTCCCTGCGTGGTCTGACACCTCTGAAACATGGGTGAATAATCAGAGAGGCGTCCCTACAATGATTAAACACCAAGGGAAGGCTGCCTTCCCTAGTCCGTGATCGGCGCCGGAGTTTTGGGTCCACGGAGAAAACATGTCTCCTTTGTCTCTACCAGGAAATGAAAGGAATTGAAATTAAGAGAAGGGAGAGATTGAAGAGTGGAAAGGAGAAAGTGGTTGAGGGATAGTGAGAGAGGTTGGAGAAGAGAGTAAGAAGAGGCCGCTTACCCGATTTAAAATTGGTGAGATGTTCCTTGGGCTGGTCGGTCTGAGGACCTGAGATTGTAGGTGGATCTTTCTCATGGAGCAAAGAACAGGAGGACAGGGGATTGATCTCCCAAGGGAGGTCCCCCCTCCCCATCCGAGTCACAGCACCAAATTTCATGTGCGTCCATGTAAAGAGACCACCAAACAGGCTTTGTGTGAGCAATAAAGCTTCTAATCACCTGGGTGCAGGTGGGCTGAGTCCGAAAACAGAGTCAGCAAAGACAGATAGGAGTGGGGCCATTTTATAAGATTTGGGTAGGTAAAGGAAAATTACAGTCAAAGGGGGGTTATTCTCTGGCAGGCAGGAGTAGGGGTCACAAGGTGCTCAGTAGGGGAGATTTTGAGCCAGGAAGAGCCAGGAGAAGGAATTTCACAAGGCCAATGTCATCAGTTAAGGCAGGAACAGGCCATTTTCACTTCTTTTGTGGTGGAATGACATCAGTTAAGGCAGGAACTGGCCATCTGGATGTGTACGTGCAGGTCACAGGGGATATGATGGCTTATTTTGGGCTCAGAGGCCTGACCGCCACTTTTTCCCCTGTAAATATTGAAGCCCTCAAAGTCTTCTCTGGAAAAAGTATGGGCCACAGATTTTACTGTGGCTTGTGTCTTTTTTTCCCATGTACATCCTCAACCTTGGCAAAATAAACCTCTAAATTGATTGAACATTGCCTCAGTCATTTTCTTTGTGTGTTTTTTTTTTTTTTTTTTTTTTTTTTTGATGGAGTTTTGCTCTTGTTCCCCAGGCTGGAGTGCAATGGTGCTATCGAAGCTCACAACCTCTGCCTCCCTGGTTCAAGTGATTCTCCTGCCTCAGCCTCCCGAGTAGCTGGGATTACAGGCATGCACCACCACGTCCGACTAATTTTGTATTTTTAGTAGAGATGGAGTTTCTCCATGTTTGTCAGGTTGGTCTTGAACTCTCAACCTCAGGTGATCCGCCTGCCTTGGCCTCCCAACGTGCTGGGATTGTAGGCATGAGCCACTGCGCCCAGACCATTTTCTTTGGTAAAAGTAACTTAAAATAATTGCTAAGGAAATTAGGGTCAGGAGATGTTTTGTTTCCTATAGAAACTAAAGATAACATCTTACCATATGTCCCTGAGTTGTTTTTTCAGAAACCCTGACCAAACAGAAACCCACCAAGCAGATCCCACCAGCTTGTAAGCCTCACATAAGGGGAAACTGAGGACTGAACTCTGATCACAGTTCCTTGTTCTACATTTCTTCCTGAGGGGCCTGGAGGAGGTCATTCCCACATGCCAGGGCTAACATTTCTTTTTTTTTTTTTTTTGAGACAGAGTCTTGCTCTGTAGCCCAGGCTGGAGTACAGTGGCACAATCTCAGCTCACTGCAAGCTTGACCTTCTAGGCTCAAGTGATCCTCCTACCTCAGGCTCCCAAGTAGCTGGGACCACAGGCACAAGCCACCATACCCTACTAATTAAAAAAAAATTTTTTTTGTAGAGATTGGTGTTCACTGTGAGACCCCCATGTATAGCCATCATATATTGGTTTATGGCTTTGCCTGTAATCTGTGCCTCTCTGCCTTTGAAAACCCTTACCTGGCCAGGCGCGGTGGTCACACCTGTAATCCCAGCACTTTGGGAGGCCGAGGCTGGCGGATCACGAGATCAGGAGATGAAGACCATCCTGACTAACATGGTGAAACCCAGTCTCTACTAAAAGTACAAAAAATTAGCTGGGCGTGGTGGCAGGCGCCTGCAGTCCCAGCTACTTGGGAGGCTGAGGCAGGAGAATGGCATGAACCTGGGACGCAGAGGATGCAGTGAGTCAAGATCACGCCACTGCACTCCAGCCTGGGCAGCAGAGCGAGTCTGTGTCTCAAAAAAAAAAAAAAAAGAAGAAGAAAAAAGAAAACCCTTACCTAGGCCATGCACGATGGTTTAGGCCTGTAATTCCAGCAGTTTGGGAGGCCATGGCGGGCGGATCACCTGAGGTCAGGAGTTTGAGACCAGCCTGACCAACATGGAGAAACCCAGTCTCTACTAAACATACAAAATTAGCCTGGTGTGGTGGCACATGCCTATAATCCCAGCTACTCAGGAGGCTGAGGCAGGAGAATCACTTGAACCCGGGAGGCGGAGGTGGCAGGGAGCTGAGATCATGCCACTGCACTCCAGCCTGGGCAACAAGAGCAAGACTCCATCTCAAATACAAACAAACAAAAACCCTTACCTGTAAGCCATCCAGGAGTTTGGGTCTTCAGCATGAGCTGCTGGATTCTCCTTGCTTGGTGCCCTGCAACAAATGCCTCACTTTCTCTCACTGTTATCCCAGTGCCACAGTTTGGCTCTGCTACTGTGGGTGAGTGGACCACAGTTTGGTTCAAGAACATGATCAACTGCCTCGATCATAGATCCATGTGGTTCAAAACACTTACCACTGAGGCGCTGTGCTTGTTGTGATCATTGCACTCACCTTGTTTACTCTGGGTAAAATGAGGCTGAGACCTACTGGGCTGCATTCCTGGGAAGTTCGGGTGTGGTGGTGCACACCTGTAGTACCCGCTACTCGGGAGGCTGAGGCAAGAGAATCACTTGAACACGGGAGGCAGAGGTTACAGTGATCCGAGATCGCACCACTGCACTCCAGCCTAGGCAACAGAGCAAGATTCTGTCTCAAAGTAAAAACAGCAACAAAGAAACAAACAAAAAACACATTTGCAAGATGTGTATAAGAAAAAAGAAGGGCTGGGTATGGTTGCTTCTGCCGGTAATCCTTCTTTACTGCAACCTGTTTTATCAGCAAGGTCTTTGTGACCTGCATCTTGTGCCGACCTCCTATCCCATCCTGTGATTTAGAATGCCTGAACTTCCTGGGAATGCAGCCCAGTAGGTTTCAGCCTCATTTTACCCAGACCCATTCAAGATGGGGTCATTCTGGTTCAAATGCCTCTGACACCTGTACTTCCTGGAGGGCTAAAAAAAAAAAAAAATGAAAAACCCTTCCCTGAGGCATTAAGAAGCCACTGGTGTGAAGCTTCTTACAAGAAGCACCACCATCCTACAAGAGATCGGTGATAGCCAGGATAGCAGTTGGAGATGACAAGAGGGATGTTGGAACGGGGCTGTCTAATTTCAGCAGGAATCATGGAGATGCTGAGTGGGAAAGGCCAGGAGCTTCGCCATCAGAAACAGGTTTCAGTAAAGAAGCTGGCTAAAACCCACCAAAACCAAGAAGGTGATGAACATGACCTCTGGTCGTCCTCACTGTAATTATACGCTAATTATAATGCATTAACATTCTAAAAGACACCCTCACCAGCACCTTGACAGTTTACAAACGTCATGGCAACATCAGGAAGTTACCTTGTATGATCTAAAAGGGGAAAAGTCCTCAGTTTTGGGAATTGCCCACCCCTTTCCCAGAAAACTCATGTATAATGTACTCCTTGTTTAGCATATAATCAAGAAGTAACAATAAGTATAAACAGCTGAGCACCCCATGCCGCTGCTCTGCTGCTCTGCCTATGGCGTAGCCATTCATTTATTCCTTTCTTTTTTTTTTTTTTTTTTTTTTGAGACGGAGTCTCACTCTGTCGCCCAGGCTAGAGTGCTGTGGCACGATCTCGGCTCACTGCAAGCTCCGCCTCCCGAGTTCATGCCATTCTCCTGCTCAGTCTCGAGTAGCTGGGACTACAGGCGCCTGCCACCGTGCCCAGCTAAGTTTTTGTATTTTTAGTAGAGACAGGGTTTCACCGTGGTCTCGATCTCCTGACCTCGTGATCCGCCCGCCTGGGTCTCGGAAAGTGTTGGGATTACAGGCGTGAGCCACCGCGCCCAGCCCTCCTTTACTTTCTTAATAAATTTGCTTTCACTTTATGGATTTGCCTTGAATTCTTTCTTGTGCAAAATCCAAGGACCTTCTCTTGGGGTCTGGATTGGGACCCCTTTCCGGTAACAGCAGGTTGAGTATAATGAAGCCATTCCACCAAACCCATTTTCTGAAGTCTTAGGAATCCTTTCCTGACAACCTTATACCAGGGAAGATCTGGCATTACTTTTGAGGCAGGCTTTTGCTGTGTCACCTAGGCTGGAGTACAGTGGTGCAATCATGGCTCACTGCAGTCTTGACTTCCAGGCTCAGGTAACTGTCTCACCTCACCCTCCTGAGTAGCTAGGACTACAGGCATGCACCACCATGCCCAGCTAATTCTTTCTTTTTTTTTTTTTTTTTGAGGAAAAAAAAAAAAAAGTCTTGCTCTGTTGCCAGGCTGGAGTGCAGTGGCACAATCGCAGCTCACTGAAACCTCTGCCTCCCAGGTTCAAGTGATTCTCCTGCCTCAGCCTCCTGAGTAGCTGGGACTACAGGCGCCTGCCACCATGTCCAGCTAATTTTTTGTATTTTTAGTAGAGATGGGGTTTCACCATGTTGGGCAGTATGGTCTCAATCTCTTGACCTCATGATCCACCCACCTCGGCCTCCCAAAGTGCTGGGATTACAGGCGTGAGCCACTGCGCCTGGCCTTTTATTTTGAGATGAAGTCTCGCTCTGTTGCCCAGGCTGGAGTGCAGTGGCACGATTTCGGCTCAATGCAACCTCTGCCTCCTGGGTTCAAGCAATTCTCTTCCCTCAGCCTCCTGAGTAGCCCAGGCATACACCACCATGCCTGGCTAATTTTTGTATTTTTAGCAGAGACGGGGTTTCACCATGTTGGTCAGGCTAGTCTTGAACTCCTGACCTACTGATCCCACCCCACCCTTGGCCTCCCAAAGTGCTGGGATTACAGGCATGAGCCACTGCACCCGACCGGTTTTTTTTGTTTTTTTTTTTTGTATGGTTTATACACCAAAGAGGTAGAAGGTTTTGCTAATCTGTATTAGCAAAGCCTGGAGTGAAACATGTGGGAGTGAATTCTCAGTGTGTTGGATGAAAGGTGATGGAATATAAGACTTGATGGGGCCAAATTCAATAACATCGGTGCAGTCACCTGCGATTCAGAATTTAATGTTTTTTTTTTTATTTGTTTTTGTTGTTGTTGAGACAAAGTTTCACTATTGTCGTCCAGGTTGGAGTGCAATGGTGCCATCTCGGCTCACTGCAACTCTGCCTCCTGGGTTCAAGTGATTCTCCTGCCTCAGCCTTCCGAGTAGCTGGGATTACAGGCGCCCGCCACCACACCTGGCTAATTTTTGTATTTTTAGTAGAGACAGGGTTTTGCTGTGTTGGCCAGACTGGTCTTGAACTACTGACCTCAGGTGATCCACCTGCCTCAGCCTCCCAAAGGGCTGGGATTACAGGTGTGAGCCACCACGCCTGGCCAGAATTTAATGTTTTGACTGAAGCACCTGAGGCTGGTCTCTTTTTATTTTATTTTATTTATTTATTTTTTTAAGATGGAGTCTCACTCTTTCGCCCTTGCTGGAGTGCAGTGGTTCAGTCTTGCCTTACTCCAAACCTCCGCCTACCTAGGGTTCAAGTGATTCTCCTGCCTCAGCCTCCCGAGTAGCTGGGATTACAGGCATGCACCACCATGCCTGGCTAATTTTTGTATTTTTAGTAGAGATGGTTGCTCAGGCTGGTCTCAAACTCCTGGCCTCAGGTGATCTGTCCGCCTCGGCCTCCCAAAGTAATGGGATCACAGGCATGAGCCACTGTGCCCAGCTGGATCTGGCATTTTTACCTTATCAGTTGTAGGCCACTGGTTCTCAAACTTTGGTGTGCATAACATCAACTGAAAATACAAAATTAGCCAGGTGTGGTGGTGCATGCCTGTAATCGCAGCTACTCTGGAGGCTGAGGTAGGAGAATCGCTTGAACCTGGGAGGCAGAGGTTGCAGTGAGCCGAGATCGCGCCATCGCACTCCGGCCTGGGTGACAGAGTGAGACTCCATCTAAAAATAAATAAATAAATAAATATAAATAAAATTTACCTTCACTTATTCCTGCTTCAGCACTCATCCTTTTTTTTTTTTTTTTTTTTTTTTTGAGACTGAGTCTCACTCTGTCGCCCAGGCTGGAGTACAGTGGCACAGTCTTGGCTCACTGCAGACTCTGCCTCCTGGGTTCAAGTGATTCTCCTGCCTCAGCCTCCCAAGTAGCTGAGAGTACAGGTGCATGCCACCACACCCAGCTAATTTTTGTATTTTTAGTAGAGACGGAGTTTTACCATGTTGGCCAGGCTGCTCTTGAACTCCTGACCTAGTGATCCCCCCACCTTGGCCTCTCAAAGTGCTGGGATTACAAGCATGAGACACTGCACCCAGCCCCTTTCTTTATATAGATACAAATTTTTGACCTATATTATTTTCCTTCTCTCTAAAGAACTTTTTAAAGCACTTCTTTCAAGGCAGGTCTATTGGCAACAAATTCCCTCAATTTCTCTTTGTTTGAAAAAGTCTACTTTTGAAGGATAATTGCACAAGGTACAGAATTCTAGTTTGGTGGTTTTTCTCTCTGAACACATTGAATATTTCACTTAGCTCTCTTCTTGCTTGATTGGTGATATGGTTTGGCTCTGTGTCCCCACCTAAATCTCAACTTGAATTGTAATAATCCCCATGTGTCAGGGGTGAGACCAGGAGGAGATAATGGAATCATGGGCGGGTTTCCCTCATATCTCGTGATATTGAGTGAGTTCTCAAGAGGTCTGATGGTTTTATAAGGGGCTTTCTCCTTCGCTCGGCACTTATTCTCTCTCCTGCTGCCCTGTAAAGAGGTGTCTTCTGCCATGATTGTGTTTCCTAAGGCCTCTCCAGCCATGTGGAACTGTGAGTCACTTAAACCTCTTTTCTTTATAAATTACCCAGTCTCAGGTAATTCATAGTAGCATGAGAACAGACTAATACAATAAATTGGTACTGGGAGTGGGTGCTGCTATAAAGATACCCAAAAATGTGGAAGCAACTTTGGAACTGGGTGCCAGGCAGAGGTTGGAACAGTTTGGAGGGCTCAGAAGAAGGCAGGAAGATGTGGGAAAGTTTGGAACTTCCTAGAGACTTGTTGAATGGCTTTGACCAAAATGCTAATAGTGATATGGACAATGAAGTCCAGGCTGAGGTGGTCTCAGGTGGAGATGAGGAACTTGTTGGGAAGTAGAATAAAGGTGACTCTTACTTTGCTTTAGCAAAGAGACTGATGGCATTTTGTCCCTGTCCTAGACATCTGTGGAACTTTGAACTTGAGAGAGATGATTTAGGGTATCTGGTGGAAGAAATTTCTAAGCAGCAAAGTGTTGAAGAGGTGACATGGGTGCTCTTAAGAGCATTCAGTTAGGCTGGGCACAGTGGCTCACGCCTGTAATCCCAACGCTCTGGGAGGCCAAGGCGGGCAGATCATGAGGTCAGGAGATTGAGACCATCCTGGTCAACATGGTGAAACTCCATCTCTACTAAAAATGTAAAAATTAGGTGGGCATGGTGGTGCACACCTGTAATCCCAGCTACTCGGGAGGCTGAGGCAGGAGAATTGCTTGAACCCGGGTAGGTGGAGGTTTCAGTGAGCCAAGATAGCACCACTGCACACCAGCCTGGTGACAGAGCAAGACTCCATCTAAAAAAAAAAAAGCATTCAGTTGAGGCGGTTTGCAGTGGCTCACGCCTGTAATCCCAGCACTTTGGGAGGCTGAGGTGGGCAGATCACCTGAGGTCAGGAGTTCGAGACCAGCCTGGCCAACATGGTGAAACCTCATCTCTACTAAAAATACAGAGAAATTAGCCAGGTGTGGTGGTGCATGCCTGTAGTCCCAGCTACTTGGGAGGCTAAGGCAAGAGAATCACTTGAACCCGGGAGGTGGAGGTTGCAGTGAGTCGAGATCTTACCACTGTACTCTGGTCTGAGTGACAGAGTGAGAACCCTGTCTCAAACAAAACAAAACAAAACTCATAAAGGCTGGGCAAGGTGGCTCACATCTGTAGCCCCAGCACTTTGGTAGGCCGAGGCAGGTGGACCACCTGCAATCAGGAGTTCGAGACCAGCCTGGCCAACACATAGTGAAACCCCATCTCTACTAAAAAAATACAAAAATTAGCTGGGCGTGGTGGCACACATCTGTAGTCCCAGCTACTTAGGAAGCTGAGGCAGGAGAATCCCTTGAACCCAGGAGGTAGAGGTTGCAGTGAGCCAAGATTGCACCACTGCACTCCAGCCTGGGTGACAGAGCCAGACTCCATCTCTCAAAACAAAAAAAAGGAACATCCAGTTGGGGTGGGAACTGGGGAGAAAGACTTCTGCCTTCTACTTCCTGCCAAGATGAAATAACTAATGGAAGACAGCCCGGAGAAGTCATGGTCCAATAAGGGTGCTAGGAAGCCAACGGAAAAATCATGAACAGGCTCTCGTGAAACAGTAGCTTGGGGGCACAAGTTAATGCTTTCAGGGAAATCTGCAAGTGGGACACATCCAGCTGCTGTGTTGGGATCACCCAGGGTGCTGGGGCAGAAGACCATGAGAGCTTGTCTCTTTATATCTACAGTCTCTGTGAATTCACAGCCAAATATCTGGCAGTAGGTCTAGCGTTGCTGTTGGTCAGCAGAGCTGGCAAAAAGGAGCAACAGCTAAACACAAAGCAAGTATGAGGACATGGAGCAGGGAAAAGAGCAAGGAGAAACCAGAACCTTCTGCCACATCTACGTCTGTCGCTCATCACCACTAACGATGATGATCTTCAGATTGTAATGCCTGCTGCTTCACTTCCTAGGGGAGAAAAAATGTTCTTTTTCCTTTACTCATCTTAGGTTCATTGGCTAGAGCGTAGCAAATTAGACTGACAAAAAACAGATTAACAAGAGAAAAACAATTTGTCAGTGCATGCAGTGCACATCGCAAGGCAGAAAATTCAGTGGTGAACAACCCAAAGGGATGGTTAGCACTTGGACTTATATCACATCTTAGCAAAGAACAATACATTTATAGATAAGAGTTAAGACAAAGAAAAAGGGCTTTAGGCTTGAACGGGCAGAAAACTATGGGAAGATAAATGTATGGGGGAAACTAATGGAAGATAAGGATTATTTATGCAGGTCCAGCTCAACTGACTTTCCCTCTTCTTCATGGTCATGAAACTTCCCTAGGCGAGGGAATTTTCCAGAAGTTTCCACTTAAAGCTGAAGAGGGAAGCTCCAGGGGAAGGCTTTTTTTCTGCCCCTGTTGATTCCCATTTGCCTCCAGCTTAAGATAATCCTTTTTTTTTTTTTTTTTTTTTTTTTTGAGACAGAGTCTCGCTGTGTCACCCAGGCTGGAGTGCAGTGGCATGATCTCAGCTCACTGCAACCTCCACCTCCCAGGTTCAAGCGATTCTCCTGCCTCAGCCTCCCAAATAGCTGGGACTGCAGGTGCATGCCACTACACCTGCCTAATTTTTATATTTTTAGTAGTGATGGGGTTTTGCCATGTTGGCCAGGCTGGTCTCGAACTCCTGACTTCAAGTGATGCACCCGCCTTGGCCTCCCAAAATGCTGGGATTTCAGGTGTGAGCCACTGTGCCTGGCCAAGGTTAAACTTTGCTAACACATCTTATCTCAGTAGGAGAATGGGAGGGGATGAAAAGGAAAGAATTGGTTCATATATACTTACAAGATTTATGATAAAATAAGGAAGAAATACTCATAACTATAATCTCATTTCTGCAACTGGTCATGTGGTCATAAATGGTATTTATAACTGCCTTCTTCCACCACCCATTCTGCATTTCCTTTGCTTTCTGCAAATATCTTGGCTAGTCCTGATTCCTTGCCTGGTGATAAGATCTGAAACTTCATTCCTGAAGGGTCTGTTAGTGGTACAGCCTACCTAGTTGTTGTCATTTTCCATCAACATTTATCACATTTATGGTAGCCCTGAGGGATCTACTGCATTCCAGATATATTCTTCCTTATTTTCTTTGTGTGGTCATGACCCAATTTCACCTTTCACATCAGCATCAATCATCCCAACAGTGCTTTGCTTGTTGGTTCATTAGCATAAAAAGCCCAAAATAGGCACGTGGCTGTCTCAATTTTCAATTTAATGGAACCATTGTTGAGTTCCCTGACAGAGGTATTCCTCCTCTAGGAGCTCAGACCTCTGGACCAGGAGAGCCCAAAGTTGCCCTATAACTTGATAGGCCAAGCAACACCCAGTTCATGATGGGCAGCTCCAGTTATATGGTAACCTGGTAACTCTCAGTCAAGAGTCCAGGCTCTAATAAGGCCTGATACCCAGCCAGAAGTTGCTTCTCAAAAGCAGAATGAAGCTGGGTGCAGTGGCCCATGCCTGTAATCCCAGCACTTTGGGAGGCCGAGACGGGAGGATCACTTGAGCCCAGGAGTTCGAGACCAACCTGAGCAACATAGCAAGCCCCCATCACTACGTTAAAGAATAATTATATATTTAAAAAGGGGGAAAAAAAGGAGAATGTTACCTGTAGACGGCGGCATAGCTTTTCTTTACATTCCTAAAGGGCTGTGCTACCACACATCTGAAAAAGCCTTTCAAAGCCTCCATATAAGCATTCCTGTCAGCCATAGACACTTCTGCCAGACCATAAGACACAAGTGGCAGAGCTACTTGTAATGCAGCCTGGGCCTGTTTCAGAGCCTTCTCTTGTTCTGGGCCACCCTAAAAAATGGCAACAATTCAGATTTCTCAGCAGATGGGTTGAAGTACCACACCCAAATATATATTACCTCCAGAATCCAAAGGGGCCTACTAAGCATTGTGCCTCTTTCTGAGTGGCAGGAGGGGCCAATGCAGTAATTTATCCTTTACCTAGAAAGGGATTATTGCAACATGGCCCAGCCCACTGGATCCCCAGGAATTTCACTGAGGAGGCAGGTTCATGATTTTTTGTTGGATTTATTTTCTATCCTCTGGCAGGCTTGAGTTTTACTAAAGTATCCAGGGCAGATGCTACATCCTGCTCACCACGTCCATGATACCGTGGATCAGCATGATACCCCATAGAATTTAGAGGTGATGAAGGTCTCTGCACACTACGTAGAGGGATAATAGAGCCCTGACATACAACAACGAAGTTGTATTGCTGGTCCTGCTAGCTGAAAGAAAATGGCTTTTGGTAGTGTTTACTATCAGGTCTGGGGGAAAAAAAAAAAAAAAAAAAAAGCACGTTCACTACATCAATAGCTACATACCAGGTGGCAGGGGATGTTGATTTGCTTCCGTAAAAAGACAAACAGAACACAGTATCTGGGACAGCAGATTGCACTGAAGTCACCACATGATTAAGTTTACAATAATCCACTGTCGTTCTTGATGATCCTTTATCTTCTGAACAAACAAAATATGTGCGTTGAGTGGAGTAATGGCAGGAACCACCATCCGGCACTTTCTAAGTCTTTGTTGATGGTACTAACCGCTTCAGTCTTTTCAGGAATGCAGTGTTGTTTTTGGTTTACTATTTTGAAAGAGGCAGTTCTGCTGTCTTCCATTTAACCTTTTCTGTCATAATATTCCTTATTTCATGGGTCAGGGAACTAAATTGGGGATTCTGTCAGTTGCTGAGGCTGTCCATTCCCACTATGCTGTGTGGACCTGGGTTCAGGGACCCACTAGGCCAACTGTGAGATGGGCCCAAGCCAAAACTCCATGGATCACTTGACCAGCATAGTCTTTACTCTGAGCCGTATTATTCTGGGTCTACAGTAGTCCTCAAACGTCTATTTCCTCTTCCCTTGTCTCCCTGGTAAACAGTCACAAGCCCTTTTGGGATAAGGCTAGAAGGCCGGGCCTGGTGGCTCACGCCTGTAATCCCAGCACTTTGGGAGGCCGAGGCGGGCGGATCACGAGGTCTGGAATTCGAGACCATCCTGGCCAACATGGTGAAACCCCGTCTCTACTAAAAGTACAAAAAATGAGCCGGGTGTGGTGGCACGTGCCTGTGGTCCCAGCTACTTGGGAGGCTGAGGCAGGAGAATCGCTTGAACCCAGGAGGCAGAGGTTGCAGTCAGCCCAGATCGCGCCACTGCACTCCAGCCTGGCAACAGAGCGAGACTCCGTCTAAAAAAAAAAAAGGCTAGAAGGGGGACCCAGATTCAGATTCCCTTTTATTCAAGGAACTGGCCTTGTTGAGGGGAGTTCAACAGACTAGCTCAAGTCAGAATTCTCTTCAACAGATCTAGAGCTTTTCTGTTTATACAAATCAAGTAAAACTTGATTTTCAAAGGCTGCCATCTATTTCAGTCCTAGGGACAGTGGAATCAATTAGCTAACACCAAAAATATCTACAGATAAGGGCCCTTCACCAAAACTCCCAAGGAGGCCTTCTCTTTCTCTTTGAATGTTAATTGCATGTTCCTTCTTTTTTTTTTTTTTTAAGACAGTCTTGCTCTTGTCACCCAGACTAGAGTGCAATGGTGCGATTTCAGCTCACTGCAACCTCCACCTCCTGGGTTCAAGTGATTCTCCTGCCTCAGCCTCCAGAGTAGCGAGGGATTACAGGCGCCCACCACCATGCCCAGCTAATTTTTGTATTTTTAGTAGAGATGGGGGTTTCACCATGTTGGCCAGGCTGGTCTCGAACTCCTGACCTCAGGTGATCCACCTGCCTCAGCCTCCCAAAATGTTGGGATTACAGGTGTGAGCCACCGCACCCAGCTGGCATGTCCCTAATTTTTATTTCTCTTATTCTTCTGCATGCACTCGAGGGCCTATTGTCACTATAATTGTCACAGCTCCCTTTCCCCATGCCTTGCCCTTTACCTCACTCCATCCCATGGTACCACCAGTCAAAATTTGAATTGTGACACCACTGTATGCCATGGATCACTCATGTCCCATTCCCGGCCTCCCCTCCACCACCTCCCATGAGGAGGTTATTGAGCTCTTCAAGTATGACTAACCCAATCCCAGATCTAATTTTAAGAGTCTGTTTCCCAGGGCCACTTCTGGTACCAATTACTCTATCAGTCTGGATCCCAAAAAGAAACAGATGGCGCACTTGTAATAGCATAATTTGAAGAGGACTTATGTAGCAGAACTTAACAAAGGGAGGCAACAGTTACCAGAAAATGAGGCAAGAGTCATGTAGATTCAGACTCAGTAAGAGACCTCACGCTGAAGGACGAAGCAGCTAGAGACAATCTTGCAGGGAGGGAATTAGAGGCAGACACACTCTAATTAGGGAATTAGAGGACCTTACTGTCTTCCTTCCCACTGATTTCCTGGGGGGAATCCCTGGTGAGCAAACCCAAATGGAAGCCAGGGACCAAAGGGAATGTTAGTGTGGTTCATACGGGCCAATCTGTGGAGACAGTGAGCTTAGAGAACAGCCCTGAAGATGTAGGCACCTGCTACACTCTCTATTCTGTAATTAGATTAATGAGATAATGGAAAGACAACCGGGGAATCTAAGAATCAATACTTTCCCACAGAGTCTACAAGGAAGTCTGACCTTAGACCAGACTGTACAGTACTGTTAAGTGATTTTCATATCCGTTCTCTTTGCTCCTCTGATTGAAGACATGTCCCCCCACATTCCTTTATAGACAGGGTAGTGCAGTGAAAGAACTGAATTTGGAGACAGGTTATCTGACTTGACTTTTTTTGTTGAGACAGTCTCACTCTGCCCAGGCTGGAGTGCAGTGGCACGGTCTCGGCTCAATACAACCTCGACTCCTGGGTTCAAGTGATTCTCCTGCCTCAGCCTCCTGAACAGCTGAATTTACAGGGTGCATGCCACCATGCCCGGCTTTTTTTTTTTTTTTTTTTCTCGAGACGGAGTCTCGCTCTGTCGTCCAGGCTGGAATGCACTGGCACGATCTCGGCTCACTGCAACCTCCGCCTCCCGGGTTCAAACAATTCTCTGCCTCAGCCTCCCAAGTAGCTGGGATTACAGGTGCCCACCACCATGCCTGGCTTATTTTTTTGGACTTTTTTTTTTTTTTTTAGAGACGGAGTCTCGTTCTGTTGCCCAGGCTGGAGTGCAGTGGCACGATCTTGGCTCACCACAACCTCCGCCTCCCAGGTTCAAGTGATTCTCCTGCCTCAGCCTCCCGAGTAGCTGGGATTACAGGCATGCACCACCATGCCCGGCTAATTTTTGTATTTTTAGTAGAGACGGGGTTTCACTATGTTGCCCTGGCTGGTCTCGAACTCCTGACCTCGTGATCTGCCTGCCTTGGCCTTCCAAAGTGCTGGGATTACAGGCATGAGCCACTGCATCTGGCCAATTTTTGCATTTTTGTAGAGACAGGGTGTCACCACGTTGGCCAGGCTGGTCTCAAACTCCTGACCTCAAGTAATACCCCCACCTCGGCTTCCCAAAATGTTGGGATTACAGGTGTGAGCCACTGTGACTGGCCAATGTACTTTTCCAATGTACAATCTGTAAATCTTTGAAGTCTCCTTAACATTTTTTTTTGAGACACACACACACACACACACACACACACACACACACACACACACAGGATCTATGTTGCCCAAACTGGATTTGAACTGCAGGTACTCAAGCGATCCCCCAGACTTAACCTTCTGAGTAGCTGGGACTACGTGTGCCACTGGGCCCAGCTTTCTCCTTAACTTCTGAATTTACTTGAACTAAATTCTAATTCCTATTATTCTAAGTTACTACTTATTCTATATCCTCCACAGCTCACTTAATTGATAAGAAGATTTTAACAGCTGCTTATCAATCTTCTCCATAACATCGCATGTTCAGCTTTCTGCCAAACCCAAACAGGTCACGGATTCTCTCGTTTTCTTCCAGAAATTATAGTTTCATGTTCTACTTTTAGGTCTATGATCCATTTCTTTTGTTTTTTGAGATAGGGTCTTGCTCTGTCACCCAGGCTGGAGTGCAGTGGCGCAATCTTGGCTCATTGCAACCGCCCTCTCCCGGGTTCAAGCAATTCTTGTGCCTTAGCCTCCTAAGTAGCTGGGACTACAGGCATGCACCACCACGCCCAGCTAATTTTTATATATTCAGTAGAGGTGGTGTTTTGTGATGTTGGCCAGGTTGGTCTTGAACTCTTGGCCTCAAGTTATCTGCCTGCCTTAGCCTCCCAAAGTATTGGGATTACAGGCCTGAGCCACTGTGCCTGGCCGTATGATCCATTTTGAGTTTTTATAGAAGGCACAAGGAATGGGTGAAAGATTTTTTGCAACATATTCAATATCACTTATTGAAGACTCTATTTTCTTCATTGAATGGCCTTTGCACTGTCAAAAATCAACTATATTTGTGTGGGTCTATTTTTCGGCTATTCTGTTCCATCAATACATGTCTATCCTTTTGCTAATACGTTACTGCATCTTTATATTGAGTCCAAATCAGGTAGTGACTCCTCCAATTTCTTCCTATTACAGAATTGTTACAGCATAATTTGCCTTCCCATATAAATTTTACTACTTTAGAGAGGTCTATGTTGCCCAGGCTGGCCTGGAACCCCTGGGCTCCACTGATGTTCCCATTTTATCCTCCTGAATAGCTGGGACTATAGGTGAATGCCAACACACCCAGCATTCCACGTTATTTTATAGAATCAGCTTGTGGGTATTTACAAAAAAGCCTATTGGGATTGACTGGAAATGCATTGACCCTCTGGACCAAATTGGTGAAACTCAAGATTTATTCTTCCAGTCCATGAACCATGGCATCTCCATTTATCTAGGTCTGATTTTTCTGTCAGTTTATTTTGTAGCTCCAGCATATAGGTATTGCAGTTGTTTGCCCCTTGGTATCCATGGGGGTTGGTTCCAGGATTCCACCCTCCCTTGCAAATACCCAAACCCTCAGATGCTCAAGTCCCTTATATAAAATGATGTAGTGTTTGCGTATAATCTCTGGACATCATCTTGCACACTTTGTCATTTCCAGATTACTCGTATCTAGTGCAATAAGTGCTACGTAGATAGTTGTTATACTGTAGTTCAGAGAACAAGAAAAATCTGTACATACTCAGTACAGACCCAACCATTGTAGGCCTAACACTTTTGGTCTGCAGTTGACTAAATGTGCAGACGTAAAACCCAGATACAGGGGACTGACTCTATTTTCTTAGTTATACTTAAGCATTTCTTTGGGTAGAGAGGTAGTGAGAGTGATGTGCTCAACTTTAAGTGTCTGCTTTTCCCAACTTTTATTTCCCAATCTTTTATTTCATCAGTGGTTTGTAGTTCTCAGCATATGAATTCCATTCATACTGTTAAGATGTAGTATGCCTTGGTTTTGGGGGTATGTTCAGCTTTACATTTGAGAACAATTGTAGGAGGTGGTAATTACTGATGTATTTGGACATATTATGGACCACATCTCCCCTCTTCCCAACCGATTATCTTGGTTCTCCATTTAGGCTGTGAAATCTGACAGCATGGTGGAACAGTATCTACAACAGATGAAGGGGCTCTGAATTCAACTGGGCTTCACAGGAATGATGGGTTGAGAAATGTCTGTTTCACAGTATGAATTACCTGAGCAAAATGCTCAGATTCCTATGCACACAGCTGCTACTAAGGACATACCACACACACATTTGGAGTTCCAGTGGGCTTTTATTGAGATAAATTAACAAAAACCAAGATTTTACCATATTTTTGGAACCTTATAAACTCAGCAGACTCCGGTCCATATATGCGTACATACAACATAACACATCCCAACAAAAACAGAGCCCCCCCCCCCCCCACTGGAACATCTGCCAATTAAGAGAAAGCCAATTTTCCCTTCCCCCAATGTTT
The DNA here is from genome assembly GCF_000001405.40 of Homo sapiens. Taxonomy (NCBI): domain Eukaryota; kingdom Metazoa; phylum Chordata; class Mammalia; order Primates; family Hominidae; genus Homo; species Homo sapiens. The sequence goes on from NC_000011.10 coordinate 118,747,969, forward strand.
CTGAAATTTTGAGTTCCCACTGTTCACTTCTCAGTGGAACTGGTCCCTTGTGGCTAGGGACATTGGAATTCTCTACCATTTTTACTGAACAAAAAATAATTTTTTTTCCTGTTTCAAAAAAGGGAATAGTGACTTTGTTTTCTCCAGGCTCCCCTTCCCACACAACCAATGTAAAATACAGCAGCCTGTATCTTAATAACCCAGCCCTACCCCCTCCCTTACCCAGCATTGTCTACTGGAGAATTTAAATACACTTCTGTTGGAATCTGTCAGCTGTGGATGGGCAGAGTCCAGGTGCCAGGCTAGCTCCCTCTGACCTCATGAACTGTGACAACCTTTGGACACTTAACTCTTTACCCCAAAGATGAGTTTTTAGATCAGAAAGGAGAGCAGATTTTCTTTGGGAGTTTTAAAAAACTATCTTTAGATTTAGAGATACAAAGTACAACTACAATCTCACAGAAGTCCACTAAAGTTCACCAAAAAGCTGACTTACTTCAGCTCTCATGAGGCCAATAATTTTGATAAAGGTATCTGGCAGGAAAATGATTCCACAATAACAAATTTAAAGATACCTAGAACATTGAAAAAAATAGCAAATTAAAATAAATGGCTTAATTTCCAAGAACTTATTTCATTTTTTTGTTACTCATCTAGAAGGTCAGGAGTGTGGCTAAAGGCAGTTTCTGATGAGGTTATGAGCTTCCAAAGTGTTTCTAAATCCTTAGTGCAGACACCCTCCCTTCTGGGGCAAAGTACCCTCCCTCCCACCCCTATTAAAAAAAAAAATTAAAAAATTAAACCACGTCATCAGAATGAGATGTTTTGATTCCAACAATTTATACTCAAGGCTTTGTGCTGAGTTGTCGTTTGAACCAAGCATGATGTTATCAAGCACAAAGCACGTGGCAAAGGAAAGATGCTCCCATCTCATTCTGAAAACAAATACTGATAACCAAGCCCACCCTCCAACCCTTTGGGGCCAACCCATTTTATGCTGCTGGGACCAACTTCAAACAATTTAGAGGTATATTTAGGTTTCCCTCTCTCTTACTTCTGTGAAAGATCATTTTAGAATAAATGTATTCCATTCCTATGGGAGAGGCAAAACAGTATTTATCCCCATCAGAATATATGGGGAAAGAAAAAACATAGGCCTAGAGGTGGTAAGGTGTGTAACAGTCCATAGCCCATTACACAACTGTACAACCAAAGGCTAAATGATGAGTTGGATGTAGTTTTAATATTAAAAATAGAGGGTAGTTCTCATCCAAATGAGCCACTGGAAAATATTATCATTACTTAAAAAAATACATATTTAATATTGGAAAGAATGTGAAAACAACTTCCAATAGTAACAATGCTTATTATGAGGGCCCAAAAAAGAAAGAAAAAAAAAAAAAAAAAAAAAAAGACCAGGCTTTGACCTAGTCCTCAGAGCATCTTTCCATTTAACAATTCCTATTCAAGAGTCAAGCACCAAAACTGGACAGCTGCCTCTACAAGACCGTGTCCAGTAGTGGTGTCCCAGATAGTTTAAGTGCCACTCCTCATTAGAGGCTATACTTCAGTAATACTTTCCATTTTAAGTCTGTGCTTTAAGAGGGACCCACAGGCATGTGGCACCACGCAGTCTAAAGTTGGTGAAGGAGACTGCACTTTTTGTTTAGTCACCCACACGTTCTCTAGCGAGATACAGAATTGCATTTATACTCTTTTCTTCTACATGAATGATCCCTCTTATCTCGCAAGAGGTGGGGGAGAAAGAGAGCTGCATCGGTACAAGGGCACAATTTTTTTGGTCAAAAGTTGACACCTTTTAAATTCCCTCTCCCACCCCTCCCTGGAAAAAAGTTACTTCCTTAATTAGGTTTTCTATTTAGTAACCAACATTGACTGGACAGAAAATATGAGGCTTGGGTTCCAAATAGATGAGCTTGTTCTTTTTTGGGTTTGTACCGTGCAGTTCTTGCTACAGTTGTTAAGGAGTTAGGGCTATGTCCCATCAGGAGGCATCTGTAGGATTTTGATCTCCAAGGAATTGTGGGTGAGTCGCAAATAGTTTGCTCAGAAGTAGGCAGAGTCAAAAAAGCAACTTCAAGTAATTGATTCCTTTGTCCAAAAGAGTTAAAACATTAAAGTATATGCGGGACTTATTTTGTAATATTTTAGGGTTTTGAAAAATAAAATATGGAAATCAATTTTTTTTAATTTTGTTTTTTGCTTTTTTCCCCCCCTTTCCAGATGCCTCCTGATTGACCTAGTACACTGGGTTAAAAGGGAATTAAAAACATTAAAAAAAAAAGTTCACTGGTTTTGATTCATCTCACTCCTTTTGCCTGGAGATCAGGCCAAACATCAAGCATGTTGGGAGGGGCACAATTTAAAGCAACACTATTGACTGTAAAGCATCTGCCAGCAATTTACAGTGCAAAATGACAGGTAACAATTCTTGTCACAATGCAAGAGAATGGCAAGCAGCTTTCTGTAGCATGAAAGTTAACAGCTCTCAGGTTGCCCATTCCTGCAAAAGTTTATGTATCAAAGCGGGCAGAGGGCAACACATTTACACACTACAGGAAATGATCCACAGAAAATTAAGCTCCAGAACTGCTAACATTACCAAAGCTGGTACTGGCTAATATTCTGAAATGCAAATCTGTGCTTTATATATATACTGCTCAATGACACTGCCACTCAATAGAATTCCTACACTGCAAGGTAGATTAATCTTTGCCCCCTGTTGCAGAGCTTGAAATATTCCTCAAACTTTTAGAAAGGGGGAAGAAGCAAAATCAGAGCTTCTCAAAATAAATGTTGAATTATCAATGTTTTGAAGCTTCCTTGCTCTCTCTGGTAAACCTACTCCAAAGGTACTAGATGAGACAGTGTGGCAGCAAACAGTACATCCCAGATTTCTGGGCCCCTTTACTAACACAGGGTACCATAGAAATCTGCTCTCTACAGCACGAGGCCAAAGTACTTTCTAGAATTTAGTGTTGCGTAAAACTGAGCCCCTCTCATCTTTAGCTGCTCCCATAATCACTCTAATCCCCTTAATCCCAGCAACCTTCATCCAAAAAAAAATATATATATATGTATATATATATATATATATGAACCCAGAAAAAAAACTTATTTACAAAGTTATACAAGTATACACACCCAATTTTCTATGGGACACGCTTTGCCACAGAGGAAAGAGGGCCAAGGCTCTGACATGTCTACACATCAAGTGCCATACTACTACTGGAGGCATATGTAACCCAGTCTTTAGTGTCTGCTATAGAGCACAAAGGCTTGTCATATGGCTCCTGCAATGATAGACTGCTCTTTCCTTTGGGAGCGATGATGTTTTTTATCTACTCAGCCCAGAAGAAATTTTTACTTGGGATTGTTTTTTTAAATACATGTATTTACAGTGCGGATGAACTGCAGTTGCATATCAACTCCTCCCCAAAAAGAAAAAAAAAATGGTGTTTAACATTACTAGTGAGTTTCAACTTCTAGCCCTGGGCTCGAGTACTGGGTAGAAAGGGAAGAGACTTCAACCTGAAACCAAAATAAGAAGACATTTTTTAAAAGAAAAAGAAAAAAAAACGGAAAGAAAGAGTTACTATTGTTGATTCCTCGGGCTGTGTCTAAAAGATGATATTCTGAATGGTCTCATAGCATAAGGCACTTCGCACAAATAAGTAATAAGCTCTTCAGGCTTAAAAAACGGATGAGGAATCAGGGAGAAGTTGAAATGCACGAGAGTCAGCTGTTGGAGAATTTTGAAATCATTGACAAGCTTGTGTGTTCATTAAGATTCTTCTCTTTTTAGGGTTTCTCCCCTTCTCTTCTTTCTTTTCCTTCCTTGTCCCCTTTCCCCAGAAAACATTTTTTAAAAACCAGCAGTTAGTGCAACTAATGTTCAGTCAGCACACAGTGCAAACAAGTGGAACAAAAAAGGTATATTCCTTCTTTTCAGCCTTTTTCTCTTCACCAGTTAAAAAAAGAAAATGTCTGAGCTCTTTTAAGTCTTCATAGTTCCAAAATAAAAGATGAAAAACCCACAAAGAGAGGAGCATTCCCCCCAAAACGATGTGTCACAGATCCAAACGAGCCTTTTGTAATTTGTCAAAGCCTACAGAAGAAGAGAATACAAAATTAACATTCTGAAAGCAACACAAACTAGGATACATAGGTTTTCACAATCCTCATCCCAAATGCTCTTTTCTAGTAGTTTCTACTAACCCTGTGCCTACTATAGAATCTACTGGTTATAGGATTAAATAATTTCTGGTAGGCAACCCTGAGATAGATTGGGGGCCTGAATGAATGTGAATGTTCTGATAGCAGGCAGCCCTCACTCGTAACAAATCCGGGGGAAAAAAATTAACCTTACACAAACTGAATACTCTGCCAAAGTACTAGCAAACATTGGCTAGTTTCATGCTTGTCCAAGAGTTTGTGTTTGATGTTTAACTTAAGGAAAAAAAGAGTACAGAGTAATTTAAAAATTATTTAAGTAACAATTGGTTGGGTGAGGTGGCTCCTGCCAGTAATCTCAGCACTCTGGGAGGCTGAGGTGGGCGGATCACCTGAGGTCAGGAGTTTGAGACCAGCCTGGCCAACATGGTAAATCCTCGTCTCTATTTAAAAAAGAAAGAGAAAAAAAATTTAAGTAACATTAGGTTACTTAAATAGGTAAGATGTTCACCTATAACTTGGAAACTATCCTTTGTCAAATCAGATTTTCTTTAGGAAATACTGAAACAACCTACCTTGCTTAAAGCTGAGCCTTGTTTCATGCATTTCTAACTAGAGCCCAATAGTCACCAAAAGATGATAGAGGCAGGGCGTGGTGGCTCACACCTATAATCCCAGCACTCTGGGAAGCCAAAGTGGGAGGATCATTTGAACCCAGGAGTTTGAAACCAGCCGGGGCAACATAGTGAGATCCCATCTTAATAAAAATAAAAAAAAGATGGGAAGACAGGTTGTCCAGGAAATCAGAGTGGGTATTTTATTTATGTATTTGACGGAGTTTCACTCTTATTACCTAGGAAATCAGAGTGGGTTATTTATATATGAGGCAGAGTTTCACTCTTATCGCCCAGGCTCGAGTGCAATGGCATGACCTCGGCTCACTGCAACCTCTGCCTCCCAGGTTCAAGAGATTCTCCTGCCTCAGCCTCCTGACTAGCTGGGATTACAGGCGCCCGCCACCATGCCTGGCTAATTTTCTGTATCTTTAGTGGACACGGGGTCTCACCAGGTTGGCCAGGCTGGTCTTGAAGTCCTGACCTCAGGTAATCCACCCACCTCGGCCTCCCAAAGTGCTGGGATTACAGGTGTGAGCCACTGAGCCAGCCCAAGTGGCTTTTTTTTTTTTTTTTTTTTTGAGATGGAGTCTAGCTTTGTCACCCAGGCTGGAGTGCAGTGGTGCGGTCTCAGCTCACTGTAACCTCCACCTCCCAGGTTCAAGTGATTCGCCTGCCTCAGCCTCCCGAGTAGCTGGGACTACAGGTGCGTGTCACCATGCCCGGCTAATTTTTGTATTTTTAGTAGAGACAGGGTTTCACCATGTTGGCCAGGATGGTCTCGATCTCTTGACCTCGTGATCCGCCCACCTCGGCCTCCCAAAGTACTGGGATTACAGGTGTGAGCCACCGCACCCGGCCCAGAGTGGGTATTTTAAAAAGATGGCCATCCTCATAATCTGATTAAACATTTGCTAATAAGGTATTATGGATAGTTTTATCAGAGTGATTAATGTACTTACTAGAAATTAAGAGTAAATGCTAAAAACATTTTACATTTTCAGAAATGTAAATACTTTCATATTCAAAACTGCTGGCAGTGTGGTGGCTCACACCTGTAATCCCAGCCTCCCTTTAGGAGGCTGAGGCGGGTAGATCACTTGAGGTCAGGAGTTCAAGACCAACCTGGCCAACATGGTGAAACTCCAACTCTACTAAAAAATACAAAAATTAGCTGGGCATGGTGGAGCATGCCTGTAATTCCAGCTACTTGGGAGGCTGAGGTGCACCAGAATCGCTTGAACCTGGGAGGCAGAGGTTGCAGTGGGCCGTGATTGTGCCACTGTACTCCAGCCTGGGCAACAGAGCAAGACTCTCAAAAAACAAAAACAACAAAAATCCCCCCTACAAAACTGTCAAAAAAGGCCAGGCACAGTGGCACAGTGGCTTGCGCCTATAATCCTAACACTTTGGGAAGCCAAGGCAGGAGGACTGCTGGAGTTCAGGAGTTCTGGACCAGCCTAGGCAACAAAGCAAGACCTTGTTTCTACCAAAAATTTAAAACATTAGGCAGGCGTGGTGGCATGTGCCTACAGTTCCAGCTACTCAGGAGCCCAGGAGAACCAGGCTGCAGTGAGCTATGATTGCACCACTGCACTCCAGCCTGGATGACAGTGAGACCTTGTCTCAAAAAGAAAAACAAATTGCTGAAAAACATTCTTTTTTGCTTTCATTATTTTAGGACTCTGAATTTAAGTACTGCTAATCTACCACATTACCCGGGAAGCTGCATTCAAGAACAACATTTACAGATTCTCGAATGAGACTACAACCTCCCACAAGAGATATTATTTACTGTCATTTATGCTAGTGGGTATTTTACCCTTTATTGCTATTATATATGGTGTGACATCAAATTTCCCCCAGGAAAGAAGATTTTGATTTCCCTCATTTAAAGGTTCCTCTTAGCTGTTCTGTCAGGGACGTACATGCTTGTTAAGGTTTCTCATCTTCTACAGGCTCGCTGTGGTATTCTGCCACATACAGGCTCTTATCAATGTTGCTCGGAATAGGTTTAATTTCTGTTCCCAGCTGCTCCTCAATACTTTTCAGGTTGAAGCGATCATCATATGTGATCAAGTTGATGGCTAAGCCAAGATGACCAAAGCGACCTAAAAAACATGCGTTTAAAAATTTTAATGAATAAAATATGAAAATCAATGTGAATTGTGCAAGTCAAGCAGTGGCAAAACCACACAGGATTGATAATGATGTTCAGTGCCATTCTTAGTATGCAAAACAACTTCTTAATGGTCTTCAAACACAGGTTTCCCTACAACTTCAGGTTTCGCAGCCCAAAATAGTACTTCATTTCACCTTTCTCAAATGACAAAATGGCAGTCAAAACTGCCATAAAATACACATTAAACAACAGTCACAGAACATACCACCTAATGAGTGAAGTTCTCATGTGTTAATTTCATCTCAAATTAAGCAGTTATTTTAACTTTTCTTAATAAATGCTACAGAAGAATTAGAAATTAGTCTTAAATACCAAACAACTGAATTACTGTTAATTCACTGTTCTCATAGCTACTGTACTCTATTTCACAAAAGAACAAAATTTAGTCATTACACGCCTCAAAAAAGAACTTCTACCAAGAATATCACCTCTTTTTTCCTCACCTGATCTTCCAATACGATGGAGATAGGTCTCTGCCAGCTTTGGGAAATCAAAGTTTATTACCACATTCACAGCTTGTATATCAATACCTCGGGTAAACAGATCTTAAAAAAAAAAAGATAATTTTCATTTTTTCAATTTAGAAATGTCTCTCAGTACAATACTAACACATATTTCTAGCATAACCTAAGTTTATTAATTTAATTCAGTTATTCAAATGCATTTGCACATTACTGGCATTACCTTTCATAATCACATTATCATAAATAACTTTCTGCTCCCAAGTTACTTTTTTCCAGTAATTGTAAGCAAGTTTTAAAAAATGTGTCTAAAAGAGGCTGGGTGCACTCAAGCCTGTAATCCCAGCACTTTGGGAGACCAAAGCAGGAAGATCACCTGAGGTCAGGAGTTCGAGACCAGCCTGGCCAACATGGTGAAATCCCTGTCTCTACCAAAAATACAAAAATTAGCCGGGCTAAGCGGTAGCAGGCGCCCACAATCCCAGCTACTTGGGAGGCTGAGGCAGGAGAATCACTTGAACCCAGGAGGTGGAGGTTTCAGAGAGCCAAGATCGCACCACTGCACTCCAGCCTGGGTGACAAAGATTCCATCCCCCTCCCCCCCCCCCCCAAAAAAAAGACAGAGATGAGGTATGAGTGCCAGAGTAAGTCTTCTAAAGTTTCAGATATGGAACCCAGTATCAGGAGCTGACAAGAGTTCATTTTCAACTTCAGAAATCCTAGAAGTAGTGGTAGGGTGTGTCGGACTATGTCACAGGTTGCACTATGTAATATGAACAGAGAAAGCAAAAAACAACTTGGGAGAAAAACACTGGGTAAAGGAAATACAAAAATACTTACCAGTGCAAACAAGATTGCGGCATAAGCCATTTCGGAAATCATGAAATACACGATTTCGATGTTCCTAGGAGAAAGCAATGTATTCCATTTGATTAACACTCATATACAGCCCCAAATTTCCCATAATTATTTCTCCCAGACGATCAGTTCTACCCAAAATCTGTTTATAAGTGATCCATGATATTAAGCTGCTTTCAAAACCAAATGAGTTAAGTTCTTGATATCTTCGTCTACAGAAACTGTTTACTTACGAAATTTCATAATGTAGTTAACAAAAAAGTCATTTTTGTTACAGTTTTAAATTATTTTTTGCTAAATCAAATTCTGAAATTTAGATATTGTATCTTTTTCTAAAGGCAAACAGTAAAGAAAAAAAGAAAAATCAGCCAGCTGAGGGGCCATATTTAAAAATCCAGAGCAGTGCTGTCCAGTAAAACTTCTATAATAAAGGAAATATTTGTGTCTGTACTTCCAATTCCAATACACTATCCAGTAGCAACAGGTGCCTAACTGAGCACTTGAAATGTGGCTGTGATTGAGAAACTGACTTTTTATTTTAATTTTAACTGATTTAAATTGCCACATGTGGCTATTTACTGTATTAAACAGAGAATTAAACATGGAAAGGAAGGGAAGAATAAAATTTTACATTTGTATCATGCCTGACAGCTTCCAAAGTACTCATTTAAACATTTATCTTAATTTTCCTAACAACCTTGTAAGTTATGAATATGTACTATTATCCCTATTTTATTGCTAGAAAATTGAACCTGAGGGAGGTCAAAATGAAAGGTCCTTTGGCTACTAAGGAACAGTTTATTCTTAAACTCAGGACATTTAAAAGAACATTAAAACAAAATAAAGAAAGAGATTTCTTATTAAATTTGTGCAAGTTCTAGTTTTATACTCACCTGCCTCATTTTAGCATGAATATAGAAGCAAGAATAACCCAGTTGAGAAATCTTCTTGGCTAGCAATTCAACTCGCTGAGAGGAGTTACAGAAAATGATCGACTGGTTTATCTGAAGCTGAGCACAGAAAAAAATAAGTATGAGAAAAATAAAAAAAACCTTCATTTGGTTTGCCAAATCTTGAAAACACGAACCAGCAAAAAAGAAACATTAACATGGTCTAAAACTTAGAATCTCATGATATGAGAGAGATGGTAAATTGTAAAAATTGTAAATAATAGATGGAAGATAATAATATCTAAGATTTACCGTATTAGAGTATATTTCTTAAGGGCCACATAACTGTCAACAAGAGTAATACAATTGATTATCTGATTCAAAGTAGTTATGTTTTATGTGTTTCCATTTAAAAATATTTTATTTTATTTTTTTTTTGTGAAATGGAGTTTCACTCTTGTTGTCCAGGCTGGAGTGCAATGGTGCAATCTCAGCTCACTGCAACAGCTGCCTCCTGGGTTCAAACAATTCTCCAGCCTCAGCCTCTTGAGTAGCTGGGATTACAGGCACCCACCACAATGCCTGGCTAACTTTTGTATTTTTAGTAGAGACAGGGTTTCAGCCTGTTGGTCAGGCTGGTCTTGAACTCTTGACCTCAGGTGATCTGCCCACTTCGGCTTCCCAAAGTGCTGGGATTACAGGTATGAGCTACTGTGCCCAGCCAAGAATACCTTCTTTAATATACTCACAACCAATGCCACCAGCATTGGGCAGCACTTCAGCACCATGTGTAGGGGCCAATTAAAACTGTGAAATCAGCAACAAAAACTTGAAAAACATGGCAGACTGTGAAAAGGACCCTTGTTCACAGTATGAGAGCTAAACAAGAGGACAGAGATTGCTTTCTTCGACCTCAGCTGGGAATGTGCATGTCAGGTGACTTAAACTCTTTGCCACACTGTACACGTCCACAAATGACTGCTGAACTACCTTGAGTATTAATTCCGGAGTTACAAATAAATTCTAGTGACTAAGCAAATTCACAAATACAGAATATGTGAATAATGAGGATTAACCCTAGTTAAGGTCAAAGTATTTCAGAAACTATTCAAAAGTGTATCTGTGACTTGGTTAATCATTTAGTATCAACTTTAGGTCAACAACTAAACCTGCCTTTTAGGAAACACTATGAATTATTTTTTAATCTTTTTTTTTTTCTTCCCAAGACGGAGTCTTGCTCTGTCGCCCAGAGCTGGAGTGCAATGGTGCAATCTCAGCTCACTGCAGCCTCCGCCTCCTGGGTTCAAGCAATTCTCCTGCCTCGGCCTCCCAAGTAGCTGGGATTATGGGCACACGCCACCATGCCCAATTTTTTTGTATTTTGTAGTAGAGATGGGGTTTCACCATGTTGGCCAGGCTGGTCTCAAACTCCTGACCTCGTGATCTGCCTGCCTCAGCCTCCAAAGTGCTGGGAGGCATGAGCCACCGTGCCAAGCCAGAAACACTACGAACTTTTATACAGTGAAGACGGTGGGAAAATTGATGAAATCATCTGTTTTACTGGGACTCGAGAGATAATATTCAACAGCAGAAGCCTACTTCTTACCCTGGAGAAAAGTGTGTTGAGGCAGTGTACTTTTTGGCGCTCAGTTACATATGCGTAGTACTGGGTTACTCCCTTCAGAGTTAGTTCCTCCATCAGGTTAATCTCATAGGGTTTCTGCAAATGGGAATTCTGGGGGGGGAGCGGGAAAAAGATGAGTCGTCGTCTTAAATGAAAGCAGAGTTCATCTCAAATTCAAAATATACCCTATACGTTTCTGTCCGATAAACTCTTGCTGTAAGGGACGCAACTCTCTTCAAAACAAAATATATGATCTGTCATTACAGAATTTCCCCCCTGCCACCCTGAGACAAAATCTTGCTCTGTCACCCAGGCTGGAGTGTAGTGGCACGATCTCTGCTCCCTGCAACCTCCACCTCCCGGGTTCAAGTGATTCTCCTGCCTCGGCCTCCCGAGTAGCTGGGAATGCAGGCATGCACTGCCATAACAGACTAATTTTTGTATTTTTAGTAGAGACGGGGTTTCACCATGTTGCCCAGGCTGGTCTCGAACTCCTGACCTTGTGATCTGCCCGCCTCGGCCCCCCAAAGTGCTGGGATTACAGGCATGAGCCACCATGCCCGACCCGATAGAAATAAATTAAGATATAAGATCTCAAAAATGCAGCTAAGTTACTACAGGTTGAGTATTCCTTACCCAAAATGCTTAGGAACAGAAGTGTTTCAGGTTTTAAATTTTTTCTAATTTTGGAATATGTGCATTACACTTAGTGACTGAGCATCCTTAATTTGAAAATTCAAAATCCAAAGAACATTTCCTTTTAGCATCATGTTCGTGGCTCAAAAGGTTTCAAATTCTGCAGTATTTTGGATTTCAGTTTAGGATACTCAAGCTCTGTTTTGTATATAGAATAATACCGGAATCAATTCAGCTAGCACCAATGGCTATGTCATCATGACACCAAAAACTAAGTGAAAGATGAGGAATTTAATTAAGTTACTATTACAACCTTCTTAAAAAGTCAGTTAATTTACGTAAAACAAATCTTTAATTGATCAACTGAAGAAAGAGCCAAAGGCTTGAAATAATTAGCATAAAGTATATTCACAGATATGAAGATGTAATTACAAATAAAAGCATACTCAAAGGTCACAGGATGGCACTGATTCCAAGTACAGATTTATACTCACCATGAACTTCTGTACACTAAGAGGGAAAGTAGCGGAATATAGTAAAATCTGCCTGTTTTTAGGTAGCGTGAGAATAATATCCTCCATTATCTGCACAAAATCCTGTGACAGCAACTTATCTGCCTGCAGTAGAAAGAAAAGACAATTTTAAAAACAATAAAATAATGTCTAAGGTCTTGGTTAATACATGGTCAAAGAATAAGGCATCATCCAACAAAAGCATCCATGAAATGTTCCTGGTGGAAAACAATAAATTCTCTCCAACACTGCAGAGAGTCAAATATGCAGAAGGGGGCAAAATCTATAATCCCCATCTTCTAGGGGAAAAAAAAAATTCTACACTACACAGACAACCTCCCCCGCTTTCTGTAACAGAATTTAATTAATTTATTTATTTTTAGAGACAGCATTTCACTCTGTCACCCAGCTGGAGTGCAGTGGCATAATCGTATCTCACTGCAGCCTGAACTTCCTGGGCTCAAGTGATCCTCTTGCCTGAGCCTACTGAGTAGCTAGGACTACAGGCACATACCTCCATGCCCAGCTCCACAACAGAATTTTAATGTGATGATTCTCATTAAAGAGGTAGTATGGTGTAGTGTTTAAAAGTACGGGTTCTGGCCGGGCGCGGTGGCTCACGCCTGTAATCCCAGCACTTTGGGAGGCCGAGGCGGGAGAATCACGAGGTCAAGAGTTTGAGACCAGCCTGACCAACATGGTGAAACCCCATCTCTACTAAAAATACAAAAATTAGCTGGACGTGGTGGTACGCACCTATAATCCCAGGTACTCGGGAGGCTGGGGCAGGAGAATCGCTTGAACTTGGGAGGCGGACGCTGCAGTGAGCCAAGATCACACCACTGCACTCCAGCCTAGGCGACAGGGCGAGACTACTCCGTCTCAAAAAAAAAAAAAAAAAAAAAGTAAGGGTTCTGAGGCCGGGTGCAGTGGCTCACGCCTGTAATCCCAGCACTTTGGGAGGACCAGGCGGGCGGATCACCTGAGGTCAGGAGTTCAAGACAAGACTGGTTGATATGGTGAAACCCTGTCTCTACTAAAAATACAAAAATTAGCTGTGCACAGTGGCAAGCGCCTGTAATTCCAACTACTCAGGAGGCTGAGGCAGAAGAACTGCTTGAACCTGGGAGATGGAGGTTGCAGTTGAGCTGAGATCGCACCACTGCACTCCAGCCTGGGCAACAGAGCAAGACTCTGTCTCAAAAAAAAGTACAGGTTCTGGAGCTAAACTGCCAGGTTGAAATCTTGCCTCCTTCATTTCTCAGCTGTGTGGGAATGTTACAGAACTACTCTGTACTTCAGTTTCCACAACTCTAAAATTGTAAAACTATTAAAATTTGGATGTTTACATAATGTAGTAACTACTTTACCGGGATTTAGAAAAAACTTGGCTAAGGCCAGGTGTGGTGGCTCACGCCTGTAATCCCAGCACTCTGGGAGGCTTAGGTGGGCAGATCACTTGAGGTCGGGAGTTTGAGACCAGCCTGACCAACATGGAGAAACCCTGTCTCTGCTAAAAGTACAAAATTAGCCCGGCATGGTGGCACATGCCTGTAATCCCAGCTACTCGGGAGGGCTGAGGCAGGAGAATCGCTTGAACTTGGGAGGTGGAGGTTGCGGTGAGCTGAGATCGCACCACTGCACTCCAAGCGGGGCAACGAGACTCTGTCTCAAAAACAAAACAAAACAAAACAAAAAAGAAAAAACTTGACTTTCAAGTTATCCAGCCACTCCTCTTCTTAAAAATTAAACCTAAACTCTGGCATCTATAAGACAAAAAGCTGAATTCCTATGAATGCCTATCTATTGCATCTGAAGTATAAAACGTATTTTATAAGCAAATTAGAAGTTGGATGTCTACATACTATAGTAACTACTTGACAGGATACCTACCTTATAGGTTTCTTGTAAAAATTAAATGGAAAAAAAAAAAAAAAAACAAACCATGTAAAGCACTTAGTGCTGGTACCCAGTGATTAATAAATGTTCTCTCTCATTACTTAAAGATAAAAGTCTGATTTGAATTAAATCATGTTACCTAAAACACAAACCAGGCCGGGCGTGGTGGCTCATGCCTGTAATCCCAGCAATTTGGGAGGCTGAGGCAGTAGGATCACCTGAGGTCAGGAGTTCGAGACTAGCCTGGCCAACATTGCAAAACCGCGCCTCTACTAAAAATACAAGAATTAGCTGAGCGTGGGTGGTACATAATTGTAATCTCAGCTACTCAGAAGGCTGAGGCATAAGAATCACTTGAAGCGGGGAGGCAGAGGTTGTAGTGAGCCGAGATCACGCCACTGCACTCCAGTCTGGGTGACAGAGTGAGTCTGTCTCAAAAAAAAAAAAATAATAATAATAATAATAAACCTCAACCCAAATGTGAAAATAACCTCATGTCAAAACATTAACAACGCTGATCACTATAGATCCTCCTTGACTTACAATGGGATTATGTTCTGATAAATTCATCCTAAGTTGAAAATATTACCCAAACCTACTGAACATCATCGCTCAGCCTAGCCTCCTTTAAACATGCTCCACTTACCTTAGCTTACAGTTGGGCAAAATCACCTGCAACGCCGTATACTGTAGAGTATCGGCTGTCTGCCCTCAATCATCATGTGGCTGACTGGGAGCTGCAGTTTGCTGCTGATGCCCAGCATCATGGGAGTATCATATAGCATATTACTAACCAGGAAAAATATCAATCTTAAAAATTCAAAGTACAGTTTCTAATGAAAGCTTATCACTTCCACTGAAAAACTGTAAAGTGAACCATCTTAAGTCAGGGACCATCTGTACATGTACAAAACATGGCTAGATCCCAGGACTACAGATTTTAATAAGTTTTTAAAAGGCATTTATAACATGGTGAGATAATACATGTAACAGAGATTAAAAACCAAACAGTACAAAGTAGTATGCACAAAATGAGAAGAGACAATATATATTATATGCTTTTAAAAATTAATCACAGAGCAGAAAGAGACTTAGAATAAATTTGGCATTGAGGTTATTCACTCCTCTACTAAAAAATTAAAACCTAATGTCTGCTATCTCTAAGAAAAAGACAAAATGCTGAATTCCAATGAATGCCTATAATCTACTCCCTCTGACGGGTAAAACACATTTTATAAGCAAATTAATTTAAACTGATTGTTTATGTGTTTATTAGATCATAAACACAAGCAGCTTTTGCTTCATTCACTGGCAGTTATAAGCAAAGCACAGAAAAGTACAGAACAGTATAATGCCAAATGAAGAGACATTACCTCATCCAATACTATCATCTGGACATGATCAACCTTTGCTACTCCTTTCTTAATAAGATCCAGGATTCTCCCAGGGGTAGCAATCACCACGTGCACTATGCAAGATTTAGAAAACATACATTCTCATTAATTTTAATTTGAGCAAAGAGGATAAAGGTTTATAATATTACAGTCCTGAGCTGCTTAATGATAATTCTGAGAAATGCATTGCTATGTGATGGTATAGCCTACTCCATTGTATAGCTCCATTATAATCTTATGGGAACACCGACATACGTGCAGCCGTCACTGACCACAACATTGTATGCAGCACATGACTATCTTTTATTAGAAACAACTAGGCCGGGTGCAGTAGCTCATCCCTGTAATCCCAGTACTTTGGGAGGCCGAGGTGGGTGGATCACATGAGGTCAGGAGTTCGAGACCAGCCTGGCCAACACGGTGAAACCCTGTCTCTACTAAAAATACAAAAATTAGCTGGGTGTGGTGGTGGGAGCCTGTAATCCCAGCTACTCAGGAGGCTGAGGTAGGAGAATCGCTTGAACCCAGGAGGCAGACGTTGCAGTGAGCCGAGATCACACCACTGCACTCTAGCCAGAGCAACAGAGTAAGACTGTGTCTCAAATTAAAAAAAAAAAAAAAAAGAAAGAAAGAGAAGAAACACATTGTGTTATAGAGGTGGAAATAACACAAAAAGGCACAAAGATGTGTTTTAGGATAAAGACTTCCATTTCACCACAGGATGCTTAAAAAATATTTGTTTCACCTCTACATTGGGTGGGGTACAGCTTCCTAAATCACCTGCTGCTTTCAACAGTAGGCATACTTTCTTGTCTTAGGATAATTCTCAATTAATAGCAGAAGGCACACCAGACTTCTGACATAAGAGCAATGCCTCTAATCTAGAGCAGTGAGCCGAGTATTGTTAAAAGGATCAAACAAGATAATTTTTTAAAAACCTATGCAATACAAAGAATGTATCACATAATTATCATATATAATATTCTAACTAAAATCAAGATATAATTTTATATGAGTGATCTCATTCTTGCTGTTTTGTTACCTTTTTCCACTCGGCAATGTATCATGAAACCTCTTCATGAAAATGAATACAGGTCAACTTTACTCTTTAATGACTATGTAGAATCCTATTCAGATTATACCTTAACGTATTTAGTTAGCCAATCTCCTTCTAAGTTGGCCAATTTTTCGGCACGACAATACCACCCCATAGCAAACAACTTTGTACCTACAGCCCTGCATTTACCCAACTTTTTTCTTCAGGAAAGATTCTTAAAAATATACATTTATGGCCGGGCACGGTGGCTCACGCCTGTAATCCCAGCACTTTGGGAGGCTGAGGCAGGTGGATCACGAGGTCAGGAGATCGAGACCATCCTGGCTAATACGGTGAAACCCCGTCTCTACTAAAAACACAAAAATTTAGCCTGGCGTGGTAGCGGGAGCCTGTAATCCCAGCTATTCAGGAGACTGAGACAGGAGAATGGCCTGAACCTGGGAGGCGGAGATTGCAGTGAGTCAAGATTGCGCCTCTGCACTCCAGCCTGGGCAACAGAGCAAGACTCCATCTCCAAAAAAAAAAAAAATATACACACACACACACACATTATATATACATTTATAATTTTAAAATATACTCCCAAATTGCCCATGATAGAGATGTAAGTTTACACCCCCACATTTACAATGTAGCCTATTTGTCCACAAACTCACATTATCGTCTACTAATACTTTTAGCTTTACCAATTAAACAGGTAAAATTATTATAAACTTGCTGTTTTACAATTACTAATAAAGTCAAATATCGTTTTCAATTATGGTAATTTGTCTTTTTCGCTTGAATGCAGTGGTCATTTCCTTTTCTTACTGCAGTATTTCTGTTCCTTAATTCTTAAAAACAATTTTTAATAATTTACTGAAATACTTGTGACTAAAATAACAGAGAGCTACACTACCTTTTAGTAATCATTTCTTACCTGTATCATCAAGCCTCATTATGTCATCTCGTAAATTGGTTCCTCCTGTGGTTGCCATCACTTTGGCCCCTCCCATGTGTTTGCTGACCTGGATGCAAATTTGACTGACCTGTAGAGCAAGTTCTCTAGTGGGAACAATCACCATTGCTGAAACAGTATCAAGGAATATATAAGAAAATATGGGGTGAGGTGGGAGAACATGCTATACATCATTATTTACAAAATTTAAGAAGCTATAGAAATACTGCGCCTTATGATGCAGTGGCTCACACCTGTAACTGCACCTTATGATGCAGTGGCTCACGCCTGTAATCCCAGCACTCTGGGAGGCCAAGGTGGGCAGATCACCTGAGGTCAGGAGTTCGAGAGCAGCCTGACCAACATGGTGAAACCCCATCTGTACTAAAAATACAAAAATTATCCAGGCGTGGTGGCACGCACCTGTAGTCCCACCTACTCAGGAGGCTGAGGCAGGAGAATCACTTGAACCCGGAGGCAGAGGCTGCAGTGAGGCAAGATCGCGCCACTGCACTCCAGCCTGGGCGACAGAGTGAGACTCAGTCTCAAAAGAAAGAAAGAAAAAAAAAATAGCCTAGGCACGGTGGCTCACACCTACCTATAAGCCCAGCACTTTGGGAGGCCAAGGTGGGTGGATCACCTGAGGCCGGGAGTTTGAGACCAGCCTGACCCTATCTCTACTAAAAATACAAAATTAGCTGGGCGTGGGTGGCACATGCCTGTAATCCCAGCTACTTGGGAGGCTGAGGCAGAAGAATCGCTTGAACCCGAGAGGCAGAGATTGTGGTGAGCCGAGATTGTGCCACTGCACTCCAGTCCAGGCAACAAGAGCGAAACTCCGTCTCAAATAAAAAAAAAGAAAAGAAACACTGCCCCTTATAATCTAGATACCGAGATGTATTAAAAAATTGGGCTGGGCAGCACAGTGAGTAACTCATGCCTAGAATCCCAGCACTTTTGGAGGCTGAGGCAGGAGGATCGTTTGAGCTCAGGAGTTTAAGACCAGCCTGGGCAACATAGCAAGACCCCATCTCTACTAAAAAAAAAAATGAAAAAAATTAGCTGGGAATGGTGGCATGTGCCTATAGTCTCAGCTTCTGGGGAGGCTGAGGCAGGAGGATCACATCAGCCTGGGAGATTAAGACTGCATTAAGCTATGATCATGACACCACACTCCAGAATGGGTGACACAGCAAGACTCTGTCTCCCCCGCCAAAAAAATTAAGAAATAAAAATAAAAAGTTGAATCATTACACAGGACATTATGAAAACTCAAATGTACAAATCTCTTTATGAAAAGAGAACCTATTATAGTGTCCCAGATTTAGACTCTCCCTCAGCAATACTATTATATAAATATTAAACTCTTCCTCTTCTTTTTTTTGAGATGGAGTCTTGCTCTGTTGTCCAGGCTGAAGTGCAGTGGCTGCCATCTCGGCCCACTGCAACCTCTGCCTCCCAGGTTCAAGCAATTCTCCTGCCTCAGCCTACTGAGTAACCGCCACCACACCCAGCTAATTTTTTGTATTTTTAGTAGAGACGGGGATTCATCATGTTGGCCCAGCTGGTCTCAAACCCCTGACCTCAAGCAATCCTCCTGCCTTGGCCTCCCAAAGTGCTGGGATTACAGGTGTGAGTCACTGCACCTGGCCTTCTGCTGCTGCTGCTTCTTCGTTTTGAGACAGATCTCGCTCTGTTACCCAGGCTGGAGTGCAGTGACATGATCTTGGCTGACTGCAACCTCCACCTCCCAGGTTCAAGCAATTCTCCTGCCTCAGCCTCCTTGAGTAGCTGGGACTACAGGCACATGTCACCACACCCAGCTAATTTTTGTATTTTTAGTAGAGACAGGGTTTTACCATGTTAGCGAGGCTGGTCTTGAACTCCTGACCTCAGGTGATCTGCCTTGCCTCGGCCTCCCGAAGTGCTGGGATTACAGGCGTGAGCCACCACACCCAGCCAATACTGTTCTTAATTACAAACTTTCAGCATGTTGAGTTCGCAACTATTAGCTCAAAGTTTATTAACAATATTTCTAAAAGCCCCAACTACATTTGAGTCAGATTCACTGTGTAAAATACCTAGGTAGGAAACTCCTGCTACCTAGGCTCTATTTACATCATATGAAAGTGGGAAGAAAAGATAATTACAGATCACGAAAGCTAAAAATGTAAAGTTTCAGAGATGAAATCTTAATTCCATTAACTTACATTGAATATAACTATGAAAATTTTTTATTCCCCACTGCCTAGGCTCTTAAAATCCCAAAATCCACAGCCTTTAAACAGAAGTTCATGTTTCTACAAGGAATTCTGTTAACACTCATCTGCCACAAGAAATAGTTCCATAGTTTATAAGTAGCAATGTCAACTAATTTAACTTCTCATGACCTCAGCCGCCTTTTTTTTTTTTTTTTTTTTTTTGAGTTGAGAGTCTCACTCTGTCACCCAGGCTGGAGTGCAGTGGCACAATCTTGGCTCACTGCAACCTCCACCTCCTGGGTTCCAGTGACTCTCGTGCCTCAGACTTCTGAGTAGCTGGGATTACAGTTGTGCGCCACCATGCCCAGCTAATTTTTGCATTTTTAGTAGAGACAGGGTTTCGCAATGTTGGCCAGGCTGGTCTTAAATATCTGGCCTCAGGTGATCCACCCACTTTGACCTCCCAAAGTGCTGGGATTACAGGCTGTGAGGCACCGTGCCCAGCCTCAGCTTTCCTACCTATAGGGCACTAATACTTATTTTTCCTGTCTCACTGGAATGCTGTCACAAGTGTGTATCATATAAGAATACTCTTAAAACTAGAAATCTCTAAAAAGCTGGGAATCATTTTTAATAAAAAGACCATCATCAGGCTAAAAAAAGAAAAAACCTGAAAAGAAAGAATACAAATTTTAGATAATGTAAATTCTGACTAAAAAAAGAGTATCTTCTACACATGGCTCCAAGGCTGAAACTCCCATTTTTAGTTTAAAAACAAACTTTTATTCAACTAACCTTGTATATTGTCCTTCTTCAGGTCTAGCCGTTCAAGTAAGGGAATGAGGTAGGCACCGCTCTTGCCTGTTCCATTTTTTGCTCTAGCTAAGATATCCCTACCAGATAAAGCAATGGGAATGCTCTCCTCCTAAAAGAGATAAGACAATACAAAATTACTTCTGAATGTAGTACACAAGCAAATTCCTCTCTGAAATACACTGAAGGATACCTCTTTCGGTATTGCTTTAAGTGTCCTAAGTATCCTACATTTGAATTCTACATGAATAGCAGAGATCCAAGTAAATCAGCACGACCAGTCAACATCAACATCATTATAAACCAGTATTTACCAGAACTGCTCACAGAATTTTAAATTGTAACCCAATGTCATAAGAACTGTGTTATGTGTGTATCTGAAGAGAACAACAAAGAAAATGGAGGAACTCAGGCTGACCCATAAATAGCACTTGAAAATACAGACAAAACAAAAGCAAAGCCTCCTTCAAATAAAAATTGGAAAAATGGCCAGGCACAGCAGCTCATGCCTGTAGTCCCAGCACACTGGGAGGCAGAAGTGGGGGATCACTTGAGCCCAGGAGTTCAACACCAGCCCGGGCAACTAGGCAACATGGAAAAACCCCAACTCTACAAAAATTACAGAAAGTAGCTGGGTGTGGTGGTGGGTGTCCATAAACCTTGAGAGGCTGAGCCAGGAGGTCAAGGGTGAAGTGAGCCATGATTGCACCACTGTACTCCAGCATGAAAGAGACCTCGTCTCATCTCAAAAAAAAAAAAAAAAAAAAAAGGCTAGATACAGTGGCTCACATCTGTAATCCCACCATTATGGGAGGCCAAAGCAAAACGATCACTTGAGCCCAGGAGTTTGAGAACAGCTTAGGCAAAATGGTGAGACCCCATCTCTACAAAAATTTTTAAAGGAAAAAACAAAAACAATTCCAAGGTAAGACTATATATATTTTGAGACTAGCACACCAATTTGACCACAGTGAAAAATTGTAGCTTGGACACCTCATCCCTGCAACAAAACACGAATAGGCTGGGAAAGTTTAACCTCAGGTCCTATTTGTCATTTATTTATATAATAAGTAAATCTCCAATGTCTGTCCCACAGCCTACTTCTCTGTTCTGTAATGTGCTCTCTATTGAAGGTTCAATTCTATTGCAGCTACCTCAAATACGGTCACATCACTAAAGGTGACCTCTCATTTTAATATTTGGCTTACTTTGTTATCTATTTTGCAAATAATAACAGTAGTTCATACTAACTTAAATTTCCCAGACAACAGCAAAGGATTCCCAAAAGTTACTTAAAAATAAATAGACATATACAAAGAGAGGTCAGGAGTTCAAGAACAGCCTGGGCAACATGGCAAGCACCCCCACTCTTTGCAAAAACAAAACAAACAACAACAACAAACTATAAAATACAATAGATCGTTGAAAAAGCTTGATCGTTGAAAAATTGTTAAAAGGAAATTATGTGGAATTTTTTTTTTTGAGACAGAGTCTCGCTCTGTCGCCCAGGCTGGAGTGCAGTGGCACAATCTCGGCTCACTGCAAGCTCTGGCTCCCGGGTTCACGCCATTCTCCTGCCTCAGCTTCCTGAGTAGCTGGGACTACAGGTGCCCGCCACCACACCCGGCTAATTTTTTTTTTGTATTTTTAGTAGAGACGGGGTTTCACCGTGTTAGCCAGGATGGTGTTGATCTCCTGACCTCGTGATCCACCCGCTTTGGCCTCCCAAAGTGCTGGGATTACAGGCGTGAGCCAGCGCGCCGGGCCATGATGTGGAATTTTAATTTTTTTTCTTTTTTTTTTGAGACAGAGTTTCGCTCTTGTCACTCAGGCTGGAGTACAATGGTGCGATCTTGGCTCACTGCAACTTTCGCCTCCTGGTTCAGGCGATTCTCCTGCCTCAGCCTCCCGAGCAGCTTAGATTAACGGCGTGTGCCACCACACCCAGCTAATTCTTGTATTTTTAGTAGAGACGGGGTGTTTCACCATGTTGGCCAGGCTGGTCTTGAACTCATGACCTCAGATGATCCACCGACCTCGGCCTCCCAAAGTGTTGGGATTACAGGCATGAGCCACTGTGTCTGGCCTGAATTTTTAATTTCTAAAACTAAGATACTAGGAACCAAATTCACAGTCACTGACATTTGTCCCTTCTATGCCTGGGCTAACGACAAAAACAAACAAACAAACAAAAAACAGCTTTAGCCCTTTAAAGCTGCTATTGGTAGAAATGACTAAATAAGCAGGATGACTTCCATCTCCCACGACAACACTCTTTCTACCTAGAGCTCCAATCACAGGATATAAATGGGTTCCATATGGTCAGAACAACACAGCTGCCAGAACAACTGTGAAAATATTGTTGTTGGCTGGGAACGATGGCTCATGTCTGTAATCCCAGCACTTTGGGAGGCTGAGGTAGGCAGATCACCTGAGGTCAGGAGTTCGAGACCAGCCTGGCCAACATGGTGAAACCCCATCTCTGTTAAAAATACAAAAATGGTCATGGTGCGCACCTGTAGTCCCAGCTACTTGGGAGCCTGAGGTAGGAGAACTGCTTGAGCCCAGGAGGAGGAGGTTGCAGTGGGCCAAGATTGCGCCACTGCACTCCAGCCTGGGCAATGGAGCAAGACTCAGTCTCACAAAAAAAAAAAAAAAGAGAGAGAAAAGAAAAGAAAATACTGTTGTCTTGTTCTTACAGCCAGCATTAAAGACTCTGCTTATTAAGGTAAAGCAAACAAAGAAGAAAACCTTGGCTTTAACCCTTTGGTCTTAAATTTCTTCCCTCATCACAGATAAGTGAACCATTATTTCCAGTTGTTCCAGAGGCTCCCATTACCCTGTCACCTCAGGTTTTCTCTTTTGTGGTTCTGTGGTGCCAGTAGTCTGTAGTTTTTAACAGGCTGCCTGCACACTACTCAGTTTTACAGTATTGAAAAAGTAAGATAGGTGGTCTCTGATGGTCTCATAACGACTTGCTGGGTCAGGTTCTTTAAAGTGTAAACCTTTTTTTCAATCAAGTGAGGCAGAACAGAATTAGACTAGAGGTATCCTAATCCCCCTTTTCAGTTCATCTTTTGACTGACTTGATTAAGGCCATTGACTTCTATTCCTTTGCCCTCTTTGACAGGGATTATACCCTACAAAAACTGTTCAAGGATAAAGCTTTAACAAAGTACATGTGATAGACTGTAAGTTAAGACACCCTGATATTTTGCCTTATATGATGGCCATTATGATTAACAGTCAGTGAATTCAGCACATCCACACTGCCTCTTACCAGTGTTTCTCAGGAAATAATGAAAAGCAAGAGAATTCAAGTCAAGTTCAAAAAGCTGTGAAATACAAGAGGAAATTATGAGGAACTGCCAGGGAGAAGGCAAAGGAGGAAGGAAACGAAAACTTTTTTTAAAACTTACTATGTGCTCAGCACAACTTTCAAGTTAGGTACTTTGTTTTACAACTGACAAAATGGATCCTAAACAGGATTAGTTTGCCCAAGGTCACAAAGCAAGAAATGCTTTAGCCAGTATTTGAACTTAGATCTGCACATAACATGTAGGCAAGAAGTTGGAGAAAATGGAACTCTCATACACTGCTAGTGGGAATGTACAGCTACGCTGGAAACCAGCCTTGCAGTTCCTCAAAAGGTTAAAAAGAGTTACCATATGAACTAGCAATTCTAGGTATACAGCGAAGAGAAATAAAAACATCTCCACACAAAAACCTGCACCTGAATTTTCATAGCAGCATTATCCTTAATAGCCAGTTCCTTCTATGTTTTTTTTTATAATAGTACAAACTTTATTCATAAATAAAACTTCATAAGGTTAAAGCAGGGTCAGTTCCTATTTTAAAAAGGGAACAGGGGAAGGCAGCCTGCTATTTTATTTAAAATCACAAGTTAGGTTTTTCAGACGGATGACAGTTGAGATCATTAAATCCCCTTCCTACTTCTCAGATTTTCACAAAATAGCACATTAAATCCTCAGTCCTTGGAAAACAACCCCAAATGTCTACCAACTGATGACTGGATAAATCAGAAGTAATAGAGCCATACAATAAAATATTATTCAGGAAAAAGGAATGGAATATTGATACAAGCTACAACACAGATGAACTCGGAAAACATTACGCTAAGTCAAAGAAGCCAGTCACAAAAAAAACACATACTATAGGATTCTATTTATATGACATGTCCAGACTAGGCAAAGCTAGAATGACAGAAAGTATACCAGTGGTTGTTTAGGGGTGTGGGAAAATGAGGTGTGACTGCTAAAAGGGTTTCTTTTGTGGGACTGATCAAAATGTTCTAAAATTTATTGTGGTAATGGTTGCAGAACTCTAAATGCACTAAAAAGCATTAAATTGTATACTTTTGATGTGTGATGTCATTTATATCTCAATAAAGCTATTACCCCCAAAAAACAAAACCCCAAAAAACCAACCCCACAAGCTTAGGGCTGACATCTGCCACCTTAGGTCTCCAAATTCACATTCACTGTAACGTTTAGATAATGACTGAAGAGTATTTGTTGTGTTTTGGTTACTCTAGTATCCCTTTACTAAGTAACACCCCAATTTCCTTCTAAGGAATTACATATGCCCTGGTCTCCCCTGTCCCAACAGACCAAGCCTCACCAATTTTCTAAGCCAAGTGGTAGACACATAGCCCACACTGGGCCAGCGGAATGTTGCCTCCTAAGAATCTAAATTGTTATAGTGCATCCATTACAGCTTCCTAAGTCCTTCAGAGCTATCTCAATTCTTAGTCATTTCCAAGTATGTTTCTCTAGCCTTCTCAATCTTGTGAATTCCCGTTATTTTTCCAATAAATTTCCTTTTGCTTAAGTTAGATCGAGTTGGTTTCTGATGCCTATAATTAAAGAATGGTTTATTTTCCAATCTCCTAGCATTGAGAGGCATTTTACAAAAGTGTGGTACCAACAAAAGCTCAACATCACCCAACTAGCTGCATTTACACTGACTGCTTCCTCTTATTTTCCAAACCTTAATTTCCAAGAGGGAAAAAAAACCTATGGTTAAAGGCCGGGCGCGGTGGCTCACGCCTGTAATCCCAACACTTTGGGAGGCCGAGGTGGGCAGACCATGAGGTCAGGAGATGGAGACCATCCTGGCTAACATGGTGAAACCCCGTCTCTACTAAAAAAATACAAAAAAATTAGCCGGGCGTGGTGGCAGGCGCCTGCAGTCCCAGCCACTTGGGAGGCTGAGGTAGGGGAATGGCGTGAACCCAGGAGGCAGAACTTGCAGTGAGCCAAGATTGCACCACTGCACTCCAGCCTGGGCGACAGAGCGAGACTCTGTCTCAAAACAAAATAAAACAAAACAAAAAAACAACCTATGGTTACTCCAGACGAGGTAGCAATGATTGTTACAAATGTCCCCTGCTTAACAGGAAAAAAAAAAAGGGAGATGGTAATTTCTAATTATATCTCTAATTTAGGCTGGGGATGGTGGCTCACACCTGTAATCTCAACCCTCTGCAAGGCTGAGGCAGGAGAACTGCTTGAGGCCAGGAGTTCAAGACCAGCCAGTGTGACAAACTGAGACTCTGTCTCCCCGACCCCACCCAAAAAGAAAACAAAACAAAACACACACCAAAAAAAAAAACAAAACAAACAAACAAAAAAAACCTTTGAGTTTTTAGGAAATATTTTTTTCAATCATGATAAACCGATTGTTAGCAGGAAGAATGACTTATTTACAGGATTCAGAATGCTATAATTCCTAACTATAAATAGTAAACTATTAATCCTCATTAGACCTTAGCTGACCTGGCACAAAATTTTGTTGCCAACAGTACGGAGCTTCCATGTTTCCCT
Organism: Homo sapiens; assembly: GCF_000001405.40. Taxonomy (NCBI): domain Eukaryota; kingdom Metazoa; phylum Chordata; class Mammalia; order Primates; family Hominidae; genus Homo; species Homo sapiens. The sequence goes on from NC_000011.10 coordinate 118,774,087, forward strand.
CAATAATCAACTACTTCTCATTTCTTCACCTTCTTAGAGTTTCGAAAAAGTCTTCAAGAGGTGTTCCCAGGGTTTAGAAGCAACGAGAGAGGCCATCTTTCTCAATCATAACCCCAAAGTTAATATAAAGTTTCAAATAATGCTAAGCAGACAAAAACAGTATATTCTTAAGCCTTCCAAAGAAGTCTAGGTTCCTATAAAGCTATACCTTTAGAATGGCAATTATTCTACTGGCCACAGCATCCAGACCTAGAACTGGTCACAGATGGCTCTAGAAATACGTTGTGGGAGCAATCTGTAGTATATCTGGTTCCAGCCTGTCAATGTAAAAGCTCTTTTGAGAGCATATAATTTTAAGTGCCTAATTCTCTAACAGTCTTTTTTTTTTTTTTTTTTTTGTGAGACAGGGTCTTGCTCTGTTGCCCAGGATGGAGTGCAGTGACACAATCCTGGCTCACTTACAGCCTCAACCTCCTGAACATCTAAGACTACATGTCCCCCATGCCCAGCTAATTTTTGTACAGTCAGGGTTTTGTCATGTTGTTTAGGCTGGTTTTGAACCCCTGGACTCAAGCAATCCACCCACCTTGGCTTCCCAAAGTGCTGGGATTATAGGCATGAGCCACTGCACCCAGCCAATTCTCCAAATCTCACAGCCAAACTGCAACTAAATTCCATCTCAAACAAATATTCAAATGCAGAAGACTCACCCATCTAATCAAGGCAGTTTTAATATTTAGGGGAAAAAAAATGCCTGGATAAAACTGTAAAACCAAGCATGATAGAAGAGATACTTTTAGGAATGGGGGAGGGATGACAAAAATAAAACGAGAAGGTAGATAAGAATGGAAAGAATACTAGAAGACAGCCTGCCATGAGGTTATATTTTACCAGGGGGGTGATGGGTGCACCCAAATCTCAGAAATAGCAACTAAATAATTTACTTGGCCAGGCGTGGTGGCTCACGCCTGTAATTCCAGTACTTTGGGAGGCCGAGGAGAGTGGATCGCCTGAGGTCAGGAGTTCAAGACCAACCTGGACAACATGGTGAAACCCCGTCTCCACCAGAAATACAAAAATCAGCCGGGTATGCTGGTGCCCGCCTGTAATCCCAAGTCACTTGGGAGGCCGAGGCACGAGAATCGCTTGAACCCGGGAGGCAGAGGTTGCAGTAAGCCGAGAGCACACCATTGCACTCCAGCCTGAGCGACAGAGCAAAACCCTGTCTCAAAAACAAAAGAATTTACTCATGTAACCAAACACCACCTGTTCCCCCAAAAAACCTATGAAAATAAAAATTTAAAAAATTTTTTTACTAGGGGATCTGTAAATTTTGTTTCGGTTCTAAAATCCTAATATTTGTGACTTGTAACTCTGATTGATTCTAAGAAACACATAATCTTGTGCTTTCCATGGATCCCCAGGACAAAACAATAGGAAAGAAAAAGGCAATAAAAAAAAAGAAAAAGGCAATACAAGTGGTGACCTTGAGTATCTAAAACAATATACTCATACAATACCTTGCTATTTCAAAATACTTTGGTTGTACACTACATTTGATCTTAACAATAAAAATCCTGTGAGGGAGAGTACTTATTTCTACTTTACAGAAAAAGCTGGATGTCAGATTGGTTAAGTGGCTGAAGAGTTAATTGCCTATATGCTATAACAACACTCAGAGTACAAGTAACAAAGTTAATTTTAAATTTTAATACAAGGTAAGAAATAGGAGTCAGCAAATATCCACTAAGAATGAGGACTGGGCTAAGTGCAGTGGTTCACATCTATAATTCTAGCACATTGGGAAGCCAAGGCAGGAGGACTGCTTGAGCCCAGGAGGTCAAGACCAGCCTGGTCAACATGGCAAAACCTTGACTCTACCAAAAACAAAAACAAAAACAAAAACAAAAAACAACCAGGTGTGCTGGTACTACACTATCATCCTTACTCAGGAGGCTGGGGCAGGAGTATCACGTGAGCCCAGGAGTTTGAGGCTGCAGTGAGCTAAGATTCTGACACTGCATCCAGCCCAGGCAACTTAGCAAGACTCAGTCTCTTTAAAACAAATTTAAAACAATTACGTCTCCTAAATTAACTAATTTCCTTTTTTGAAACTATTATATAAAATAACCCATAACATTTTTGAGCATTTATCACGTACTAGGCATTGTACTAAGCATGTGAATTATCTCACTTAATCTTTACAACAACCCTATGGTATTATACTATTACCTCAATTATATAGGTCAGGAGTCTAAGACTTATAGATCCCAAATAACCAATTTATGAAGGAGTAGAGCTGGGATTTAATCTGGGCAGTTCCCTACACCAAGTTCACCTGCAGACATGAGTTACCTAAGTTTCATCAAAGCACGCTAAATAAGCACAGGCACTATGCTAAGTACTAGAGATAAAAGTTGAATGATGCAGTTCCTACTGTAAAGGAACTCTCATAAGACCTCAGTGGGCCAGGTGTGTTGGCTCACGTCTGTAATCCCAACACTTTGGGAGACTGAAGCAGGCAGATCACAAGGTCAGGAGATCGAGACCATCCTGGCTAACATGGTGAAACCCCATCTCTACTAAAACACAAAAAATTAGCCGGGTGCTGTGGTGCACGCCTGTAGTCCCCGCTATTCGGGAGGCTGAGGCAGGGGAATCGCGTGAACCCAGGAGTCGGAGATTGCAGTGAGTGGACATCGCGCCACTGCACTCCAGCCTGGCAACAGAGTAAGGCTCTGTCTCAAAAAAAAAAAAAAGAAAGAAAAAAAAAGACTTCAGTGTAGATAAAATGGCTTAACATGAACTACATCATAGTAGATTCCTAGGTATTTCTAATACCTACACCCAAATTACCCCTCTGATGATGCATATCCTTGTTTTGATACTTTATCCAGCCAAAAGCACACTCTCAACTCTGGGCAATCATTACCCAGCGTTCTCTGCTTGGAACACAGCTCAATTCTTCCAGGTTGTCCCATCTTCCTCTAATGACTACATACATACGCAATTCCAACTAGAAAGGTACTCATCATATTACAGTGAATTACCTGTACAATTAGCTGTCCTTTCCAGACTGTAAGACAGCAACCATATATCTGTCTTATTCATTATAGAATTCCCAAGGTCAAACACTTTCTAGGTCACTCCACACATGTTGGCTCAATGAAAAAGTACTCAGTGATGTCACAGGGTTTGTCCTTAGCACAGCCTGAATTCAATCATTTCATCAATTTAAGTATGTCTGTTGTCATCATTTATCAAACTGGCCTATGTATAATGCATGTTTATATGTACGTGTATATTTATGTGTATGTGTGTGTGGATATGTATATACATGCATTTATTTCCTTGCTCTTTCCACTGAAAGGACCAAGTAGCAAACAGGGTACCTAATGCCTGGGTCTTGGTCCCTAATACTACTCCACACTAAAAAGAATCAAGGATCCTTGGATGCCAATGCTGGGCCAGGATAGGTATAAGATAAGCCTGCATCATGATATGTCAAAAAGCAAGAAAGGGGCCGGGTACGATGGCTCACATCTATAATCCCAGCACTTTGGGAAGCCAAAGTGGGCGATCATTTGAGGTCAGGAGTTCAAGACCAGCCTGGTCTACAGGGTGAAACCCTGTCTCTACTAAAAATGCAAAAATTAGTTAGGTGTGGTAGCACACATCTGTAATTCCAGCTACTGGGGAGGCTGAGACACAAGAACTGCTTGAACCCAGGATGGGAAGGCTGCGGTGAGCCAAGATCATGCCACTGCACTCCAGCCTCTCTGACAGAGCTAGACTCCATCTCAAAAAAGAGAAAAAAAAAAAAAAAAACCAAGAAAGTACTCAAGAAAAATGAAGGGGACACATCATAAAAACATAGGAACCAGGCTGAAAGAGCTTACATTGGCCAGATCTAGGCTATTTTTAGAATAATAATAAAAAAAAAATTGAAAAAAATTGAAAAAAATGGTGAGTATAAGTCCATACTGATAACAGATATATATGGATGAGGGGAAGGGAAGTTTCTTCTTTATAGGGGCAAATACAGAGGGAGTGCTAGAATTGGAAAGTCATCATAACCCATCAGAGCAGAGATGAGATCAAGCAAGAATCACCAATGGGTGCTAAAACTAGGGGGGAAATTTTGTTATTTTTTTAAAAAAGTATCATGCCATGAATTGCAAATCACAAGATACGAAGTTAAATCCCACCTCTACCACTCATGAGCTACAAGTATCTTTGGCTAAGTCAAGTTTCTCAAGCTCAGCACTACTGACATTTTGGGCCACAAAATTCTTTGTTGTAAGGGGCTGTCCTTTAGCATCCCCCCATTGATGATAATAAAAAATGTTTCTACAAATTGCTAAATGTCCCCTGGGGGACAAAAATCCTCCCTGGTTGAAAACAATACGCTAAGAGAACTGCTCTGAACTTTTGTTTTCTCATCCACAAAACGGGGATAATACCTAGCCTGAACATCTATCTTACTGGGTTGGAGGAGGAGGGTGGCCATAGTATTATTGTATTTGTATGGTCTTAAAATGCACCCCAGATTGCTTATTCGTCTCAAGGGAGAGGGGAAAGAGCAGTAATTATAGAAGGGAAAAACCACACAACATCTTGACAGGGTAATCAAAATTAACATCACCAAAGAGGAATAAATGGACACTAGGCACACCTTCAAACATGATACCCTGAGAAGGCCATAATGTGATTTCTGCATTATTCGGGCTGAGAAAGCCTACCTTGAATCTAATTACTTGGGAATATCACAAAATCCCAAAACGGGAAATGTACTATTAATAAAAAAAGGGGGCCAGGCATGGTGGCTAATGTCTGTAATCCTAGCACTATGGCGAACCCAGGAGTTTTAATCAGCCTGGATAACATAGCAAAATCCTATCCCTACAAAAAAATAGAAAAATTAGCCGGGTGTTGTGGCACATGCCTGTAGTCCCAGCTACTAGGAGGCTGACGCAGGAGGATCACTTGAGCCCATGAGGTCAAGGCTGCAGTGAGCCGAGATCAGGCCACTGAACTCCAGCCTGGGTGACAGGGCAAGACCCAGTTGCCAAAAAAAAAAAAAAAAAAGAGGGATGGGGGAAGGGGTTGTAGGCTGTATTTTTAATATGCTGATGTCATAAAAAGAAGAACAAACACTAGGGAAACGCTAATGACTAAAAAAGACATAATTACAAATAATACCTGACCCTAGACTGGATCCTGTATAGAAGAAAAAAACTGCTATAAAGGACATGTTTGGGTCCATTAATAATTAGAATGACAGATGAGATAGAAGTATTTTATCAATGTTAACTGAAGGTAACTGTACTGTGGTTACGTAAGAGAATATCCTAAAGAAATACACACCGAAATATTTAGAGTTGTAAAAGCCATGATTTTCTAATTTACCCTTAAAAATTTCAGAAAAAGTGTGTATACGTGAGAGAGAAATGTTAGTTCACTGTATCACTTCTGCAGAGCAAAAAGAAAACTGTTTAATGGTTGACACATAACCTTACATATGTGATAAAAAGGGTTAACATACCTGAATAGGAGATGGCTTTTCCCAGCCCATTTCAAAAATTCCCATCAGTAACTCCCGTTTCAAACAGTAATCTTCAAACTCATTTCCTTTTGTGGAGGTCACATCCTAGTCAAACAAAAAGGAACAATAAAAGAATAAATAACACTGTTGGTAAATTTGGTGTCCTTTGGTAAATTTATCTGTGTTTAAGAAAATTTATCTGGGCCAGGCATGGTGGCTCATGCCTGTAATCCCAGCACTTTGGGAGGCCAAGGCGGGCAGATCACCTGAGGTCAGAAGTTCAAGACCAGCCTAGCCAACATGGTGAAACTCCAACTCCACGAAAAATACAAAAAATTAGCCAGGGTGGTGGTGCACGCCTGTAGTCGCAGCTACTTGGGAGGCTGAGGCAGGAGAATCGCTTGAACCCAGGAGACGGAGGTTGCAGTGAGGTGAGATCGCACTCACTGCACAGCCTGGGGGGACAGAGCCAGACTCTATCTCAAAAAAAAAAAAAAAAAAAAAAAAAAAGGAAAGAAAACTTCTCTGACTTTAGTACTTTACCTGCCCAATCTTAAATATAAATATATGCAGATTACTTGTTTTAATCTGTATTTCAACTTTTCCTGAAGAAAAACCACTGTCCCTGCTTTGACACACAAGCTTTTTAAAAAACTATGTTTTGGGGAAAGAGCACTTGGTCATAGCCTTCTTTTTTTCTTCGAGAGATGGAGTCTCGCTCTGTCACCCAGGCTGCAGTGCAGTGGCGTGATCTCGGCTCACTGCAACCTCTGCCTCCCAAGTTCAAGTAATTCTCCTGTCTCAGCCTCCTGAGCAGCTGGATTACAGGCGCACGCCACCACACCCGACTAATTTTTGTATTTTTAGTAGAGACAGGGTTTCAACATGTTGGCCAGGCTGGTCTTGAACTCCTGACCTCAGGTGATCCGCCTGCCTCGGCCTCCCAAAGTGCTGGGAATACAGGCAAGAGCCACTGTGCCCGGCCCTTGGTCACAGTCTCCTAAGGACTGGTGGAATAGTGTTATTTTTTTACACAAATATCATGCCATGAATTGCAAATCACAAGATATGAAGTTAAATCCCACCTCTACCACTCATGAGCTACAAATATCTTTGGCTAAGTCAAATTTCTCAAGCTCAGCACTACTGACACTTTGGGCCACAAAATTCTTTGTTGTAAAGGGCTGTCCTTTAGCTTCCCCCCTATTGATGATAAGCAAAAATGTTTCTACAAATTGCTAAATGCCCCCGGGAGACAAAAATTCTCCCGGTTGAAAACAATAGGCTAAGAGAACTAACTGCTGAGCATTTGTTTTCTCATCCACAAAATGGGAATATATAGCCTGAATATCTATCTTACTGGGTTGGAGGAGGAGGGTGGCAGTGGTGTTATGGTCCTGAAACCAATTCCCTCCAGATACCGAGGGACAGCTATACCTCACTTCTAGTTCCCCACCATTATTCTACTTGTATTTTACAACCAACTTACCGAAGTTTTGATTCTTAGATCCTTTGGAGGGAGTTTTAAAGTCTTTTTCCAGTCATCACCAGGTCTAGAGAGAATACAGTAAACTTGAAGTATCAAAATTCATAGCATCCTAACAAAGATGATTCATCTCAATTATAATTAAGTGTTAAAAAAGCACAGTAAGTTTAATATATTCCATTTAATATATCTAACAAGATAATTAAACAACTTTAGAAAAAGTGTTCTTATAGAGAATCTCAGGAGGATAAAAAAATCAAGAACAGAAGGGATTAAGGCATCCATCCTCTTAAGCAATATTGTATACAGTGTAACTGTTGTCAAAAGGTGTTTTGTTTGACCTACACAGCATGTGTTTTAATTTAAATGAGTTTAAATTAGTTCTCAACATTTAAAAACTGTAAGATTTTATATATCTTATATAACTCCTGGGCTCAAGAAATCCACCTGCCTCGGCCTCCCAAAGTGATAGGATTATAGGTGTGAGCCACCATGGCCGGCTATTCTCATTTTTAAAATAGGTTAACAGGCCAGGCGTGGTGGCTCCCATCAGTAATCCCAGCACTTTGGGAGGCCAAGGTGGGCGGATCACTTGAGGTCAGGAGTTCGAGACCAGCCTGGCCAATATGGTGAAACCCCACCTCTACTGAAAATACAAAAATTAGCCAGGCATGGTGGGACACAACTGTAGTCCCAGCTACTCGGGAGGCTGAGGCAGGGGAATCACTTGAACCTGGGAGGCGGACACTGCAGTGAGCCAAGCTCACGACACTGCACTCCAGCCTGAGTGACAGAGGGAGACTCTGTCTCAAAAATAAATAAGGTGGGCGCACACCTGTAATCCCAACACTTTGGGAGGCCAAGGCAAGCGGATCACCTGAGGTCAGGAGTTCGAGAGTAGCCTGGCCAATACGGTGAAACCCACTCTCTACCAAAAATACAAAAATTAGCCAGCCATGGTGGCATGTGCCTGTAATCCCAGCTACTCAAGAGGCTGAGGCAGGAGAATTGCTTGAACCCGGGAGCCAAGATCCTGCGCCAGAGCAAGGCTCCGTTCCAAATAAATAAATAAAACAAAATAGGTTAACAGTTACATCAAACAATTGATATAATGCACTCAGCACAGTGCCTGGCAAAATAATAGCACAGTATTAGCCAATGAGCATCTCTTAATCTTTCTTTTTTATTGGAAATGCTAGAAATCATGAAAGAGAATAAAAACAAGGAGAATATAAATAAACTCTCTTTTTGGCCAGGTAAAAACCTCAAGTAATAAATACTCAAAGCATCTTTAAAAAAAAAAAAAAGATCAGGGAACATCTGCAGACAAAGTATTTAACTGTGACATCTTCGAAAAAGTTTTCACTGCAGCTGTTCTTACATAACCAGAGTCCCCAAAACATCTCAAATGCTCCATTCACAGACAAAAAGACCACTTATTTTACTTAAAACTAGGTCCTACATAATGCATACTCTAACATTGGTAACTTTTTGCTACCAATTCCAAGACTACTACTGTACTAAAGCCTTTTTTTTTTTTTTCTGAGATGGAGTCTTGCTATGTCACCCAGGCTAGAGTGCAGTGGCATGATCTCGGCTTACTGCAACCTCCACCTCCCGGGGTTCAAGCAATTCTCCTGCCTCAGCCTCCAGAGCAGCTGGGATTACAGGAGCTTGCCACTACACCTGGCTAGTTTTTGTATTTTTAGTAGAGACGGGGATTCAGCTGGTCTCAAACTCCTGACCTCGTGATCCTCCTGCCTTGGCCTCCCAAAGTGCTGGGATTACAGGCGTGAGCCACCTCACCCGGCCTACTAAAGCCTTTCATCTAAGCCTGTATCATCGAAGTTTCTGATGTCAGTTTGACATACCGTTGAATTCAACAAAATAGTGAATAATAATGCGTAAGATACAATGCAAAACCTGACCACAAGAAATTTATAATCTTATGAGATGAAAAAACTATTTAAAATGAGAAAGTAAGTGACGGAGGTTAAGTATTAGAAGTGTTCTGAGACACTTGATGGGATCTAGAGGACTTCATGGAAGAGAGGGCAGAGAAAATGAGATTTGAAGAACCGCAGAACTGAAAAGAAACCATTAATCGTAGGAAAACCAGAAAAGAAAAATCAAAATCCACTGTTGTCCCCAAATCAGAATTTATTTTTTATTTCTTTGAGATGGGGTCTTACCCTGTCACCCAGGCTTGAGTGCAGTGGTGCGATCATAGCTCACTGCAGCCTTTATTATTTGTAGAGACAGGGTCTTGCTATGTTGCCCAGGTTAGTCTCAAACTCCTGGCCTCAAGTGATCTTCCCACCTCAGCCTCCCAAAGTGATGGGATGAACGGCATGAGCCATCATATCCAGCCCCAGAATTTTTTAAATAGAAAATATTCTCATAGGCCAGGTGCAGTGGCTCACGCCTGTAATCCCAGCACTCTGGGAGGCCGAGGCAGGCAGATCACCTGAGGTCAGGAATTCAAGCCTAGCCTGCAAACATGATGAAATCTCATCTCTACTAAAAATACAAAAATTAGCCAGACGTGATGGTGGACACCTGTAATCCCAGCTACTTGGGAGGCAGAGGCAGGAGAATGGCTTGAACTGAACCCAGGAGGTGCAGGTTGCAGTGAGTCGAGATCACACCATTGCACTCTAGCCTGGGCAACAGAGTGAGTGAGAGTCCATCTCAAAAAAAAAAAAAATTAAAAATAGGCTGGGCGCAGTGGCTCACATGTGTAATCCCAGCACTGTGAGAGGTCGAGGTGGGCAGATCACTTGAGCTCAGGAGTTCCAGACCAGCCTGGGCAACATGACAAAACGCCGTCGCTACTGGTGCATGCCAGTAGTCCCCACTATTTGTAGGGCTGAGGCAGGAGGATCACTTGAGCCTGGGAAGTTGAGGCTGCAGTGAGCCATGATCGTGCCACCATACTCCAGCCTAGGCAACAAAGTGAGACCCTGTCTCAAAAAAAAAAAAAAAAGTTATAAAAAAAATTAAAAATAGTCTAAATTTTGCTAACCTACTTACATTCTGCCAAGACAAACTACAACTGAAGTAGTATTCATTTCTATACCAATTAAAGCATTCACCTTAAAAATAACAGAATATACACTAATACCAATTCTCCCAATGACCTAACCAATTCTGCTGAAAATTAGTTCTTAGAGGTCCTAGTGAACCACATACGGTAACTATATGACAGTCTGGTAGCTTGTATAAGCTATTTTTCTGTAGGAAGTGAAAAGATCTAGGTTGTAATAAAACATATACCTCAGTTCAGTAACCCAGTGTCAACATCTTATAAAGATTCCCAGGGTTAAATTATTTTATATGGCAAGTTTTTTTTTTTTTTTGAGATGGAGTATTTCTCTGTTGCCCAGGCTGGAGTGCAGTGACACGATCTTGGCTCTCTGCAACCTCCACCTCTCGGGTTCAAGTGATTCTCCCGCCTCAGCCTCCTGAGTAGCTGGGATTACAGGCGCATGCCATCACACCCAGCTGATTTTTGTATTTTTAGTAAAGACAGGGTTTCACCATGTTGGTCAGGCTGGCCTCAAACTTTTGACCTCGTGATCTACCTGCCTCAGCCTCCCAAAGTGCTGGGATTAAAGGCGTGAGCTACCGCACCTGGCCTTTTTTTTTTTTGAGATGGAGTTTCGCTCTTGTTGCCCAAGCTGGAGTGCAATGGTGCAATCTCGGCTCACTGCAACTCCGCCTCCCGGGTTTAAGTGATTCTCCTGCCTCAGCCTCCCAAGTAGCATTATGGGCATGTGCCACCACGCCCAGCTAATTTTGTACTTTTAGTAGAGACGGGGTTTATTTTTAGTAGAGACAAGGTTTCTCCATGTTTGTCAGGCTGGTCTCGAACTCCCGACCTCAGGTGATCCGCCCACCTTGGCCTCCCAATGTGCTTGGACTACAGGCGTGTGCCACTGCACCCGGACCTATATGGCAAGTTCTTAACAAAAGCCAAACATCAACTGGAGTCAAGAATCTTAAATGTTAATTTCCTATAACTGAATCTTTAAAGTGATGGTTACCATTCAAATATTGTAATTTAAACTATGCACTTAAAAGTAACAAATAGCCTACATACTTTCAGCTTTAAAAGAAAAAATATCCTCTAGTAAGAGGAGGCTCTTCAATTTTAAGGTTAACAAAAGGTTTCTGAGACTGTTCAGAACTGTGTTCTGTGAGTTCAAAATTCTTAGTTCCCTTTTTATATGTAAAAGGAGGAAAAAAATTAAAAATTTTTTTTTTGGGTAGAGACAGAGTCTCATTATGTTGCCTAGGCTGGTCTCAAACTCCTGGACTCAAGTGATCCTCCCACATTGGCCTCCCCAAAGTACAGGGATTACAGGCATGAGTCACCTCAACCAGCCAACTTTTTTTTTTTTTTAAAGTAAAAAAGCTAAGTTCCATAAGCTAAAAAAAGTTACGAGAAAATTTTCTGAGTGAATAATGCTTGGAGTTCAGAAGGCTGGGCAAGTCTTTAAAGACTCTAAAGACTCAGACTGAGTCTTTAAATTTAATACATAAAGTTGGCTTTATCTGCTGTTTAACTAGGGTAAGGTGCAGTCGTAAAAAAACTATACTGACAAAAACGAGATGACTAATAATTTTATTCATTTACAACAAACTAAGCTAATAACTTTTACACTAATTATGAAAGCCAGAAATGTTTCCAAAAACCATTTATACAAAATTTGTGTGTATCATCTGACCTCAGGATGACTACTTGCTGAACAAATTATGGCAGAAATATATTATTCTATTGCAAATACCTACTGGCCATAAAACAAAGTCATCTGTCCTCTATTTGGAATCAAAATGGTTAAATTAAGGCATAAGTATTAATAGTCAACACCAAAGTAACACAAATCTTGGTTCCCCACAAGTGTTTATTAATAATTTACTCTAACACTTACTTAATAGTGGTGGTCATACTCTGTGCTTGCTGCTGAGTGCCATTATTGATTGTGTTGGTGTTTTTCAGCTGGTTCATCTGTTGCTGTGTCTGTGTGCCCCCTCCTCCAGGGCCACCAGTGGGTTTCACAGGGCCTCTCAGCTGACCATTTTGACTGGACAGACCCATTATAACAGGGTTCTCTGTTCTGGCCGTGCTCATGCTGTTTTAATTGCAAAGGTCTTTCAAACTTCAAAACTTTTGAAAGTCAGTAGAGAAACTGTAATAACAGTTTATTAGGCTCTCCAAAATGAAGAGATAAATATAAGTCTTGCTCAATAAATGAGTCCTTTATTGCAATGCAGGCAAGCACCTGTAAGTCTCTGAACGGTAAGCAGCAGTAACTTGCTCTCTTGCACGGAATCAACTTTTTATTTTTAAAAAGCCCTCTAACAAGCTTGAGTTATATCTGAATTCACTCACGTCAATCTGAAACAAACAAACAAAATTAAATTAGCAAACACAACAGAAAAACTTTGTTTCCCTTTTAAAAGAACCCCTTTAAAAGAATTCTCATCTTTTATATTAAAGAATTAATAATACAGCTACACTTAGACCAAATCACGAGCCAAGCTAGGATAGACACAACTTTGAACTATCTCAAAAACACAATGAGGCCAATATCAAACATTTAAAATTGTTAATTCAAAGCAATCCAGAGATTAAGTAGAAAGAGACTAGTAAATTAGCACTACTCGTCAATGATAATCTCTTCTCTTCAGTTTCCTCCCCATGAATTCTCTAAGTCTCTGACATCTCTAAAAGTCAGTGATTCATTATACTTAATTGCATTACAACTCACTGAAGTATCACACAATTTAAACAAGACAATTCATTAATTTTCTTCTACTTGTAATAGCAACCGAGAGTCCTTATAGATTTAAGTGAGCTTTTGACTTGAACTTCACACTTCCAGAAAAAAACACCTTTGTGCCCTTACAAATTTCAACTATTAAACTTTATGGGCTGGGTGCTGGTGGCTCAGGCCTGTAATCGCAGCACTTTGAGAGGCCAATGCGGGCGATCTCTTGAGGTCAGGAGTTAGAGACCAGCCTGGACAACATAGCGAAACCCCATCTCTACTAAAAATACAAAATTTAGGCCGGGTGCAGTGGCTCATGCCTGTAATCCCAGCACTTTAGGAGGCCGAGGAAGGTGGATCATGAGGTCAGGAGTTCAGGATCAGCCTGGCCAAGATGGTGAAACCCTGTCTCTACTAAAAATACAAAAATTAGCCAGGCGTGGTGGCGAGCGCCTGTAATTCCAGCTACTTGGGAGGCTGAGGCAGAGAACTGCTTGAACCCAGGAGGCGGAGGTTGCAGTGAGCCAAGATTGTGCCACTGCACTCCAGCCTCAGCGACAGAGCCAGACTCCGTCTCAAAAACAAAAACAAACAAGAAAAAAAAAACAAAAAACAAAATTTAGCCGGGCATGGTGGTGCACACCTGTAATGGAGTCCCAGCTACTTGGGAGGCTGAAGCACGAGAATCGCTTGAACCTGGCAGACGGAGGCTGCAGTGAGCCAGGTGACAGAGACCTTGTCTCAAAAAACAACAAAAAACTTTAAGAAGAAAAATGTATTTTCTTTTTTCCTTTTTGTCCTTTAAAACAATAAATGAAGCAGTCAAGAGAATAGTGTATTTCTGCCATAATGCATCCAGCAAGTAATGATCCCAAGGACGGATGATATACACAAATTTTGTATAAATGAATTTTTATTTTGAAATTGACAAAACCAAGATGACTCTAATAATTTTATTCATTTATAACAAACTTAGCTAATAACTATTCTAATTTTAAATTTAAAAAAACAGGAAAATTCCTGTTTAAAAAAAAATCCGCGGAAGACTAAACACACTAGTAATTTTAAGAAAACTTTCCAAGAAATCCAGAGTAGTAAAGCTAATTAATAGTTTAAAAAAAAAAAAAAGAACTGGTAGGAGGGGCACGGTAGCTCACGCCTGTAATCCCAACACTTTGGGAGGCCAAGACTGGTGGATCACCTGAGGTCAGGAGTTCAAGACCACCTGACCAACACGGTGAAACTCCGTTCCACTAAAATACAAAAATTAACTGGGCGTGGTGGCCCTGTAATCTCAGCTACTTAGGAGGCTGAGGCAGCAGAATCACTTGAACCCAGGAGGTGGAGGCTGCAGTGAGTCCAGATCATGCCATTGTACTCCAGCCTGGGCAACAAGAGCAATACTCTGACTTAAAAACAAACAAAGCAAACAAACAAACAAAACCCACAAAACTAGTCAACCTCAGTTTAAAATTATCCCGTAAATGGAAATCTTACTTACTTTTATTTTTTATTGTATTTTTTGAGACAGAATCTTGCACTGTCACCCAGGCTGGAGTGCAATGGCGCGCTCTCAGCTCACTGCAAGCTCCGCCTCCTGGGTTCACGCCATTCTCCTGCCTCAGCCTCCTGAGTAGCTGGGATTACGGGCATGCGCCACCATGCCCAGCTAATTTTTGTATTTTTAGTAAAGACGGGGTTTCGACATGTTGGCCAGGCTGGTCTTGAACAACTGAGCTCAGGTGATCCGCCCGCCTCGGCCTCCCAAAGTGCTGGGATTACAGACGTAAGCCACCACGCCCGGCCTATTATTTTTGAGACAGAGTCTCACTCTGTTGCCCAGAGTGGAGTGCAGTAGCCCGATCTCAGCTCACTGCAACCTCCACCACGCAGGTTCAAGCGATCCTCATGCCTTAGCCTCCCAAGTAGCTTGGTGGGATTACAGGTCTGGCTAATTTCTGTATTTTTCAGTAGACACGGGGTGTTATCAAGTTGGCCAGGCTGGTCTTGGACTCCTAACCTCAAATGATCTGCCCGCCTTAGCCTCCTAAAGTGCTAGGATTACAGGCGAGAGCCACCGTGCCCGGCTGAAATCTTACTTTTAATTGGAGTTAATAAAAACATACAAAGACACGAAAACAAAGCCCTACTCTGTTGGCTTTTGATTTAACCCCGTTACACTTTTTTTTTTTTTTTTTTTTTGAGGCGGAGTCTCGCTCTGCCGCCCAGGTTGGAGTGCAGTGGCACAATCTTGGCTCACTGCAACCGCCGCCTCCTGGGTTCAAGCGATTCCCCTGTCTCAGCCTCCCGAGTAGCTGGGATTACAGGCGCCTGCCACCACGCGCAGCTAAATTTTTTCTATTTTTAGTAGAGACGGGGTTTTGCCATGTTGGCCAGGCTAGTATCGAACTCCTGACCTCAGCTGATCCGCCTGTCTTGGCCTCCCAAAGTGCTGGGATTACAGGTGTGAGCCACCGCTCCCAGCAACCCCGTTACATTTCTTATATAAAATACACTAGCTTACGAGTGCTGATTCTTTCTGCCATACACCAAGGCATGTGAAACTCAAAATTTTAAAGTCAACAGATCTCAACATTTATGAAGAAAATGCTCCTTGATTATGCCTTCCTTAAAAAAAAAATGAACAAGTTGCTCACAAGCAAATCCTGATTATCACATACACAAAGCTGTTTACTTCAGACTCTGACCTCTTAAGCAGATATGGTTAACAGCTACTTTCCTGTATTGACGGTTTTATATTATGATCAGCGATATCACGCAGTTCACAGAGACTTAGCTGTTTGCAGAGCACTAAGAGGATGAAAAGGGCAACCTCTAAAGACCGAACGATATCATCATTACTGTCCATCATGCACAGTAAGACCTCCTATATCCTTAAATCCAAAATGAGACTATGTGATAACTGCTCCCTTCTTAAACTGAAACCTGCACTGCAGCTTTTTCTCAGAGAAGGAAATATTCCTCCTACCCCTTCCCAATTTAGATTTGCAAGTTTTCTACATTTTCAAAAACAAAAAACAAAAAAACAAAAAACAAACAACAAGAAACGTAGACTAGTTGGGAGGAGCCCCTAGCGGAGTTAATTACAGCACTTCACAGATCGTAGTTAGCAATTGACAGTTTCACACCCAAAACAGTATCGTCATCGCCAACAAGAGCTTTTGTTTGCAAATGCAGCGCAGTTTTTCTAGCTTTGCCTGCAAGTTGGAGTGACTGGGTTTTATTCTGAAGGGAAATGGGGGCTGAGGAAGAGAAAGGAGAGAGATACGGGAAAGAGTCATTGACTAATGACTGGAACCCCGTAACTGAAAGGAAATTTCTTGTCCCCCCGCACCCCGCCCCACGCCCCAAACACACACACTTCTGACCATAAACACAAAAGGTTGGGGCTCTGCAATCTTATCTGCGCAATATGAGCCAGCAACCGCTCCATTAGTAGCAAACAATAGGGACTCCCCCAAGGAGGCCCCAAATGGACCCCCTAAACCAGAAATCCCCCTCCTTTCCTCCAAGAGTCGGGGGCTCCATAAATACCCTCTTGTTATTGACCCGCAAGGCCTACTGCAATCAAGCAGCGGCCGGTTTGCTTCTAAACCGAGCCCTCCAATACAGCATGTCCCTGCCGCCCCCTATAGGGCCGCCTCGTACCCTATAACCTCCACCATCATCCCCCTAAGTCCTTGCCGCCCCCTTCGGCCTCATATTCCCTCATCTTCGATAAAGCTACTCCGAGTACTTAGCCTGTTCCTCCTGCCGACCCTGCTGCGCACCACATTCCTATATTCGCCTCCTCTCAGGCGCTCCCACCCCACACAGCTGCCGACCGCCTTCCTCCCCAGGCCCGGCCAGGCCTTAGGCCTCCGCCCGAGAGTCCCCCAGAGCCGGCCCGGGGGGCTCCCCACAGCCCCCAAAGCACCGCTGACCTCGACCCCACCACCTCACCCCAAGCCTCGCGACTCGGGCCCGTGTCCTACCAACGAGGCCACTCCCGCTCGGCACCCTCGGTCCTTTATTGTTGACTCGAAGCTCCCAAAATGGCGGACGCTCCTTCCTCCTCGGAAACCTCCGCCCGCCCCCACCCAGCCCTCTCGCTACGGCCTCCTCTCGCCCCCGCCCCCGCCCCGCTCCGAGGGGCGCGCAGGCCAGCCGCCCGAGCCGCCGGCTCCCCCGGCTGTCCAGCCCTACCTCCTCCGCTGCCCGCTCTCGTGGCGCCGCCGAAGTCGCCGCCTGGCTGAGCTAACTCGGCTCCTCTGCCCCCTCCCTCGCTCGCCCGTTCGCCCGCCCGCCGCCTCCTCCCTCTTTCCCTGCCTCTCCGCATGGCGGCGACCGCGGCTCCTCCTCCACTCAAGATGGCGAAACCTCGGCCGCCGCGGCTATATTCGCCGCGGCGTCACTGCCTTCCTGGCCTGGTGGTGAGAGGAAGTCGGGCCGCGAAAGCTTCCTGAGGAGAAAATGGAGGGCCCTTCTCTCACACCGACGAGAAAAGTTCGAGGGGGAAATACGAGTTCCTTTCTGAAGGGACAGGACGGCTGCTTTTCCACAGCCGCGACGTGATTGAGAAATGGTGGCTGGCAAGGGTAGGCCTGCCTTCGCCCCTCCAAAGTAAAAATCGGGAGTTGAGACCAGAGGAACATCTCTTTATTACATGACTAAGGATATGTTTTGAAAACTGGCCCCCGGGCAGCTGCTCGGGGACAGGAAGCTGACCTGACTTCTCCAGCTGGCCGGGGAGGCTGATGCCGGGCCTAAGGGGCCGCGTCCGAGCCTCTCGGGGCGCGCCTCCATGCAGGAAGGCGCGGAACTAGCGACCCGGAGACGCCGGGCGCGCGTCTGAGTGTGGGGGCAGGAAGGGGGGCCGACCGGGCCCGGAGGCCGCACCAGGCAGGAGGGAGGACTCCAGAGAGTGCGCGGGGGGCGCTGCGCGGTGGGACGGGGCGAGCCTGTAGGGCGCGCCTGGCGGCGGGTAGGCTCCGGGCTTGAGGGTGCGCCTGGGGGCGCTGGTTGTGGGGGAAGGCACCGGGCTTGAGGGTGCACCTGGGCGGGGGAAGTCTTCGGGCATGAGGGCGCGCCTGCGGGTGGTATGGGGGGGTACACCGAGCTTGAGGGTGCGCCCGGGGGGCTCTCATGTGAAGGGTACCAGGCTTGAGGGCGCCCCTGCGGGGGGCGCAGAGGCACCGAGCTTGAGGGTGCGCCTCGGGGGTCTGCGGGGGGAAGGCACCGGACTTGAGCGTGCGCCGGGAGAGGACGGCGGGGGACCGGACTGTGAGGGCGTATCTTGGGGGACCTGTCTAGGAGGAACCGGGAGGTGAAGGCACAACTGGGGGTGAGGCGGGGGCAGGGGCCGGGCTGTGAGAGTGCGACTGAGGGGGGATTACTCCGGAGAGCACGGAGCTGGGGGCGTTGCGCAGGTGGAGTGGGGAGGCCTGGTGGAGAGGGTAGCAAACCGAGAGAGCGCACCGGGGTGGTGGGGGGAGAAGCTGGACTGTAAGGTGAAGAGTTAGTAGGGCGCAACCGTCTTCTCCTGCCCTCGAAGGGCAAGACTGAAGAAAGTAGGGGCGGAGGAGGCCGGGCCCTCCACTAAAGGGAGGGAAGCTAGTGAAGCGTCAGTTATAATAGAAATAGGAATTCAGTAAGGAAATGGAGAAGCTTAAGGCAAAGGGTGACTCTCCGGCCTGACCCTCACTATGAAGATATTTATGTATGTTCCCATAATACTTTTCAGATCCCAATGTCTGTGTTTATCCTTGACAGAAATAATAGAACTGCTGTCTTCTTCCAAGTTAAACAAAACTTTGGAGCTAAAAGCTAGCTAGGTCAAGAGAAACAAAATCTAATCCTCACCCAATTGAGAGACTGAATATACAAAGAATGGCCAAACCTAACCATGACCTCCTACCCATAACCTCTTCAGTAATCGGCCAGAAGGGTCAGGACTTAATCTTTAACCGGCAGCTTCCCTATTTCTTGCCCCTGCTTCCAGCTCTGGGCCAATCAGAGAAAGCCAAATGTGCTCCTCACACCAATCGCGTAAGAAGCCCTGCTTCTAGTATAGCCCTCCTCCAACTTCCCGATGCCAACATCCTCCAATCAGAGCCAACCTGAAGTTTCTCCCTTTTTTCAGTATATGTAAAGCTTTTCCACTCCCCTGCCTGCCTATGAGTCTGTTAAATCAAGTGATGGGTCGCGGCTGACTCTTGCCAGCTCTGAGTAAATAGCCTATTCTCATTTGGTGGTCGTTATTTCTACACAGCCGGTGGGAAGGTGGTGGAGAATAGTGAAGACTATTCTTAAGGTTAAAAAGAAGGTTCGGCTTACATTTTTTTTTTATTTTAAATTTACAGCATGGCGTCTCCAGCCCAGGTTTTAAAATACCTTCTAATGTAAGGAAATAGCCCTGCACCTTGTGCCCATCCTAGAGAGAAAATGGTTTCTTAATAAAAAATGTATGAGGCCTTTTTTGCCCCAATATCTTCCCAAGCAGAGGAATGTGAAGGGGGGTTGGGCCAAGAAGTGAGTGGTAGGAAGAGAGGCCTACGGATTTAAAACAGGCCACTGCTTGGAGGGGTGTCTTTCCTAAACCACTGAAGAAATTGAACCAGGCAAAGGAAGGGGGTTCACACCCACAAATAAACTATAACCTACAAAAGGAGCCCGGGTTCACATCCACAAATAAATTGTAACCTACACAAGGAGTCTGGTTGAGGTCACAAAACAAAAGCCAGGAGGCAACCAAAAGTAGAATATGAAATAGGTGCTGCCTTCTCACCTAGGAATCCTTCCAGGGCTAAAACCTTCAAATATTCTGCTTTTAAGGTAGTCAGATACCCTCACAACTCATTTACATCAGCCCTTCTCTGTTTTCAAGTGAGAAGCATAGATGGTTTAGAATTAAGCTATGAACTCTTGGATCTTTTCTTCCAAGTTTAGTGTTAGTGGTAGATAGGTCTAGTCCAACTATCTCAATACATTGTTTTCTCCCTAGTTAAAACAGATTTGCAAGAATCATTTGTATGACACTTTAGGAATACAGATAAATTGCTAGTGCAAATAATATCCTTATATTTATAAAATATATGTGTACTTTTAAAAAAGTTATATGAATCCAATCCTCTGGCCTTTTAGTTAGTATTGAGTGTGATAGTTGTGGGAGATCTGTAGTAAATACGGTTTCTGAAGGGTGTGCTATCATCCCTAATGAACTCACCTATTAATTGTGGTAAAGAGTTTTTCACTTGGGCTGGGCACGGTGGCTCACGCCTGTAATCCCAGCACTTTGGGAGGCCGAGGCAGGTGGGTCGACTGAGGTCAGGAGTTCCAGACCAGCCTAGCCAACATGGTGAAACCCCGTCTGTACTAAAAAAAAAAAAAAGAAAAAAAATAGCTGGGCATGGTGGCAGGTGCCTGTAATCCCAGCTACTTGGGAGGCTGAGGCAGGAGAATCCCTTGAACCTGGGGAGGCGGAGGTTGCAGTGAGCCAAGATCGTGCCATTGCACTCCAGCCTGGGCAACAAGAGCAAAACTCCGTCTCAAAAAAAAAAAAAAAAAGAAAAAGAAAAAGAAATGAAAAAAAAAGTTTCCCAACATGTATTAGCCGTTTTCATGTTGTCTGTATTCACCTTTGCGTCATCACCCCTCTTCAATTTCCTCCTGGAATTCAATCACAGTAATGGGTTATCTCAGCATATATTATTCGCCAGTCTCACATCCTGACCTCATTTATTTACCTAAAAATAACCAGAACGAAAAAAAAATCACAGATTAATTTACACTTGATTTCACTTTAACTTCAATTTAAAATACTTAGAATCCAGAATTCCTAGTAAGTTGAACCTGGAATACGCAGACCTGTGATAATATCTTAAACACTCAAATGTTTTCAACTTGCTGAAATGGAGTTCACACTTTTAACATTCTGGGCTTTTTTTTTAAAAGGGACTATAATACTTTAACTCAAATTACAATCAAATGTGTTCATTACCTATAAGAAAAAAATTTTACCTATCTCATATCTTCAGTGAAATGATTATATCACATCTGGCTAAGCTTTACCATTTGGTATTTGCCCTCTTTCAAGTGATTTGCAGTATAATACTTTGATTTCCCAAAATTTCAACATACAAAGTTATTTTCCAAATATGCTCAAGCAACATCTGATCATCACTAACAAGACTAAAGGCTAATATGCCCAAGGAGCCAAGTCCCGTTTTCTTGGGACTTCATAGCAGGTAAAAATTGCCTTTTCAATTTATACACCTGAAGAAAGTGAAGCAGCATCAGTCACTGAGGGCTTAGTAGAGATGTCCTCAGAGAGGTGCACATACTGCGCTGAAGTTGATGCATACTAAGCAGGCGTGCTTAATCACTGAGAGGTTACATCAGGCACATTTTGTTGGAATAAATGTTCCAACCCCTGAGTAAACTCAAATTGAAAAGTAGGAAAGTTGGCCAGCGCGGTGGCTCACACCTGTAATCCCAGCACTTTGGGAGGCCAAGGTGGGCGGATCACGTGAGGTCAGGAGTTCGAGACCAGCCTGGCCAACATGGTGAAACCCCATCTCTACTAAAAATACAAAAATTAGCCGGGTGTGGCAGCATGCACCTGTAATCCCAGCTACTTGGGAGGCTGTGGCGGAGAATTGCTTGAACCCAGGAGGCAGAGGTTGCAGTGAGCTGAGATTGCACCACTGCACTCCAACCTGGGTGACAGAGTAAGACTCTGTCTCAAAAAAAAAAAAAAAAAAAAAAGTGTAGGAAAGCAATAGTACAAACGAGGAGGGGAGTGGGTGAGTTAAACACATTTTCCCCAAACTGCCAGGTTTACTTTGCAGAATTTGTATTCTCTTTCACAGATAACATAACCCTCATTCCCAGCACACCACAACCAAGCTAGCTAGCTGGCTCAGCTCACGGTGTCCTTCGGCCACATCGGGACTCAGCATGGTATATGTTCTGGTCATCACCCAGAGAATTCTAGCTATTCATTTTGACTCTTCAGTTTCGCTAAGATGACTGCATGCCAGCAATTTTAACTTATTTATTAATTTGAAAATAATGTGTGGCTGGGCCGGGCACAGTGGCTCACGCCTGTAATCCCAGCACTTTGGGAGGCCGAGGCAGGCGGATCACGAGGTCAGGAGATCAAGACCAGCCTGACTAACATGGTGAAACCCTGTCCCTACTAAAAATACAAAAAATTAGCTGGGCGTGGTGGCATGCACCTGTAGTCCCAGCTACTAGGGAGGCTTAGGCAGGAGAATTGCTTGAACCCAGGAGGCAGAGGTCGCAGTGAGCCAAGATCACACCACTGCACTTCAGCCTGGGCAACAGAACGAGACTCCGTCTCAAAAAGAAAAAAAGAAAAGAAAAAAGAAAAAGAAAATATGTGTGGCTGGAAGACACTGAAATCTGGAAAACAGCTATTTAGGTATAAATTTACTTTGACTTACTGAGATCAAGAAAGAACTGACATCGTCCTCATCTAAGATACCTTGTTCTCCTTGGGTATTTTCCAAGTTAGTTCAGGGGCAGTTGCCGAGGAATAACACTGATGGGGGTTCACACTATGGCGATCTTGTTGAACTGCCTGATGTTGGTTTGTGTAATCTGCCCCCTTTGTGCCCAAGAACCTGTGACAAGATTCTGCTTCTGACAACCTTCTGTGCAGGGGTAGCGACAGGAGTCTGAACAATCATTAAGTGTCCAGCCCTGGTTTCCTGCCACTAGTCAATCTGCAGAGACTTTTATTGATTCTTGAAAATACAACTGTGATTGTAGGTTTGGGCCCTGGGAATGTAATTTATAGCTAAAGAATGGGCAATGTCTTCTGTCCTGAGTGCCATGGTTGGATTGTGTAACATCTGTGGCTACCAGGACAAGGAAGGAACAAAGGAAGACAAAAGTATTTCAGTGCAGAGATCTTCTCAGTGACCCTCCTTGCTTTTCATCTGCCTGATGAATTTTAAAGACTACTTTTTATCATATCTCCACACCGTAAACTACCCCCTCAGTGGCTCCCAGTTTCCTTTTACTACATCTAGTCTACACTCCATAGACCGACTGAGACTGCCAATATGCCTACCCAGTCGGATTTCCTACTCTTCCTCCCCCCATACATTTGCTGCTCTGGTCTCCTGAAAGGTTACATTCCCTCACCTCTGATTGTTTCCCTTAGAAACCCTCTCATCTCCTTTCCTCTGGGTCTATCTAAATCTCACTCAGAATCCTAGATATATTACCACAAGCCCCTATCCTCCTATGTTTCCCATTCCTTTGCTCCTGTGCAACCAGGGCTCAGGCTCTGGAGTCAGACAGATTTAGGTTCATAATCCCAGTTCTGCCACTTATTAACTATTACTCCATAAATGTGGAAACATTTCTCAACTCTTTTTTTTTTTTTTTTTTTTTTTGAGACGGAGTCTCGCTGTGTTGCCCGGGCTGGAGTGCAGTGGTGTGATCTTGGCTCACTGCAACTTCTGCCTCCCAGGTTCTAGTGATTCTCCTGCCTCAGCCTCCCAAGTAGCTGGGACTACAGGTGTGTGCCACCACACCCGGCTAATTTTTGTGTTTTTAGTAGAGATGGCGTTTCACCATTTTGACCAAGCTGGTCTCAAACTCCTGACCTCAAATGATCCACCCTCCTTGGCTTCCCAAAGTGCTAGGATTACAGGCGTGAGCCGCCGCGCCTGGCCATTTCTTAACTTCTGAACCTCAATTTTCCCATTTATAAAATGGGTAAAAAGTGGCCAGCACGTGGGTCAGGCCTGTAATCTCAGCACTTCGGAGGCCCAGGCAGAAGAATCGCTTGAGGCCAGGAGTTCAAGGTCAGCCGGGGCAACATATTGACATCCCGCCTCTACAAAAAATAAGCTGGGCAGGGTGGCGTGCACCTATTGTCCTAGCTATTCAGGAGGCTGAAGTAGGAGAATTGCTTGAGCCCAGGAGTTCAAGGCTGCAGTGAGTTATGATTGTGCTACTGCACTCCAGCCTGGGCGACAGACAGAAATTCTGTCTGTACAAAAAATGAAACAATAAAGTGGATAAGATGGGGATAATAGGACCTAGAGTGTCATGAGGGTAAGTGAATGAAATAAATCACTTATTTTAGTAGTTGGCAAATGGCACTCAAAAAAATTAGTTGGTGTTGCTATTGTTATTTTGTTGACTTTTGTCTGAACCTCTTCTTATTCTATCAGATTACAGCCTGAGGTTGGCCAATTCAATTCTATTTCCCTAGCCTCTATTGTCTCTCAGCTCTTCAGCTTTGTGCCCTACCAACCTTAATAAACAGGTGCCACACTCTAATTTCACAGCCTCTGCTCCAGGAATGTTGATGCTGGAGAGAGCCCTGTAACCAGGCTGATTGGTTCAACAATAAATTCTTGCTTCTGAACCTCAGCTGAGCCCTTTCTGCTGCTCCACAAACCCTTTACTGCTGGTTCTCAATTGTGGATGCTCATTAGAGTCAACAGAGGCGCTTATGAAACCACTAGTGCCTGGGCCCCATCCCAGGAGAATTAAATCAGAATCCTTGGGGCTGGGGTCCAGCGTCATTTTTTTGTGTGTGTTAAGGCTCCCTGGATGATCCTAATGTCCAGCCAGGAATGAGAACCACTTAATTGTTCTTCAAGGACAATTATTTCCTACTACAGCATTCCACATCTTTTCTTCTATCCATAAGCTTACCTTCAAATCAAATAGAAGCTTCATAAACTTCCCACCTTCATAAATCCACAGAAGCTTCATAAACTTTCCACCTCCCTCCCTGACAAACTTCATTTTGTTCCTTTCTTGGAAGATAGAGCATCACACCTCCTATGTAAGGCTAATCTATCCTTTTTTAAAATAAAATATTCCATTGATTACCTCCTTTCCTTTATATTTTTAATATTATTAAATGTTTCTCTCTCTGTTGCTTCTTCCTCTCAACCTGGATTTGTTCCCAAGTTTTTCTCCATTCTAAACAACAAACAAAAACAATCTTCCCTCACTCTGGTTCCAGGTTGAATGAGAGAAGAGGGAAGAACAAGTATTCACTGAAGGGCTCCCAGGGACAGGCGCTATGTTAGGTGACATCCGTTGCAAAATCTTGGCCATTCTTGCTCTGGGATATCACTTCCATCTCTGCTTCTCCATGATTACTGCCACTGTCTCAACCCAGGGTTTTTTTCTTTTGCTTAGACTATTTACTGGACTTCCTGCTTCAACCTCTTTTCCTCTCTAACCCATCCTGTACAGTAATGCCAGAGTAGTCTTCCCAGTCAGATCACTATTCTGTTGAAGAGTCTTTCATAATTCTCCATTAACTACTGGATAACATTTCGATCCCTCATCTCTCTTCAGAATAAGTAGGAGGCCCTTGGGACCTCCTTGCCCCAAACCCCATGAGTGATCTGACCTTCTGATCATTGCTGGGATAAGACAGGTCTTGTGATATTTTTATCTTTGAATTTCTTGGTTCTTCTCATAATTTGTTTCAGCTTAAATGTTACCTCCTCCTAGTTGCCTTCCCTGATGATATTAAAGTAGTGCCCCTCTCCCTCACTCTGTACCCCATTAAATGATCTGAAATTATTTTGTTTACATGTTGATTGCCTATGCCCTCCCCAACAGCAAGCCCAACTCAAATCCACTTCTACCATTGAGCTTTGCTGATTCATCCCAGTGCTCCTTGTGCTCCCATCACTTTGAGCTTGCTCATTGCTAAGGTGATAAAATCAGATTTCTTCAGAACACACTGGGATTTTCTAGGGTAATTATTATTAGTGCTCCTGTTTATCCTCAGAACTATCCCAATTGGGACAATAAATTATATAATCACTGGATTTATAGTCTTGTGTCATACCCATTTGTAAAGATGTGTTATTTCTAAGCTCACTGAGGACAGGAACAAAGTCATGTTCATCTTTCTTTCTTTTTTTTTTTTTTTTTTTTTTTTTTGAGACAAGGTCTTGCTCTGTTGCCCAGGCTGGAATGCAGTGGCACAATCACGGCTCACTGCAGCCTCAATCTCTGGGACTGAAGCTATCCTCTCACCCCAACTTGCCAAGTAGCTGGAACCACAGGCAGGCACCACCATGCCTGGCTAATTTTTAAATTTTATTTTATTTTAATTAATTAATTATTATTATTTTTTGAGACAGAGTCTCGCTCTGTCGCCCAGGCTGGAGTGCAGTGGCATGATCTTGGCTCACTGCAACCTCTGCCTCCTGAGTTCAAGCAATTCTTCTGCCTTACCCTCCCAAGTAGCTAGGACTACAGGCGCGTGCCACCATGCCCAGCTAATTTTTGTATTTTTTGTTTTAAATTTATTTATTTTTTGAGACGGAGTCTCACTTCTTCACCCAGGCTGGAGTGCAATGGCACGATCTTGGCTCACTGCAACCTCCGCCTTCTGGGTTCAAGCAATTCTCCTGCCTCAGCCTCCCCAGTAGCTGGGATTACAGGTATGTGCCACCATGCCTGGCTAATTTTTGTCGGTATTTTTAGTAGAGACAGGGTTTCACTTTGTTGGCCAGGCTGGTCTGGAACTCCTGACCTCAAGTGATCCACCCGCCTCGGGCTCGGCCTCCCAAAGTGCTGGGATTATAGGCGTGAGCCACCACGCCAGGCTATTTTATTTTTTTGAGATGGAGTTTCACTCTTGTTGCCCAGGCTGGAATGCAATGGCTCGATCTCAGCTCACTGCAACCTCCACCTCCCGGTTTCAAGTGATTCTCCTGCCTTAGCCTCCCAAGTAGCTGGGATTACAGGTGTTTACCACCACACCTGGCAAATTTTTGTATTTTTAGTAGAGATGGGGTTTCACCATGTTGACCAGGCTGGTCTTAAACTTCTGACCTCAAGTAATTCGCTCGCCTCAGCCTCCCAAAGTGCTGGGATTATAGGTATGAGCCACTGTGCCGGCCTTATTTTAAAGAGACAGGGGCTCCCTAGGTTGCTCAGGCTGGTCTCAAACTCCTGGACTGAAACAATCCTCCCACCTGAAGTGCTGGGATTATAGGCCCGAGCTACCCTGCCCAGCCTGTGTTCATCTTTCTTTCACCAATAACATCTAGTAAGGTATTTTGTATACATATATTAGAAGCTCAGGAATCTATTGAATGGGATTGGATAATTGATTAAAATAAGACAATGTATGTGGAGAGACTAGCACGATATCTAATACATGGTAAATGTGTTAAATTCTTTTTTCCCAAACGTGGTATGTGCTAAAAATTAAAATAAATAAATAGATAATGTTAAGTTGTTTTTTTTTTTTTTGGAAACAGATTCTGTCTCTTTCACCCAGGTTGGAGTGCAGGGGCCCTTTTTTGGTTCACTGCGAGCTCCGCTTCCCAGGTTCACGCTATTCTCCTGCCTCAGCCTCCCGAGTAGCTGGGACTACAGGCGCCCGCCACCGCGCCCGGATAATTTTTTTTTTTATATTTTTGATAGAGACAGGGTTTCCCCGTGTTAGACAGGATGGTCTCGATCTCCTGACCTCGTGATCCACCCGCCTCGGCCTCCCAAAGTGCCGGGATTACAGGCGTGAGCCACCGTGTCCCGCCTTTTTTTTTTAAGACAAAGTATCACTTTGCCATCCAGGCTGGAGTGCACTGGCATGATCATGGCTCACTCCAGCCTCAATCTCCTGGGCTCAAGCAATTCCTCTTGCCTTAGTCTCCTGAGTAGCTGGGACTACAGGTGCATGTCACCACATGCAGCTAATTTCTTTATTTTTTTGTACAGACGATGGTCTTGCTATGTTGCCCAGGCTGATCTCAAACTCCTGGGCTCAAGCAATCCTCCCACCTTGGCCTCCCAAAATGCTGGGATTACAGGTGCAAGCCACCATGCCCAGCCTTGAAGTTTAATAAATCTTACTTTCCCTTCCCTCAGATGGGTCCAGGTGTCATATCTCTCAAGACCTTTGTTTACCAACTACTCTACACAGTTTAGTACCCAAGTATGTACCAGCTTGTTTGCCTTTATTGAGCTTTTTGTGATGTTGTTTCTTTTACCACATCAGAAGCTTTCATGTATCATATCTTATAATTATCAATTCCAGATAGCAGAACTAGTTCTTTCTTGTAAATTGGTTGATATTGAGATGTTCAATATCTATTGGCTGGTTAATTTGCAGGAAGGAGAGAAATGATGACAAAGATACCAGGTTAGGTGCCCACAGTCAGTGGCACAAGCGTAAAGGATCATGTTCCCTGTTTGAAGATGCATGTATATGCGTTCTAGCAAGCAAAAGTTGGAGCTTCTAATATATCCTCTCAACGTTTTCAGTAACTAAAAAGATACAGATTCAAGTGATCAAGTAATCTTTACACAAGAGTATAATGCCGCTTGGAAGTAAGGGAAGAATGAAAAATATGCTTAGTGTAGAGATCTGACTATGGAATAGTAAGACTGGGGTTTGAATTCCTAAATTATTTACAAATAACTTCCCTATGCCTGTTCTCTCATCTGTTTAATGGGGATGGTACATCTGCCTCTGGGGAGCTTGTAAGAAGAGTAAATATGAAATATATATATATATATATATATATATTTTTTTTTTTTTTTTTTTTTTTGAGACAGAGTCTCACTCTGTCGCCCAGGCTGGAGTGCAGTGGTGCAATCTCAGCTCACTGCAACCTCCCTCACCCGGGTTCAAGTGATTCTCCTGCCTTAGCCTCCAGAGTAGCTGGGATTACAAGTGTGCACCACCACACCTGGCTAATTTTTGTATTTTTTAGTAGAGACAGGGTTTCACCATGTTGGCCAGGCTGGTCTTGAACTCCCGACCTCAAGTGATCCGCCTGCCTCGGCCTCCCAAAATGCTGGGATTATGGGCGTGAGCCACCACTCCTGGCCTTAAATGATAAATATTAATAGTTTACATAAAATGCTCAGCATAGGGACTGGCTCATTACAAGCCCCAATCAGCAATAGCTGTTTTTATAATAGGCAGTCTGAGCCACTACAAAACCTGGATGTGAAAGGTGAAGCTAGCTAAGATCATTAAGTTCTCAAATTTTAAGTTAAATCTTGTTTCTAATGCCAAGGACAAACTATAATTCTTTACTTGTTCGATTGATTCTTTTGTTCATTCACTTATTATTCATTCATTTATTCCATACCAGGTACACAATAAATGCTTATTAAATGCTATTGAGTGAATAATAGTAAGTAACTTGGGGGAAAATAGAGCTTTTTTTTTTTTTTTTTTTTTTTTTAAGACAGTCTCCCTCTGTTGCCCAGGCTGGAGTGAAGTGGTGAGATCTTGGCTCACTGCAACCTCCACCTCCTGGGTTCAAGTGATTCCCCTGCCTCTGCCTCCTGAGTAGCTGGGATTATAGGCTTGCACCACCACGCCCGGCTAATTTTTGTATTTTTAGTATAGATGGGGTTTCACCATGTTGGTCAGGCTGGTCTCCAACTCCTGACCTCGTGATCTGCCCGCCTCGGCCTCCCAAAGGGCTGGGATTACAGGCATGAGCCACCGCTCCTGTCCAAGAGCTTTTTAAGGATATGCCCTCAGTGATATCTGTCAATGAGTGTAAAATACCCCGTGACCAGGACCAGGACACCATGCTGGATGCTGAAGGTTCAAATCCAGCTGTGTCACCTATTGGGAACCCAGCCAGGGATGTGCAGCATTCATTCCTTCAAGCTATCTAACCTATTACCTACTCAAGGCAGATGACTGCCTCATATTTAATGGAAAAATCAAGGTCATAGTGCTGAATGTTCCTCAATTTCCCTTCTCCTCTAGACCCGTCTTCCACTGAATCTGGTCTTAACCTCATTCCCTGATATCTCTTCCCTCCAGTACCCAAGAGCAGAGTTAATCACTTCCCAGTCATCTGTGCCACCATCGTGCAAATTTCTATTACTGCAAAGTAGCAGAGTTGATTTGGTTGTAGGTTTGCCTTCCACAAGAACTGAGTCTGTCTATGTCTTATTCTTCTTTGTGTGTCCAGCACCTCACATATGGCCTGGCATTTAGTAGGTGCTCAGTAAATGCTTACTGAAGGGGCTTTTGAGTTTTTGTTTTGTTTCATTTTTGAGACAGGGCCTCACTGTGGCTCAAGCTGGAGTGTAGTGGTGCGATCTTGGCTCGCTGCAGCTTCTGCCTACCAGGTTGAAGCGATTCTTGTGCCTCAGCCTCCTGAGTAACTGGGACTACAGGCCCTCACCAACAGGCCCAGCTAATTTTTGTATTTTTTGGTAGAGGCGGGGTTTCACCATATTGGCCAGGTTGATCTCCAACTCCTGACCTCAAATGATCCACCCTGCTCAGCCTCCCAAAGTGCTGGGATTACAGGCATGAGTCGCCGCACCTGGCTAGAAAGAGCTTTTGAATCAACTACTTCCCTTTAGTCTCCTCTTCAAAAATAAACTTTCCAAAAGACCTACACACTACCTCAATTTCCACTTCCTTATCCTAGATCTCTGTACATCTAATCTATCACCAAGCCCTATGAATTCAACCTCTAAAATATTTTCTGAATATGTCCACTCCTTGTTGCCCCATTGCCTCCACCTTCATCCAGACAGATATCTTTCATTGGCCTGTTTACTGCTGTAGTCTCCTAACTAGGGCTCCCTATTTATTCTCGTGTTAGCCCCCATCTATTCTGCGCACAGCCTTAGTGATTATTTTAATGTAAATGAAAGTATCATTACTCTGCATTTTCAGTTGCTTCCCAATGAGCTGAGGATACACTCCACATTCCCTGCTCTGGTCTACAAGGACCTACACAATCTGAATTCTACCAATCCCTCCCTCTTCAACTCATGCCATGCCCTAGTTGCTCATTCGGCTCCAGCCATGCTGGCCCTTAGAGGTTCGGATCAGCTCAACTCTTTCCCACTTCACAACCTTTGAATTTACTGTTTCCTCTATCTGGAGCACTCCTCCCCTCTCCTCACACAGCTGCTGCTTCTTATTCTTTTTTTTTTTTTTTTTTTTTTTAGATGGAGTTTCACTCGCCCAGGCTAGAATGCAGTGGCACGATCTCGGCTCACTGCAACCTCCGCCTCCTGGGTTCAAACAATTCTCCAGCCTCAACCTCCCGAGTAGCTGGGATTACAGGCACCCGCCACCATGCCCGACTAATTTTTGTATTTTTAGTAGAGACAGGGTTTCACCATGTTGGCCAGGCTGGTCTCGAACTCCTGACCTCAGGTGATCCGCCCGCCTCAGCCTCCCAAAGTGCTGGGATTACAGGCGTGAGCCACCGTGCCTGGCCAGAACTGGCTTCTTAAAACAAATTTATCAGCCAATTTATCCAAACTTCATGGATTGGCACACAAGATGTCTTCTTCCAATCCTAATTCCTTCCTCCCTGTCTCTCTTGGCACCCTCTTTCCCCTCCCTCTTTCATGCCTCACCTTTACAGAAATTCAGTTCAGTTTAATAACTATTAACTGGACATCCACTGTGTTCCAGGCACTGTACTTGACTATGGGGGAGAAAATATGAATGAAAACAGATAGCTGACTTCAAGGAATTTATATTCTATTAGTAGCAAAGGTAGATAGACATATGAACAAATATAACACAATGTTCCATTCCATAATGAAGATATATACTAAGGCTAGAAGAAGTACTGAGGAAAAAGTAATTAATTCTGCAAGGGTACAATGGCATGATGCTTCAGAGAAGGTTTCAAGATGAAATTCTGAGGATTTTGAAAGTTGGGTAGGAAATGGTCAGGTGGATCAAGGACGGAAAAACATTACTGGCCGAGTCAACAACAGGTTGACTAGGATCTGGAGTGAAGTCCCGCAAGTAGCTTTAGTGTGTATGTGTGTGTTGGGGAGAGAAGTGGTGATACCTGAGGCTGGAGAGGCATCAGGAGTCACTATATCAACAGCCTCTGTTTTGGGCTATGAAGTTTGGACATTATCTTATAGGTGAGGGGAACCATTAAAGATTTCGAAGCAGCAGCAGGATGACTTAATGGGACTTTAAGGACTATTACTCTGACAACCAAATAGAGATAGATTAAGAAGGGCCAAGCATATCAGTGAGGAGGTCCCTCATCATCTCTCAGACTATGATGGAAAATGGCTCCTAACTGATCTCTTTGGCCATCTAATCCATCCTCTACCCAGCAAGAAGAGAAAGAAGGAGAGAGAGCAGAATTCACTGAGCAGATAAGTTAAATGACAGGACCTGGGGATAGGTTGGATTTGGGGAGGAAGAAGATGGAAAGAATGATGTCTAGGTTACTAGGTCTGTGTACTTGATGAGGTTGGAGGCAATAGCAACTGTCAGAGTCTAAGAGAAAGAGCAGGTTTCATGGCGGGCATGGTAAATAATGCTTTCAGAGATGCATAAGTTGAATACTGAATCTGGGGTGCCTCTAGGGAACCTACCTGGCAATATGGGACTGGAGGTAGGAGAGAGGTCAGAGGTGGAGATAGGGAAGGTACCTTCTGCATAGAGATGGCAGTTAGAACCACAGGAGTAGACATGATCTCTCAGGGAAAGGTGGGTAAAGCTGGGAAGGGGGAGAAAGGATGAGCTCAGGAAAGAGCAACACCAGGTGGAGTCAGACAGTGGAACAGGATTTGGCAAGGTGGCTGTGAAGGGAGAGACAGGCAGAGGACAGGAAAAGAGTGGTGTTCCAGCAGCCAGAAGGAGAGGGGACTTCAGGAAGAAGGAGTGGTTGGGAATTTTAAGGAAGTAAGACGAGGGCCAAAAACTACTGTTGGTTTTGGCAACTGGAAAGTCATTGCTAACCTTGGCAAGAGCATTTCCAGTATAGCACCGGGGCAGAAGACAGATTTTAGTACGGTAATTGATATTGATAATAATACCTAATGTTTATTGACTGCTTGTTATGTACCAGGTGTGCGCTGTTTTATATGAATGATCTTATTTAATCCTCACAACAACCCTCCAAAGTGAGGCAGGCACAGTTATCTCTCTCTTTAGGGGGAGGGAAACAGGCTTAATCGTAAGAATCAGTTGGGGTATAAACCCAGGTCTGTCTGTCAAGAAACTCCATACTCCACTTGATCTTAGCCAAAAGGCCAAGAGGCAATACAAACTCCATACTCTTCATGACTCTTCTTTATCCTTTCTTTCAAGTGAATGGAAGGTGAGGAAGTGGGGACACAGTCTTTTAAGAATCTTGGCTGAGGTGGGGAGCAGTGGCTCACACCTGTAATCCTAGCATTTTGGGAGACCAAGGCTGGTGGATCACCTGAGGTCAGGAGTTTGAGACCAAGCTGGGTAGCATGGTGAAACCCCGTCTCTATTAAAAATACAAAAATTCGGCCGGGAGTGGTGGCTCAGGCCTGCAATCCCAGCACTTTGGGAAGCCGAGGCAGGCAGATCCCGATGTCAGGAGTCCAGGACTAGCCTGGCCGACATAGTGAACCCCCGTCTCTACTGAAAATACAAAAATTAGCCAGGAGTGGTGTCCCGCGCCTGTAGTCTCAGCTACTTGGGAGGCTTAGACAGGAGAATTGCTTGAGTCCGGGAGGCGGAGATTACAGTGAGCTGAGACCATGCCCTTGTACCCCAGTTCTGGGTGGCAGAGTGAGCTCCTGTCTCAAAAAAAAAAAAAAAAGCCAGGGGCGGTGGCTCATGCCTGTAATCCCAGCACTTTGGGAGGCCAAGGTGGGCAGATCACCTGAGGTCAAGAGTTCGAGACCAGCCTGGCCAACACGGCGGAACCCCATCTCTACTAAAAATACAAAAATTAGCCAGGCATGGTGGCAGGTGCCTGTAATCCCAGCTACTCAGGAGGCTGAGGTAGGAGAATCGCTTGAACCCAGGAGGCGGAGGTTGCAGTGAGCCAAGATCGTGCCATTGCACTCCAGCCCGGGGGACAAGAGCAAGACTTCATCTCAAAAACAAAAAAAAAATAAAAGCAGGATTCTTCATCATATTAGAATTTCAGATAAATGAAGAAGAAAAAAGAAAAAAATCATTCTGCTATAAAAACACATGCGCATGAATGTTCATTGCAGCACTATTCACAATAGCAAAGACATGTAATCAAACTAAATGCCCATTAATGATGGATTGGATAAAGAAGATGTGGCACATATGTACCATGGAATATTATGCAGCCATAAAAAATGAGATCATGTCTTTTGTGGGAACATAACTGGACTGGAGCTGGAGGCTATCATCCTTAGCAAATTAAGACAGGAACAGAGCCCCAGATATCACATGCTCTCACTTTTAAGTGGGAGCTAAATGATAAGAACTTATGAACACAAAGAAGGGAACAACAGACACTGGGGCCTACTTGAGAGTGGAGGGTGGGAGGAGGGAGAGGAGCAGAAGAGATCACTATTGGCTACTGGGCTTAATACCTGGGTGATGCAATAATATGTACAACAAACACTCATGACACATGTTTACCTACGTAACAAACCTTCACATATACCCCCAAACCAAAAATAAAAGTTAAAAAAAAAGTGTAGACATATATGCATACTCCTTAGCTCTATGCACCAAGACAGTTTGGAAATGGTCATACTCTAATAGCAGTTAACACCCCTAGTCCCAAATCTTGGTCTCTAAATACCGTTCTCCACTAAAAGAAACCAGGGATCCTTGGAGAAATGATTGATTTCAGGGCTGAGACAAGGAAAGTACAAGATGAACTCAGACCATCTTGCTGTGGCAGAAAGTAAAGAAGTGCTTAAAGAATGACAGAGATATGTCAACAGGATGTCAAAGGGGCTTGAAGGGGGCTCCCCTAACCAACTCTGAGCATCAAAATAAATAATGACAGTAAAAGGTCATAATCTATCAAATGAAGTGGGAATCCACATGTTCATACTGATAAGAATAAAAGAATACATAAACAAATGAGAACATCTTTCTTTACAGCAGAATAACAACTAATAAATTTAGAAGGAACAATGAAATTGAAAAAACCACTATTAGGCAAACTTCATAGTAATAATTCATTCAGCAAAAAAAAAAAACTAAAAATAGTGAGGAAAACTATGATAAGGAACAGGATATGTACCTCAAAGAAGTACCTTTCCACAAAACACTTACTAATTACAAAGGGCAAAAGAGTAACTTTACAGTGGAAAGACCTAGCAGACACCACCTTAATCCAGGTCAAAGTTAACATTCTGGTGAGGTTTGGATTAAAAACAAATCAAATATGCAAACAAAATAAACGATTGTATCAAATTTTTTTTAAAAAGAGAACAAAGTTAACATTCTCAATAATGGTACAAATTGAAATCAGGTACCACCAGATGGGAGGCAATAACACAGTATCACTTCTGTCCTATTCCTGCCAAAAAAAAAGAAACACTGAGAAATTGTTCCAGATTGAAAGAAACATGAGCCAGGTGTGCAGTGGCTCACGCTTGTAATCCCAGCACTTTGGGAGGCTGAGGCGGGCAGATCACCTGAGGTCAGGAGTTTGAGACCAGCCTGGCCAACGTGGCAAAACCCCGTCTCTACTAAAAATAAAAAAAATAGCTGCGTGCGGTGGCAGGTACCTGTAGTCCCAACTATTTGGAAGGCTGAGACAGGAGAATCGCTTGTACCCAGGCTGTGGAGGTTGCAGTGAGCTGAGATCTCGCCACTGCACTCTGGCCTGGGTGACAGAGCAAGACTCCATCTCAATTAAAAAAAAGAGAGAGAAAAGAAAAGAAAGAAAGAAACATGAAAACAAATGCAATGCATGGTCCTGGAAGAGACCCTTTTAATATAAAGGACAGTATTAGGGCCGGGCATGGCAGCTCACACCTGTAACCTAGCACTTTAGGAGGCTGAGGGAGGAGGATTGCTTGAGCCCAAGAGTTCAAGACCAGCCTGGGCAATATAGGGACCTATCTCTATGAAAAACTTTTTTAAAAATTTGCCAGGCATGGTTGTGCACATCTGTACTCCTAGCTACTCAGGAGGCTGAGGCAGGAGGATCCCTTGGGAAGAACAGTTCCAGACTATGCTATGATGGCACCACTGCACTCCAGTCTGGGCAATAGAGTGAGACCCTGTCTGAAAAAAAAAGGGGGGGTAGGGGGGACAGTAGTGGGACAATTAGAGAAATCTGATCTGGGCCTGTGGGTTAGATGGCTGTCATATACTTGTTTGAGTGTGTACTCATGTTGGGAGGATGGGCATTGTGTTGGAAATTTAATCTTGGATGGTTCAGAAAAAAAGTTCTTGAAATTTTTTTTAAATTTAAAATTCTTTCAGCATAAAATGAAAAATAAAATTTTAAAATCTATCAGTAATTCCTCTGATAAATAAGATAAGCTATTGAATTAATGGAACAAAAACAGTACACATAAAGAGAAACTTTCATAAACAAGAAAGAGCTCTTGGAAATTAAAAATATGATAGAAAATTTGTTTAAGTGTTCAACAGAAAATGTACAAAGTAAAATTGAAGAAATCTTAGAGATAAAAGACAAACATAGAAAACAGAGGAGGATGGCCGGGTGCGGTAACTCATACCTGTAATTCTGGCACTTTGGGAGGCCAAGGCAGGAGGATCACTTGAGCCCAGGAGTTCAAGACCAGCCTTGGCAACACAGTGAGTCCATGTCTCTACAAAAAATTTAAAAATTAGCTGGGTGCGGTGGCAGTCACCTATAGTCCCAGGTACTAGGGGTTTAGGGGAGCTGAGGTGGGAGGGATCGCTTGAGCCCTTGAGTCAAGGCTGCAGTGAGCTATGATTGTACCACTGCACTCTAGCCTGGGCAACAGAGCTGAGACCCTGTCTCAAAAACAAACAAACAAAAAGAAAATGGAGGAGGAAAACACAAAATACAAGCTCCAAGGCAATTAGATTAGGCCAGGAGATCCAGCATCTAACTAATGGGTGTTCAAAAGAAAAACAACATAGAAATCAGAAGGGAAGAAATCATCAAGCAAGTAATAAAGACTAATCCCCATATTGAAGGATACGAATCGCTAGATTGAAACGTCCCATCTAGTGCCAGCACAGTCAATGAAAACAGACCCACAGCAAGGCACATCATCAAGAAATATCAGAAAATCAAAGACAAAGAGAAGAGGTCTCAGAAAGGGAAAACCTAAACTAAACAAAAACAGGCCACATAGAAGAGCTTAGGAATCAAAATGACTTTAGACCTATTAACAGCCACACTGACACCGGAAGGCAATGAAGGAGTGCCTTGAAGATTCAGAAGGAAAATTCTGTACAACCTAGAATCCTAAATAGAGCCAAACTTTTGTATGAAGTATGAAAGCAAACACACATATTTTCAAGCATGCAAGGTCTCCAAAAATTTATTTCTCATCTATATTTTATTCAGGAAGCTACTGGGGGATATGTGTCACCAAAATAAGGACATAAGCCAAGAAGGAGGAAAATATGGGATGAGGCGATACAATGGGAGAAAAAGGTAAAGGGGATCTCTAGAAGGTGATGAGGAGAGGTCAGAAGACAGCTCTGCACCAGGAGTAGTAGCAAATGACAGAAACCGAATGCAAACTAGTTTAAGCAAAATAAAAATATTGGCTTGGCATGATGGCTCACGCCTATAATCCCAGCACTTTGAGCGGCCAAGGTGGGTGGATCACTTGGCGCCAGGAGTTCGAGACCAGCCTGGTCAACATGGCTGATACGGTTTGGCTGTGTCCCCACCCAGAATCTCTTCTTGAATTGTAATCCCTATAATCCCCACGTGTCAAAGGCAGGACCAGTTGGAGGTAATTAGATCACGGGGCAGTTTCCCCATGCTATTCTCATGATAGTGAGTCTCATGAGATCTGATGGTTTTATAAGCATCTGACATTTCCCCTGCTTGCACTCACTCCATCCTGCCGCCCTGTGAAGGAGGTGCCTGCTCCTCCTTTGCCTGCCATGATTGTAAGTTTCCTGAGGCCTCCCAAGCAATGTGGAACTGTGAGTCAATTAAACCTCTTTCCTTTATAAAGGGTATTTCTTCACAGCAATGTGAGAACGGAATAATACAATGGTGGAACCCCGTCTCTACTAAAAATACAAAGATTAGACAGGCATGGTGGCACACACCTGTGATCCCAGCTTCTCGGGAGGCTGAGGCATGAGAATGGCTTGAACCTGGGAGTGGAGGTTACA
The DNA here is from genome assembly GCF_000001405.40 of Homo sapiens. Taxonomy (NCBI): domain Eukaryota; kingdom Metazoa; phylum Chordata; class Mammalia; order Primates; family Hominidae; genus Homo; species Homo sapiens. The sequence continues at coordinate 118,811,955 of NC_000011.10, forward strand.
GTGAGCCAAGATAGCGCCACCGCACTTCAGCCTGGGTGACAGAGTGAGACTGTGTCTCAAAAAATATATATATTTAAAATATATATATATATATATATATATATACAAAATGTTGATATGTGTGGTGGGGTAGGTGAAGGAGTTTGTGCAAACTGAAAAGTCCAAGATTCAGGTTTTCAAATGCTGTTGTCAAGTTTGTCTCTCTTTCGGCTGTTTTCCTGTATTTAGGCTCTTTGTGTGGCAGCAAGAGGGACTCTGGAAGCTCAGGTTTACCTGCTAGTTTATGCATAAGATAACAACAGGGCCAGGTATGGTGGCTCGCACCTATAATCCCAACACTTTGGGAGGCTGAGGCAGGAGGATTGCTTGAGCTCAGGAGTTCCAGACCAGCCTGTGCAACATGGTGAGACCCCCATCTCTACCAAAACTACAAAAAATTTTAAAAATTAGCCAGGTAAGGTGGCCTGTGCCTGTAGTCCCAGCTACTAGGGAGGCTGACGTGGGAGGATCCCTTGAGCCCAGGAGGTTAGAGGCTAGCATTGAGCTGTGATCATGCCACTGGAGGACTCTAGCCTGGTCAATAGAGCACGAGCCTGTCTCAAAAAATACAGAAAGAAAAACAAAAGCATCATGATAACGTCACGATAACACTTTCCTGATGACGCTCATGAAACTCCCAGGGCAGATTCTAACAGGCCCAGCTTGGGTCATGTGTCCATCCCACAACCAATCATTGGTAAGGGAGATGGAATATTCTGATTGGCCAGGCAAGGTCAAGTCCCCAGCCCCAGGGCTATGATCCAAAGACAATGATATCACCTGCAAAGGTCTGATGAGCACTTTGTAATTGGTAAAGTGTGCAAATGTAACAATTATCACCTGTCCATAGCAGATTAGACCGTATATTAGAAGGAAAGAGAGTCTGTATTAAGTAAGCTCTACCCTTACAGCAAAGAGAAGTAGAAGTGGATAACAGGGAGACTGACAGGAAAAACTATACAAATTCCACATAGAAGTGCAGCATTCTGGGACATTTGCTGTAGAAAAAAATGGTTCTACAAACTTTATTATATAACATTGTTATCACCATGATCTATTTAGAAAAGGTTTGGGGGTTTTTTGTTTTGGTTTTGGGTTTTTTTGGTTGTTTTTGTTTGTTTGTTTGTTTTGAGACAGGGTCGCACTGTGTCACGCAGGCTGAAGTGCAATGGTGCAGTCACGGCTCATTGCAGCCTCAACCTACCTGGGCTCAAGCAATCCTCCCACCTCAGCGTCCCGGGTAGCTCTGACTACAGGTATGTGCCGCAACATCCAGCTAGTTTTTAATTTTTTTGTGGAGACTGAGTCTTGCTATGTTGCCCAGACTGGTTTCAAGCTCCTGAGTTCAAGTGATCCTCCAACCTCAGCCTCCCAAAGTGCTGGGATTACAGGTGTGAGGCGGAAAAGTGTAATATACATTTTAAAATTCATGTCTGGAGAAGTCATCCTTGTCTGTGTGTTTAACTTGTCTATCCAGAATGACTTTTTCCAAAGTTGCCAGGTAGCTGGTGATTTAATAGGGACCCTGTCCTAGTGGAGAGTCAATCTCATTCAGAAGATGATGTAGGTTTATTACAGGACAGCAAACAGTGAAAACTAAATTGGCCATTTATACATTAAGTTCTATATACTAATTATGTTTTCAGTTCCACACTCCAAAACAGAATATCGAATTGGGTGGGTCCCTTAAAGTAGGGCAATTCTCATGTTTACATGTTAAGCTTGCTTGGCCAGAACTTGCTACCCTAAAAATATACTCACTCTACTCACATGTAGGATGTAAACACATCCCTCTTTGCAGATCTGTGTTTAATCTCTTGGGTTCTCTTTAGCAATTTCCTCATTAGTAAGTTGTGTGTTGGTGGAAAGTGCTCCCAGCAGCAAAAACACAAGCAGGTGCATAACATGTGGATTATCATGCTGATAGCACTTATCCCAGAAGATGACACATCTCACCCTTTTTCCATTTTACAAACAGCTCTGACATTAGATCCACCTGTTACTTCAGGACATTTCAGGAGCTTTTCCTCAGAAAGTCCAATCTCCTCCCCAGCTGATCTGCTTCTCATCCCATTAGCAATGTCACCACACTTTATGCCGTGTGCGATCATATCCTTCCCCAAGTTATGACTATATCGTAGGGAGAAGAAAAGAGAAGAGAGAAGGAGAAGGCAAAGGAGAGAATAATTAATTCATAGTTCATTTATTAACTTCCTAGGCTTTGATTACTTGCCTGAATCCATTTTCTTCATATTTGGGCTGTACAGTAACCTGATTCTTTTGTTTTCTTCTGAGACAGGATCTTGCTCTGTCGCCCAACCTGGAGTGCTGTGGCACCATCTCGGTTCATTGCAACCTTGACCTCCGCAGGCTCAGGTGATCCTCCCCACTCAGCCTCCTGGGTAGCTGGGACCACAGGTGCACACCACCATGCCTGGCTAATTTTTGTATTTTTTGAGACAGAGTCTCACTGTGTTGCCCAGGCTGGTCTTGAACTCCTGGGCTCAAGCAATCCTCCTGCCTTGGCCTCCCAAAGTGCTGGGATTATAGGCGTGAGCCACCATGGCCAGCCTCAATTAATCTTTATATTCTCATTTCCCAGTATATTCTTCATCCTTCTTCATCTGCTTATCCTCAAAACCTCAGCTCAAAGCCATAAGGCCTTAAGTCTGTTTCCCTCATTAGAACATAAGTTCAACCTGGCAGGGTGGCTCACACCTGTAATCCCAGCACTTTGGGAGGCCCAGGCGGGAAAATTGCTTGAGCCCAGGAGTTTGATACCAGCCTGGACAACATGGGAAAACCCCACCTCTACAAAAAATACAAAAATTAGCCAGGCATGTTGGTGTGCACCTGTGATCCCAGATACTCAAGAGGCTAAGATGGGAGGATCACTTGAGCCAGCAAGGTGGAGACTGCAATGAACTAAGATCATGCCACTGAACTCCAGCTTGGGTGACAGAATGAGACCCTGTCTCAGAAAAAGACAAAAAGAAAAAGAAAAAAAAAGAAAATCTATCACTCTTCCATCTTTTCCCTGTACCTATAATTTATTCATTCAGCAAATATGTATGGATTGCCTACTCTATGTCAGGCAGTGTGTGGCTGAATGGTTCTCCTGTTATAATAATAATGATAATAACTTAAAAGAGAATAATGTTTATCAAGGCCAGCCTGAGCAACATAAGGAGACCCCATCCCTACAAAAAATAAAATTAAGTTAAAAAAAATCAGGGCTGGGCAAGGTGGCTCACGCCTGTAATCCTAGCACTTTGGGAGGCCAAGGCAGGCAAATTGCCTGAGCTCAGGAGTTCAAGACCAGCCTGGTCAACATGGCAAAACCTCGTCTCTACTAAAAATACGAAAAATTAGCAGGACGTGGTGGCATGCCCTTGTAATCCCAGCTACTCAGGAGGCTGAGGCATGAGAATCGCTTGAACCCGGGAAGCAGAGGCTACAGTGAGTCGAGATAGTGCCACTGCACTCTAGCCTGGGTGACAAAGCGAGACTCTGTCTCCAAAAATAAATAAATGAATAAAAATAATTATTTTTGTTGAGACGGTCTCACTCTGTTGCCCAGGCTGGAGTGCAGTGGTGCCATCTTGCCTCACTGCAGCCTCAACTTCCTGGGATCAAGTGATCCGCCCCAGCCTCCCGAGTAGCTGGGAATACAGGTGCATGCTATCCTGCCCAGCTAATTTTTGTACTTTTTGTATACTCTGGGTTTCACCATGTTGACCAGGCTGGTCTCGAACTTAGCTTAAGCGATCCACCCACCTCAGACTCCCAAAGTGCTGGGATTATAGGCGTGAGCCACCGTGCCTGGCCAAATTAAGTTAAATCAAATTAAAATTTTTAAAAAAGAATGTCACAGAAATGGAATCATACAGTGATTAACTTTTTTCACATGCTGTATATAAATTCACAATCCATTTTGAATTAATTTTTGTGTAAGATGTGAAGTTTAGGCCGGGTGCAGTGGCTCACGCCTGTAATCCCAGCACTTTGGGAGTCTGAGGTGGGTGGATGGATCGCTTAAGCTAAGTTCAAAACCAGCCTGGTCAACATGGTGAAACCCCATCTCCTCTAAAAATACAAAAAATTAGCCGGGCATGGTGGTGTGCACCTGTAATCCCAGCTACTCAGGAGGCTAAAGCAGGAGAATCACTGGAACCCAAGAGGTGGAGGTTGCAGTGAGCCAAGATTTCACCACTGTACTCCAGCCTGGGCAACAAAAGCAAAACTCTGTCTCAAAAAAAAAAAAAAGTGACATTTAGGTCAAGGTTCTTTTTTTTTTTCTTTTGCCTATGGATGTCCAATTTCTACAGGGCTATTCATTGAAAAGACTATTCTTCCTCCATTGAATTGCTTTTGCTCCTTTGTCAAAAATCAATTTCTGGCTTGTTCCATTGACCTGTGTATCTGTCACTACTCCATACTGTTTAAATTACTATATCTTTACAGTGAGTCTGTAGCAATACAGTAAATCTTAACATCAGACAGAATGATTGCTTCCAGATTATTCTTCTGTTTCCAAATTGTTTTAGCTATTCTAGCTCCTTCGACTTTCTGTATAAATTTTAGAATAAGCTTGTCTTCACTTACAGAAAATCTTGCTGGACTCTTCAATTTTAATAATTTTAAAGTTTTCTTCATTTCATTTATTTAATGTGTATTAGCTTTTAAAATGATTTATTCTATTGTATGTCACACAGATGGTCAGAAGACACCAAATTTCCTATGTTTCTAAGAGGTAGGGCAAGCCCTCTTTTGTCATGGTAGTCATCAAATAATTCCATACGTTATCTTTACAAGTGTTCCTTAAACCTCACAGCAACCCTAAGAGGAATATACTAGTAGTCTCTCTGTTTTACAGATGAGGAAACTGAGGCATGGATAGATTACATAACATGTCCAGTGTCTCATAGCTAGAAAGTGGCAGAGTTGGGATTTGAACCAAAGCAATCTGGTTCCAGAACACATACTGTTATCCTCTGTGCTATGCTGTTCTGTTTGAATATAGTTATCTCATCCAAGAAATTTTTATTCAGTGCCTATTATGTGCCAAGGACTGTTCTAGGTGCTGTGTGTTCTAGGTGTCCTATGGCACCCATGAGTAAAATAAAAATAAAATAAAGCAGTGATTAAGACAAAATCCCAGCTCCCATGGAGCTTCTATTGTAAAGGGGGAGAATTTACTGTATTAATGCAATAATTATTGTTTTGTTGAAGTATTATTTTATTATTTGATTTATATTGAGAACACAGACACTTTAAATATAGGAGCTGGGATCTTACCCAAAAGATATGCTTATTCACTGGATATAAATACTCACCATAATTCTACCAATCTTCTGGAGACTGAAAAATCCCTCAGTTGGGAGATAGATAAAACCATCTTGGGCCGGGCGTGGTGGCTCATGGCTGTAATCCCAGCATTTTGGGAGGCGGAGGCGGGCGGATCACGAGGTTAGGAGATCAAGACCATCCTGCTAACACAGTGAAACCCCGTCTCTACTAAAAACACAAAAAAATTAGCTGAGCCTGGTGGCACGCGCTGGTAGTCCCAGCTACTCAGGAGGCTGAGGCAGGACAATCGCTTGAACCCAGGAGGCAGAGGTTGCCACGAGCCAAGATCACACCATTGCACTCCAGCCTGGGTGACAGAGTGAAACTCTCTCAAAACAAACAAACAAACAAACAAACAAACAAACAAAAAACCATCTTGACTTCAAACACCATAGATTAGTTTTAACTATTTTAGAACTTTAGATAAAATTATACGGTATATTTTCCTTTCTGACTTCTTTTGCTCAACATTATGTTGGTAAGATTCACACATTTGTCGCATGTAGTTGTAGTTTGTTCATTCTTGTTGTGCTGTTCCATTGAGTGAAATAACCTAGTTTATCCATTCTATTGCATGTGGAGATAGAGATTGTCTCCAATGGCCGGGCGCGGTGGCTCACGCCTGTAATCCCAGCATTCTGGGAGGCCGAGGTGGGTGGATCACTTGAGGCCAGGCGTTCGAGACCAGCCTGGCCAACATGGTGAAACCCCGTCTCCACTAAAAATACAAAAATTAGCCGGGCATGATGGTGCATGCTTGTAATCCCAGCTACTCAGGAGGCTGAGGCAGGTGGATGACTTGAACCCGGGAGGTGGAGGTTGCGGTGAGCCGAGATAGTGCCACTGCACTCCAGCCCAGGTGACAGAGCTAGACTCTCTCTCAAAAAACAAACAAACAAAAAATATGATTGTCTCTTTTTGACTTACAAATGTTATATATTTTAATAAAAATATATTAAAATACATTATAATATATTAAAATATATTATAATAAAAATAATATTAATATTAATATTTGACTTACAAATATAAATAGTATATGATTATGGTCAGTTTTAATACGGCCAAACAATTTTCTAAAGTCATACCATTGTTTCATACTGCTTTCAAAAATGTTCTTTTGTTTTCCCTTATATTTAGCAAAATATTTTGTTGAGGACTCCAACTCATTTCATCTACAAACAAAAGTTTAAAAATCTATGCTTAGACCAAAGGGATGGAAAAAGAACAGCAAAGACACAGGAAACCTGAGGGAGGAGGAAACTGGGACAGATTCAGGACTGTTTGGCCAGCCAGTTCTTCCTGTAAGATATTCTCTTTCAAGAGCTAAGCTTTGGGGGTTCTAATTCTGTTTTAATAAAACACAGTGTTCCTTTACATAGTTGAACTGAATTGTTTTCCAACAAATATGAATTAAATTGCCTCATTATTTATTTAGGTTAAACAATTAAACTGTAAGCTTAAGAGGAAAGGGACCTTGTACATTCTTCAACATTATAGCCTCAGACATAACAGATGCTCAATAAATGTTTGGATAAATGAATGAATAAATAAATGAATCAGTTTCCTAAAACTTAGCAACTATCTATCATGACCTGATGTAGCATAGTTGGTTCATTATGCTGTGTCTCAAATTCAATGATCCAGGCCTTTCTCCTGAGTCTACCCCAAATACCATGAGACTATATTGGAGCTCTCTTGGGATTATACATGGAGGATCAATAGGCTGGACAACCCCACTCCCTCAGACAGTCAGCCTGGCACTGCCCTTATAGAGATCCTGGTCAAACAGTAGACATAGGCCAAGCACGGTGGCTCAAGCCTGTAATCCCAGCACTTTGGGAGGCCGAGTTGGGAGGATCACTTGAGGCCAGGAGTTTGAGACCAGCCTGGGCAACATGGTGAGACCTCATTTCCATTAAAAATAAAAAATTTAGCCATGCATGGTGTCATGCACCTGCACTTCCCAGCTATTCATGAGGCTGAAGCGGGATGATTTCTTGAGCCTGAGAAGTCAAGGCTACAGTAAGCTGTGATTAGCCTGGGCGACAGAGCGAGACCCTGTCTCAAAAAAAAAAAAAAAAAAGAGATAATTTATGAAAGAATATGTACACACACTCAGAATGATGCATGTGGCTTAACTGTTTACAAGTGTGAATAAATGGCTCATTTACATAGAGTATCACATTTAATCCTCTCAAAGCCCTAAGGGGCTTGTTATTATAATCTTCATTTTATAAATGAGGCAGTTCAGAGAAATGAGGTGAGTTGTTAAAGGTCACAACCAGTAATTGTTAAAGCCTCAATTTAAACTTAGGTCTGTCTAGAGCCTGAGATTTTAAGAATTATGTGTGCATAAATAATTTAAAAATTAAATTTTCTTTGGCTCTCAAGGACATGTATTTTTGCATCTGATTTCAATTAAGCTAAATACATTTGGTGCCGACTAGGTACCGAAGACATTTATATAACTTAAGATAATATCACAATGTATTTACCTTCTCTAAGCACTCCTTCAGCTTCCCTGATTAGGAGGCGGCTGGGCCTTGAAAGAAAACTTCCTTTCTGATGTACGGAACAGAGGACTAGGAGCCTGCGTGAGTAGGTCTTAGGGTGAAGGAAGCCTTTTCAGAAGGGGAGATGAGGGAGAGAGGAAAATGAATTGGCAGGAAAAAGGCAGAAAAGGTATATTTCAAGAGGGAAGTCTGAAAATTATTTCCATCAGAGCTTTCTGTGACTTGTTTTAATGATAGCCATCCAGGCTTTTTATTTTATTTATTTATTTTATTTTATTTTGAGATGGAGTCTCACTCTGTTGCCCAGGCTGGAGTAGAATGGCGCGATCTCAGCTCACTGCAACCTCCGCCTCCTGGGTTCAAGCGATTCTCCTGCCTCAGTCTCCTGAGTAGCTGGGACTACAGGCGCCCACTACCACACCCGGCTAATTTTTGTGGTTTTTTTAGTAGAGACAGGGTTTCACTATATTGGCCAGGCTGGTCTCAAACTCCTGAACTTGTGATCCACCCATCTCGGCCTCCCAAAGTGCTGCGATTACAGGCATGAGCCACCGCGCCTGGCCAGCCATCCAGTTCTTGAAGGCCAAAGAAAGCATAATAAACCTGAAGATTCTTGGCAGATCCTGGCATTGCTGGACTGCAGGGTGCATAAACACCCTGGGTGACAGATGACGTGGCCGGCCATCTCAGGCCCATCCCTGTGCACTGGGTCTGGACGGTGCCAGCTCCTTGGCAACACTGCAGGCTGTTATGACCCTGTGCCAGGGCGGGGGAGGGGCCGAGCACCAGGTGACGTGGCAACACCGCAGTCAAAGGAAAGCCATGCTAAGAGGCCACTGCCCCGCAGTCCTGTGACAGGCAAGGGGAATGCAGGAATATTGGGGAAGAGGGGAGGGGTGGAGGGGAAGGATCATTGTTGCACGGCTCTAGCAAGAAAGAAAATCTAAAATTCTGCTTCATGGCTCAGCTCCCAGCACAGCTAATGCTTGGAATGGACCAGTTGCCTGGACAGTTTCAATTATTTGTCATAAGCAGCTCAGGCCTTGGTGTGCAGATTTCCTTTGCCCCTCAGTTTCAGATAGCCCACTGTGGCCCCTGCTCATGATTCAGACTGAAATAGCTGCCTGTTTTGCATGCCAGTTAAGCCTGCATTTCAGTTCTTGTTTCTTTGAAAGGACCTGTCAGGGAAGCAGTATGAAATGTCAGGTTCCGGTTTGGTATTCCCCCTCTACCTTCAACCTTGTAGCTTGACTTTTGTGGGATTCCCACTCATGCTCAGAGTCCCCTCATGCGAATAGGCTTATCTAATTCACAAGTAGCTCGGTGATGTGATGATGCCTGGCCCTGTGAAATCATATTTTTTCACCTTACATCACCTTCCATGGACTGGCTGGAATTCAGATTAGTTAGCCATCCCATTCTTGCTTGGACATGCTTATTAAAGATAGAGGATATTGGCCAGGCGCAGTGGCTCATGCCTGTAACCCCAGCCCTTTAGGAGGCTGAGGCAGGTGAATCATCCAAGGTCAGGAGTTCAAGACCAGCCTGGCCAACGTGGTGAAACTCCGTCTCTACTAAAAATACAAAAAATTAGCCGGGTGTGGTGGCACGCACCTGTATTCCCAGCTACTCGGGAGGCTGAGGCAGGAGAATTGCTTGAACCCAGGAGGCAGAGGTTGCAGGGAGCCGAGATCGTGCCACTGCCCTCCAGCCTGGGCAACAGAGTGGGACTCCATCTCAAAAAAAAAAAAAGGCATTATCAATTATCAAGGAATTATCAATTTCTTCCTACAAAATAACTGAGGAGTCCTACATAGATCTTTACAATTGTCTGTGTAGAAGTTCAAACTCCTGAAAGTTGGCTAGTCCTTGTTCATATCTACCCCATACCTGTGTTAATACCGTTTACATTTACTCTTTCAGACACAGGGGAACAAGGTCCTGAGCAAAGGAGGACTTGGTATGAACAAGTGGGTTTGGTGCCGCCATTGCTTCTGGCTTGGGTCTCTGCAACTTTGGTGGAGCTTCCAAGAGCTCCATGTGGGGACGGAGCATTAGATGGTTGACAACATCTGTGGTCTGCAGGAGCCACTATGCGGAGGGCCCAGGGAAGAATTTGCCATTTTCAATGAAAAACACGTGGCAGTTACTAATTATGATGACTTTGTACTGGGATCGGGATCTGCGGCACCCTTCTTTAAAGTAAAACACCAACTGCTTAAGAAATAAGAATGTTTTAGTTTATCCATTGAACAGACATGAAGAGTGTTTCAAGAGATGCAATCCCTTTGAAAAATGGATCAAACTCTTGAACTCATGTAGCATACTAGATATGTTTGTGAATAAACTCATGACATGAAAAATCAGTCAATCAATTTAGCCTTGGACATAAATAGATAATGGCTTCTCATTCCCCGTTTACAGTGGCCCCTCCTTCTCTTGTCTTTTCCAAATACAAGACCGCTTAGATCTTTATCATCATCCTGAGGAGCTGATATTCAAGATTATATGTAAGACATGGGGAACTTGAACTCAGAGGGGTTTTTTTGTGTTTGTGTGTGTGTGTGTGTGTGTGTGTGTGTGTGTGTGTGTGTGACAAGGTCTCACTGCTGCCCAGACTGAGTGCTGTGGCACAGTCACAGCTCACTGTAGCATCAACCTCCTGGGCTCAAGCGATCCTCCTACCTCAGCCTCCTGAGTAGCTGGGACCACAGGTATGCACCAGTATGCTCGGCTAATATTTTTATATTTTGTAGAGACAGGGCTTTGCCATGTTGTCCAGACTGGTCTTGAATTCCTGGACACAAGTAATCTTCCTGTCTTGGCCTCCCAAAGTGCTGGGATTACAGGTGTGAGCCACCGTGCCCAGCCAGAATTGGAGATTTTTAAATACAGAAATTCTCAAGTGCTTTGCCCAGGAAGGGCTACATTTGTCAACTTTTCTGGCTGCTGGAGCAGGTCAGAGAGGGCTAATATTCCTGTCAGAGGTGGTAGATTTCCTCTGACCCCATTTGTTCATCTCTACACTTTCTGAAGAAAAGTCCCTTTTCAGATGTCTATATATTTTTAAATATTCTCATTATTTAGAAAGCTCCTTTCTTTATGTTCTGAGTGAATTACTCCCATGTGTTAAGAGTTGGGAAGTGATAGGAAAGGTAGGGTCCAAGGAAAGTAGTCAAAATTGATCAAGGACCCAGCTGAAAGATAAATGAAGTTGAACAGTTCACAAAAGAGGAAATATATTGGGCTAAAAGACACGTGGGAAAATGTTCAACTTCACTAATAACAAAAGAAATGCAAATTTTAAGAACCAGGTACCGTTTCATCTATAAAATTTGCAAAAGTTAAAAATGTGTGGCCTGGCGCAGTGGCTCATGCCTATAATTCCAGCACTTTGGGAGGCCAAGGTGGGTGGATCATGAGGTCAGGAGTTCGAGACCAGCCTGGCCAAAGTGGTGAAACTCCGTCTCTACTAAAAATACAAAAAATTAGCTGGGCATGGTGGCAGGCACCTGTAATCCCAGCTACTTGGGAGGCTGAGGCAGAGAATTGCGTGAACCTGGGAGGCGAAGTTTGCAGTGAGCCGAGATTGCACCACTGTGCTCCAGCCTGGGCAACAGAGCAAGACTCCATCTCAAAAAAAAAAAAAAAAAAGGGTTGGGGGTGGTGAGAAAATACCCAGTATTGGCAAGCATGCAGTGTGGTGGCTGTCTTTATGCCCTGCTAGTGGTGGGCTAAATTGATGCCACTTTTAGGGAAACCATCTGGTGATGCGTATCAATCATATTCCTGTTAAATTATCCTAAGAAAGTTATCCAGAACATAACACAAATTTATTCACAATGATGCAGCGTTATTTATAAGAAAAAATGGGAATAACTTAAGTATCAAAAAATATGAGACTGGTTAAATAAATGATAATATATTCTCACAGTAGAACACTAATGCAACTGTTGGGAAAGATGCTTTGTGGGCCAGGTGCGGTGGCTCACACCTGTAATCCCAGTACTTTGGGAGGCCGAGGCGGGCAGATCATGAGGTCAGGAGATTGAGACCATCCTGGCTAACATGGTGAAACCCCGTCTCTACTAAAAATAAAAAAAAATTAGCCAGGTGTGGTGGCGGGTGCCTGCAGTCCCAGCTACTCGGGAGGCTGAGGCAGGAGAATGGCGTGAACCCGGGAGGTGGAGCTTGCAGTGAGCCGAGATCGCGCCACTGTACTCCAGCCTGGTGACAGAGCGAGACTGCACCTCAAAAAAAAAAAAAAAAAAAAGATGCTTTGTTAAGTTTTCTAGTACCACGAGAAAATGCTTTTTTTACAATCCAGGCTGGGGTGCAGTGGTGCAATCTTGGCCTCCCCAGTTCAAATGATTCTTGTGCCTCAGCCTCCCTACTGGGATTACAGGTGTGTGCCAGCACACCCAGCTAATTTTTTAATATTTTTAGTAGAGATGGGTTTTTGCCATGTTAGCCAAGCTGGTCTCGAACTCCTGGCCTCATGTGATCCACCCACCTGGGTCTCCCAAAGTGTTGTGGGCCACTGCGCCTGGCCTATTACAATGTTAATTAAAAGGTGCAAAATACAAAATTGTATTTGCAGTCATCCCTCAGTAGCTGTGGAAGATTGGTTCTAGGACTCCCCCTGTCCCCACAGATACCAAAATCCACAATATACAAGTTCCTTCTTTTTATGTTGTTGCTTTTTTTTTTTTTGAGACAGAGTTTCACTCTTGTCGCCCAGGCTGGAGTGCAGTGGCACGATCTCGGCTCACTGCAACCTCTGCCTCCTGGGTTCAAGCGATTCTCCTGCTTCAGCCTCCTGAGTAGCTGGGATTACAGGCAGGTACCACCACACCCAGCTAATTTTTGTATTTTTGGTAGAGATGGGTTTCACCATGTTGGCCAGGATGGTCTCAAACTGCTGACCTCAGGTGATCCCCCCGCCTCGGTCTCCCAAAGTGCTGGTATTACAGGCGTGAGCCACTGTGCCTGGCCACAAGTTCCTAATATAAAATAATGTAGTATTTGCATGCAACCTACTGACATCCTCCCATATACTTTAAATCATCTCTAGGTTACTTATAATACCTAATGCAATGTAAATGCTATGTGAATAGTAGTTTTACTGTATTGTTTAGGAAATAATGACAGGACAAAAAAACCTGTGCATGTTCAGTACAAATGCAGCCATCCTTTCCTTTTTCAAATATTTTCAATCTGTAGTTGGTTGAATCCCAGGATGCAGAACTCACAGTTACAAAGAGCTGACTGTACATTCTAATCTCAGTTATGTTAAAAAATAAAACGTAGAAACAAGAAAGGGATAAAACATATTAATTCGTTAACAATGGTTGTCTTGAAATAATTGGTAATTTTTTTCTTCTTCCCTTTTCCTCTTATTTATCTGTAATAATAATATACTGTCTTTAGAATAAAAATTGTATTTAGGCAGGATGCAGTGGCTCATGCCTATAATCTCAGCACTTTAGGAGGTCGAGGCAGGAGGATTGCTTGAGCTCAGGAGTTTGAAACGGGCCTGGGTAGCATAGTGAGACTCTATCTCTACAAAAAATTTAAATTATTTATTTATCTGTGAGACAGAGTCTCACTTTGTCGCCCAGGCTGGAGTGCAGTGGCACAATCTCGGCTCACTGCAAACTCTGCCTCCTGGGGCTCAAACAATTCTCCTGCCTCAGCCTCCCTAGTAGCTGGGATTACAGGTGCACACCACTGCGCTCAGGTAATTTTTGTATTTTTAGTAGAGAGGAGGTTTCACCATGTTGGTTGGGCTGGTCTTGAACTCCTGACCTCAAATGATCTTCCCGCCTCAACCTCCCAAAGTACTGAGATTATAGGCATGAGCCACCATGCCTGGCAAAATTTTTAAAAATGTTTTAAATTTTATTGAAAAATCATGAGCAGCTACAGTAATCAAGTCTGTATGGTACTGTATGGAACAGACCAGAAAGTTCAGAAATAAACTGTTAGCTTTATGGTCAATTGATTTTCAAAAAGGGTGCTCAGACAATTCAGTGAGGAAAAAAATCATCTTTTCAATAAATTGTGCTGGGACAACTGGATATCTACATGCAAAAGAAGAAAGTTGGACCCCTTCTTTACACCACATACAAAAACTAACTAAAGTGGATCATAGACCTAAATGTAAAAGCTAAAACTATGAAATTTTTAGAAGAAAACGAGAGTAAATCTTTATGATCTTAAGTCAGAGAAAGTCTTCTTAGATATGACACCAAAAACCCAAACAACAACAAAAATAAATTGGACATCATCAAAATTAAATACTTTTGTGCTTCAAAAGACAGAAACAAGAAAGTGAAAAAACTCACAGAATATGAGAAAATATTTGCAAACCATATATCTGATAAGGGACTTGTATCCAAAATAAATAAAGAGCTCTAACAACTCAACAATAAAAAGATAAATGATCCAATTGAAAAATGGGCAAAAGTCCGGTCTCAGTGACTCAGGCCTGTAATCCCAGCCCTTTGGGAGGCCAAGGCGGGTGGATCACCTGAGGTTGGGAGTTTGAGACCACCCTGACCAACATGGTGAAACCCTATCTCTACTAAAGCTACAAAATTGGCTGGGCGTGGTGGCACATGCCCGTAATCCCAGCTCGTTGGGAGGCTGAGGTAGGAGAGTCGCTTGAACCCAGGAGGCAGAGGTTGTGGTGATCCGAGCTCACCATTCCACTCCAGCCTGAGCAACAAGAGCGAAACTCCGTCTCAAAAAAAAAAAAAAGAAAGAAAGAAAGAAAGAAAAGAAAGAAAAAAAAATGGGGAAAGATTTGAATAGAAATTTCTGCAAAGAAGATATATAAATATTGCTGCCGTAACAAATGTAGTGGCTTAACCCAATACCACTTTATTATCTTACAGTTCTGGAAGTCAGGAGCTCAACATGGGTAGAAATGGAAAGTGACTGCTAATGAGTATAGGGCTCCTTTTTGGGGTGAGGAAAATATCCTAAAATTAATTGTAGTGATTTTTTTGGTAGAGACAATGTTTCATCATGTTGCCCAGGCTGGTCTCAAACTTCTGGGCTCAAGTGATCTGCCTGCTTCCGTGGTTGCACAGCTCTGTAAATAAACTAAAAAACCGTTTTGTATGTACCCCATCTTGGGTTGTTTGGGATTTTCTTGTTTGTTTGTTGTTTTGTTTTGTTTTTGTTTTATTTTGTTTTGTTTTGTGACAGGGTCTCACTTTGTCACCCAGGCACATACAGGCTGGAGTGCAGTGGTACCATCACAACTCACTGAAGCTTCAACCTCCTGGACCCAAGGGATTCTCCCACCTCAGCCTCCCAAGTAGCTGAGACACAGGCATGCGCCACCATACCTGGCTAATTTTGTTAAGAAATGAGGTCTCTCTGTGTTGCACAGTCTGGTCTCCAACTCCAGGGCTCAAGTGATTGCCCCACTTCCGCCTCTCAAAGTGCGGGATTATAGGCATGAGCCACCACACCCAGCCTGTATGTGTACTTTAAATGGGTACATTGCATGGTATGTAAACTACGTCTCAATAAAGCTGTTAAAAAATAACAAATGAGGCCAGACGTGGTGGCTTCTGCCTGTAATCCCAGCACTTTGGGAGGCCAAGGCAGGCGGATCACAAGGTCAAGAGATCGAGACCATCCTGGCCAACATGGCGAAACCCTGTCTCTACTAAAAATACAAAAACTTAGCCAGGTGTGGTGGCACGTGCCTATAGTCCCAGCTACTCGGGAGGCTGAGTCAGGAGAATTGCTTGAACCTGGGAGGTGGAGGTTGCAGTGAGCCAAGACCATGCCACTGCATGCCAGCCTGGGAGACAGAGTCTTACTCTGTCTCAAAAAACAAAAACAAAAACAAATAAACAAAAAAAACAAATGAATGACTCCTAAGTAGGATGCTGTATCAATTTAACAAAAACACACCACAAATGGACTTAAAGAATAAAGGAAATGTATTGGCTCATTTAACTGAAAAGTATAGAGGAAATAAAGACTTTAGGTGTGGTACAGTCAAAACCTCCTTCCCCAGCAGTTGGAGCTCCAACTGTACATGCTGCTACACAGTTGAGGGAGAGTGAAATGGATATTGTGGAGACAACACCCACTATGACCATCCACTATGGTCCTAAGGGCAAAGAGAAAACAGGTGGCTCACGGCTGGGCGCAGTGGCTCATACCTGTAATCCCAGCACTTTGGGAGGTCGAGGCAGGCAGATCACTTGAGTCCAGGAGTTTGAGACTAGCCTGGGAAACATGGCCTGTCTCTATAAAGAATACAAAAAATTTAGCTGGGTGTGGTGGCACACGTCTATAGCACTAGCCTGGGCGACAGAGTGACACCCTGTCTCTACATTTTTTAAATAAATAAATAAATTGAAAAAATATATAGTAAAAAAGAAGAAAACAGAAGGGCAGGCCTGGCATGGTGGCTCATTCCTGTAATCCCGGCATTTTTGGAGGCTAAGATGGGAGGATCACTTGAGACTTTGAGAACAGCCTGGGCAACATATGAAGACCCCATCGCTATAAAAAAATTTTTTTTAATACTTTGGGAGGCCAAGGCAGGCAGATCACTTAAGCCCAGGAGTTTGAGACCAGCTGGGCAACATGGTGAAACCTTGTCTCTACTAAAAAACAAACAAACAAACAAAACAATTTTTTTAATCAAAAAGAAGGGCTAGGCACGGTGGTTTACTCCTGTAATCCCAGCACTTTGGGAGGCCAAGGCAGGCAGATCATCTGAGGTCGGGAGTTGGAGACCAGCCTGGCCAACATGGTGAAACCCCATCTCTACTAAGAATACAAAAATTAGCCAAGTGTGGTGGCATGCGCCTGTAATCCCAGCTATGTGGGAGGCTGAGGTGGGAGGATCACTTGAGCCCAGGAGGCGAAGGTTGCGGTGAGCCAAGATTGCACCACTACACTCCAGCCTGGGTGACAGAGCGAGACTGTGTCTCAAAAAATAATAATAAAATAAATAAATAAATCAAAAAGAAAATAAAGAAAGAAAACAGAAGGGCAAGTTCAAAGACAAATAGCAGAGCATGTGTGTACCAGTCATAGGAGCAATTCTCAGGAGGGCGAAGCCCTCTTTAGACTAAAAAGAGAAACAACTAAAGACTGTAATAAAGAACACTGTCCTTTAGGCCGGTCGCGGTGGCTCACGCCTGTAATCCCAGCACTTTGGGAGGCTGAGGCGGGCAGATCACAAGGTCAGGAGATTGCGACCATCCTGGCTAACATGGTGAAACCCTGTCTCTACTAAAAATACAAAAAATTAGCCAGACGTGCTGGCAGGCACCTGTAGTCCCAGCTACTCTGGAGAATGAGGCAGCAGAACGGCATGAACCCGGGAGGCAGAGCTTGCAGTGAGCCGAGATCGTGCCACTGCACTCCAGCCTGGGTGACAGAGTGAGACTCTGTCTCAAAAAAAAATAAAAAATAAAAAGACACTGTCCTTTAAACACTTCAAAAGTGTTTAGGATTGACTGCTAATGGAGTATGAAAATGTTCTAAAATTAGATGGTAGTGATGGTTCCACAGGCTTGTAAATATACTAAAAAAGATTGAGGTCTAGCACGGTGGCTCACACCTGTAATCCCAACACTTTGGGAGGCTGAGGAGGTCAGATCACCTGAGGAGTTCAAGACCAGCCTGACCAAAATGGCGAAATCCTGTCTCTACCAAAAAATACAAAAAAATTAGCCAGGTGTGATGGTGCACACCTGAAGCCCCAACTACTCAGGAAGCTGAGGTGGGAGAATTGCTTGAACCAGGATGTGGAGGTTGCAGTGAGCTGAGATCTTGCCACTGCACTCCAGCCTGGGCGACAGAGTGAGACACTGCCTCAAAAAAAAAAAAAAGTTAATGATCGCTGGGTGCAGTGGCTCATGCCTGTAATCCCAGCACTTTGGGAGGCTGAGGCGGGTGGATCACCTGAGGTCAGCAGTTCAAGACCAGCCTGGCCAACATGGTGAAACCCCGTCTCTACTAAAAACACAAAAATTAGCCGGGCATGATGGTGGGTGCCTGTAGTCCCAGCTACTTGGGAGGCTGAGGTGGGAGAATCACTTGAATCTGGGAGGCGGAGGTTTCAGTGAGCTGTGATCACGCCATTGTGCTCCAGTCTGGGCAACAAGAAAGACTCTGTCTCAAAAAAAAAAAAAAAAAAAAAAAGATTGAATTGTACACTTGAATATGTGTATTCTTTTTTTTTTCTTTGAGACGGAGTCTCACTCTGTCGCTCAGGCTGGAGTGCAGTGGTGAGATCTCTGCTCACTGCAAGCTCCGCCTCCCGGGTTCACGCCATTCTCCTGCCTCAGCCTCCCAAGTATCTGGGACTGCAGGCACCTGCCACCACGCCCGGCTAATTTTTTGTATTTTTAGTAGAGACAGGGTTTCACCATGTTAGCCAGGATGGTCTTGATCTCCTGACCTCGTGATCCACCTGCCTCGGCCTCCCAACGTGCTGGGATTACAGGCATGAGCCACCGCGCCCAGCCAAGTATGTGTATTCTTTAAATGATATGTGATGGACCAGGCACAGTGTCTCATGCCTGTAAGCCCAGCAGTTGGGGAGGCTGAGGTGGGAGAATCACTTGAGCCCAGGAGTTTGAGACCAGCCTAGGCAACGTAGTGAGACCCCATCTCTACTAAAAAAACAAAATTAGCTGTGCATGATAGTGTATGCATCTGTAGTCCCAGCTACTTGGAAGGAGGCAGGAGGATTGCTTGAGCCCAGGTGATTGAGGCTGCAGTGAGCTTTGACCGTACCACTGCACTCCAGCCTGGGAGACAGAGTGACATGCTGTCTCAGAAAAAAAAAAAAACAAACTTAAATAATATGTGAATTCTACTTCAATGAAGCTGGATTTCATAGTTTAGAGCAAGTAGGTAAGATATTAATCTAGTGCTTGGGCACATGGAGCCAGGAGAAAGGAGTTAAATGTAAACTGAAGCCCAAAGTGTGGGAAAGATAGTAAGTGAGCCTCTGTGTATTTCAAGGAGTTCAAGACTCTTGGGCCCAGATAAATTACCTCCTAGGGCACTGAAAGAACTTGTAGGTGTAGTAATTATTTAAACTAATTTATGAGAAATTATGGAGAATTGGGTGAGAGAAGAAAAGTTTTGGAGACAAGTACACATGGATTTTTTTTTTTTTGAGATGGAGTCTCACTCTGTCCCCCAGGATGGAGTCCAGTGGCATGATCCCGACTTACTGCAACCTCTGCCTCCCAGGTTCAAGCGATTCTCCTGCCTCAGCCTCCCGAGTAGCTGGGACTACAGGCATGTGCCACCACGTCCAGCTAATTTTTGTAATTTTAGTAGAGATGGGGGTTTCACCATTTTGGCCAGAATGGTCTCGATCTCTTGACCTCATGATCCACCCACTTCGGCCTCCCAAAGTGCTGGGATTACAAGCATCAGCCACCGCACCCAGCCCCCAAACGTGGATTTATTTATTTTGTGTGTTTGTATATGTTTAGTTTTATTGTAACAAACCAACTTGTACATTTTTGTTTTGTTTTGTTTTTGTTTTTGTTTTTGAGACAGTCTCACTCTGTTGCCCTGGCTGGAGTGCAGTGGCATGATCTCAGCTCACTGCAGCCTTTGCCTCCCGGGTTCAAGTGATTCTACTGCCTCAGCCTCCCCAGTAGCTGGGACTGCAGGTGCACGCCACCACACCTGGCCAATTTATTTTTATTTTTATTTTTATTTTTAGTAGAGACAGGATTTCGCCATGTTGGCCAAGCTGGTCCCAAACTCCTGACCTCAGTTAATCCACCCTCCTTGGCCTCCCAAAGTGCTGGGATTGCAGGTGTGAGCCACTGCGCCTGGCCACAAGGCAACTTGTACATTTTTAACGTTTAAAACTGAGCATCTGGGCCAGGGGTTGTGGCTACCTGCTGTAATCCCAGCCCTTTGGGAGGCCCCAGCTGGAAGATGGCTTGAGTTCAGGGGTTTGAGATCAGCCTGGGCAACATGGTGAAACTCCATCTCTACAAAAAATACAAAAATTAGCCAGGCATGGTGGCACACACCTGTACTCCCAGCTACTAGGGAGGCTGAGGTTGGAGGATGGATTGAGCCTGGGAGGTTGAGGCTTCAGTGAGCTGTGATTGCCTTATTGCACTCTAGCCTAGGTGACAGAGCAAGATCTTGTATCAAAAAAAGAAGTAAGTAGGCCAGGCACGGTGGCTCACACTTGTAATCCCAGCACTTTGGGAGGCCGAGGCAGGTGGATCATGAGGTCAGGAGTTTGAGACCAGCCTGGCCAATATGGTGAAACTCCGTCTCTACTAAAAATACAAAAATTAGCCAGGCGTGGTGACACATGCCTGTAGTCCCAGCTACTCGGGAGGCTGAGGCAGAAGAATAGCTTGAACTCAGGAGACGGAGGTTGCAATGAACTGAGATCACATCACTGCACTCCAGCCTGGGCGACAGAGTGAGACTCCATCTCTAAATAAATAAATAAATGTAAAACTTTATTTTAAAAGTGTTATCTTGGCCAGGCGTCGTGGCTCACGCTTGTAATCCTAGCACTTTGGGAGGCCAAGGTGGGCAGATTATCTGAGGTCAGGAGTTCGAGACCAGCCTGGCCAAGTTGGTGATCTCTACTAAAAATACAAAAATTAGCTGGGCGTGGCATGCGCCTATAGTCCCAGCTACTGGGGAGGCTGAGGCGGGAGAATAGCTTGAACCCGGGAGGTGGAGGTTGCAGTGAGCCAAGGTTGTGCCAGTGCACCCTAGCCTGGTGACAGAGTGAGACTCCGTCTCAAAAAAAAAAAAAAAATCAAAAATTAGCCTGGCATGGTTGTGCATGCCTGTAATGCCAGCCAGCTACTCAGGAGGTTGAGGCAGGAGAATCACTTGAACCCAAGAGGCAGAGGTTGCAGTGAGCTGATATCATGTCACTGCACTCCAGCCTGGGCGACACAGTGAAACTCCATCTCAAAATAAAAGTGTTATCTTAACAATGTCTGTTAAACAATATCATTAAATATGCCAAAGGAGAAGCCATGTTGTCAAAATGCCTACTTAACCCACCGAAATATCTCAAATTCTCCCTTTGCTGATTTTCTATAACCCTGTTTTTTAAAGGTTTTTTTCTCCCTTTTTTTTTAATGAGATACAGTCTCACTCTTTTCCCCAGGCTGGAGTGCAGTGGCACAATCTCGGCTCATTGCAACCTCCACCTCCCAGGTTTAAATGATTCTCCTGCCCGAGCCTCCTGTGTAGCAGGGATTACAAGCATCCGCCACCATGCCCGGCTAATTTTTGTATTTTTAGTAGAGACAGGGTTTCACCATTTTGGCCAGGCTGGTCTCAAACTCCTGACCTCAAGTGATCCACCCACCTTAGCCTCCCAAAGTGCCGGAATTACAGATGTGAGCCACCGCGCCCAGTCTCAATTCACATTTAACTCCCTTCTCCTGGCCTTTTTTTCCTTTTTTTAAACAAGAGAAAGTAGATGGATACATGTTGGTAAATGCTAACTGTCCATGTTCACATAGAGACACAGTGAACTCTCTGAGCCCAATACACAGAGAAAGGAGGAAAAAAGCAAGAATTCTAAGCATAACTACATAGGGGCCTAGCACCCCCGAGCTTCCAGCAGAGCGAAGGAAGTAGGTTTTTCTTTTCTTCCACAGAGCTTGGTGGTGTTGATTCCGTACAGTTTTTGTTCAGACAGGAAGGGATAAAAATGAATTTGGGATGGAAAGGGATAGACTCTTTTCCCACTCTGTTCTGCTCAAGGTGCATCCCCCCAAAATAACACCCATGGTATAAATAAAAGAAACCTCAGGAACAGTGTGACTGGGCACAAGAGGGAAAAAACAAAAAGACCGCAACTTGATCCCAGAAAATGGGGAACATTTTTTAAAAGGAAGGTTGGAATCCATCAGTGTTCTATTAGCCATCTCCTCTTTCATCCTCCTCTCCTTTGTCAGTATCTTCCAACCCTTCATCATCATCATCTTCTTCTTTTTCTTTATCATCCGTATCAGGAACCAAGTAGAGCTGTAATGAGTTTGGCCAAATATCATCTTTGATGACCTCTCCTAACTCTCCAGCACCCGCATCAGAATGATCAGTGAACCAGGTAAAAAAGCTCTCCAATTCCTCACTCTGGCTGTATTCTGTGTCTGACTTGAATGCTTTATCAAATCCCCTCCAGATTTCCATTTGATTGCAGTGGACTTTGAAGATGGATCACCACTCTCATTCAGGTGAAATTCTTTGGAGAACTTTATTTTCATAGTAAGAATTTTCATCAAAACAAACATCTATTCTGTAATCTAATAAATATCTTC
The DNA here is from genome assembly GCF_000001405.40 of Homo sapiens. Taxonomy (NCBI): domain Eukaryota; kingdom Metazoa; phylum Chordata; class Mammalia; order Primates; family Hominidae; genus Homo; species Homo sapiens. The sequence continues at coordinate 118,834,189 of NC_000011.10, forward strand.
ATATTCTGTCAATTCAACTCTGGTCAAATAATGCAGTGCCTCTTTATCCTCCTCCCTAAGCAGTGTAAACACTTGTGGATGGTTGACAAATATTGTTACCCCAAAATTTGGGATTTTGGCAATCAACTCTGATCTCTTTGGAAAAAATGGTTGGCGGAGTTTGCCATATTTCTTTTTCTAGCTTCAAAATCTCCTCACTGGCTTGTTCATTAAGTCTATTTCATTTTGTACTTTATCAATAAGTTCAGTTGCTTCCGCTGGTTTTTTTCTGTCTTCTTCTGCAAGCCCAGAGAGATGGATGTCTTCTCTGGTCTCAGAGCACAAGGCAGACTTGGTTTCTTCTTTTGAGGCAGTAGTAGAGACTGGCATTTCAGGGCCGTGCTGCTAGAAAAGTCCAACAACCAGACCACGAGTCTCATTGCTCAACAGAATGAAGCTCAGAAAACCACCCACAGATTTTTTTAAAGTGGTATGGATAGAATGAAAGTGAAAGGAGTCCTTCCAGAACCCTTAATAAAATCAAGCCTATTTCCAAGAAGATAAATTCTAAAAGGTAGGGACCTCATCTGTGTATTCACGACAGTACCCTCAGCTCCTAACAGGCCCCAAATATTTGTTTAAGGTTGAGTGTTGACTCCTCCAGGGTTGACCACGGAGAGAGATCCCTGGTGCACAGTAGAAAGTGGGGAAGTAAGGGTACAAGGTGAATCGTGGGCAAAAAAGTCTTGGTGAAAGTTTGGGTTTTGGGAGGTTTTCATTGTTATTGTTACAAATTTTGGTTTTGAATTTGGTTAAATGTTTTTTATGCATCTGAGATAATCATATGGTTTTTCTCCTTTATTCTATTAACATGGCGAATTACGTTAATTGATTTTCAAATGTTAAACCCAGCTTGCATTCCTAGAATAAACTCACTTTGGAAGGCTGTGTTATCCTTTTTACATATTGCTGAGTTCAATTTGCTAATATTTTGTTAACAATTAACTCACCAGGGCCTAAGATTTTAAATTTCAAATCCAGTTTATTTAATTGATATAGGACTACTCAGATATTTTATTTCTTCTTGAGTCAGTGTGGTCATTTGTGTCCTTCCAGGAATTTATTCATTTCATTTATGTTGTTAAATTTATATTGATAAAAAGTTGTTCATAATGTTCTATTATCTTTTCAATGTCTGTAGAAACAATAACGAAGTGCCCTCTTTTACTTGGACCAAAAACTAAATCTTGGGATAAGAGTCAAAACTTGGGGCTGCCAGGCACGGTGGCTGACACCTATAAGCTCAGTACCTTGGGAGGCTGAGGCAGGAGAATTGCTTGAGTCCAGGAGTTTGACACCATCCTGGGCAACATAGTGAGACCCCATCTCTTTAAAAAGTAAAAAGTTAGCCAGGCATGGTGTTGCAATCCTGTCATCCCAGCTACTCAGGAGGCTGAAGTAGGAAGATCATTTGGGCCCAGGAGTTCCAGGCTGCAGTGAGCCCTGATCCTGCCACTACACTCCAGCCTGGGTGACAAAGCAAGACTCTGTCTCTAAAAATAAACACATTAAATATAAACTACAGGGCCTAGCGTGGTGGCTCACGCCTGTAATTCCAGCACTTTGGGAGGCCGAGGCAGGCGGATCACTAGGTCAGGAGATTGAGACCATCCTGGCTAACACGGTGAAACCCTGTCTCTACTAAAAATACAAAAACTAGCTGGGCATGGTGGCAAGGGCCTTTAGTCCCAGCTACTCGGGAGGCTGAGGCAGCTGAATGGCGTGAACCCAGGAGGCGGAGCTTGCAGTGAGCCAAGATCTTGCCGCTGCACGCCAGCCTGGAGATGGTCCAAGTGCAGTGGTGTTACAACTAATTTATCACAACCAGTCACAGATTTATTTATTCCTTCTCCACTCCCTACTGCTTCACTTGACTAGCCAAACAACAACAACAACAACAAAAAACCATGGAATTCTAGGCAAATCAGTTCCACACATAGCAATTGGCTGCTACGCCTGTTAATTCTCCTGAGCTGCTTTTTCCCTCCGTTGCCAGCCTTAGAGGATCAGTTTTTTATTTAACGTTGTTAAGAAGAAAGGGGCTAGGCCGGGCGCTGTGGCTCAGGCCTGTAATCCCAGCACTTTGGGAGGCCAAGGCGGGGGGATCACGAGGTGAGGAGATGAAGACCGTCCTGGCTAACACGGTGAAACCCCGTCTCTACTAAAAATACAAAAAATTAGCCGGGCGTTCTGGCGGGCACCTGTAATCCCAGCTACTCCGGGGGCTGAGGCAGGAGAATTGCTTGAACCCAGGAGGCAAAGGTTGCAGTGAGCCAAGATCGTGCCACTGCACTCCAGCCTGGGCGACAGAGCTAGACTCTATCTCCAATCCAAAAAAAAAAAAAAAAAAGAAGAAGAAGAAGAAGAAAGGGGCCAGGCGCAGCGGCTTATGCCTGTAATCCCAGCACTTTGGGAGGCCAAGGCGGGTGGATCATTTGAGGTCAGGAGTTCGAGACCAGCCTGACTAACATGATGAAACCCCGTCTCCACTAAAAATACAAAAATTAGCCAGGCGTGGTGGCATGCACCTGTAATCCCAGCTACTTGGGAGGCTGAGGCTCAAGAATTGCTTAAGCCCAGGAGGCAGGGGTTTCAGGAAGCCAAGATCATGCCACTGCACTCCAGCCTGGGTGACAGAGTGAGACTCTGTCTGAAAAAAGCAAAACAAAATAAAACAAAAAAGAAGAAAGGGGCCAGGCGCAATGGCACACACTGTAACCCCAGCACTTTGGGAGGCTGAAGTGGGCAGATCGCTTGAGCCCAGGAATTTGAGACCAGCCTGGGCAATATGGCAAAACCCCTTCTCTACAAAAAAAAAAAAAAAAAAAAAAAAAAAAAATTAGCCAGGTGTGGTGGTGGGCATCTGTGGTCCCAGCTACATGGGAGGCTGAGGCATGAGGATTGATTGAACCCGGAGGTCAAGGCTGCAGTAAGCCATGTTCGTATCACTGTACTCCAGCCTGGGTGACATAGTGAGACCCTGTCTCAGAAAAAAAGAATAAGAAGAATGAGAGAGGTAGACTCCAGAAATGACAAATGGCAAGCTCAATGTTGATCTTTTTTTTTTTTTTTTTTTTTTTTTTGAGACGGAGTCTCGCTCTGTCGCCCAGGCTGGAGTGCAGTGGCGGGATCTCGGCTCACTGCAAGCTCCGCCTCCCGGGTTCACGCCATTCTCCTGCCTCAGCCTCCCAAGTAGCTGGGACTACAGGCGCCCGCCACTACGCCCGGCTAATTTTTTGTATTTTCAGTAGAGACGGGGTTTCACCGTTTTAGCCGGGATGGTCTCGATCTCCTGACCTCGTGATCCGCCCGCCTCGGCCTCCCAAAGTTCTGGGATTACAGGCGTGAGCCACCGCGCCCGGCCAATGTTGATCTTAAGTGAAATTCTAGAATGGAATTTGTGGGCAACACAAAAAAAATTTGGTGGTTCTGAGAGCTGTCACATATTCACTAAGAGCAATTTTGCTGAACTTTATTTCCTTCTTGTCAAAGTATCTGTCTCCCTTGCACAGTCAGATTGTTTACACTAGTAGTTACCGAGGGCCAATTTCGTACCCAGCATTGTGCTAAGAGTGTAGATAGATACAATAGGGGTGAACCAAAAGGACATCCCCCCTTCCCTTACAATGTAGTGAGGGACAATTGTTAAACCAATAAGCACGTGAATAAATATACCACTATAAACTGTGAGAAGGGGTATGAAGGATGGTAGAATGGTGGGAGAGTTTCACAGGAAGATCTGATTTAGATTTGGCAGCAGGCAGAAGGTTGGTCTAAGGAAAGCCTTTAAGAGGAACTCCTATTTAAAGATAAGTAAGAGGCCGGGCGTGGTGGCTCAAACCTGCAATCCCAGCACTTTGGGAGGCCGAGGTGGGTGGATCATGAGGTCAGGAGTTTGAGACTCGCCTGGCCAATATGGTGAAACCCTATCTCTACTAAAAATAAAAAATAAAAAAAAAATAGCCGGGCCTGGTGGTGCATGCCTGCAGTCCCAGCTACTCGGGAGGCTGAGGCAAAAGAATTGCTTGAACTCGAGAGGCAGAGGTTGCAGTGAGCCAAGATCGCACCACTGCACTCCAGCCTGGGCGACAGAGTGAGATTCCGTCTCAAAAATAAATAAATAAATAAATAATAAAATAAAATAAAGATAAGTAAGAGTTAGCCAGGGAAGTAGTAGCAGAAAGAGTATTCTTTTTTTTGAGACAGAGTCTCGCTCTGTTGCCCAGGCTGGAGTGCAATGGCACGATTTCAGCTCACTGCAACCTCCACCTCCTGGGTTCAAGCAATTCTCCTGCCTCAGCCTCCCAAGTAGCTGAGATTACAGGCACACGTCACCACGCCTGGCTAATTTTTGTATTTTTAGTAAAAACGGGGTTTCACCATATTGGCCAGGCTGGTCTTGAACTCTTGACCTTGTGATCCACCCGCCTAGGCCTCCCAAAGTGCTGGGATTACAGGCATGAGCCACCACGCCCGACCAAGAGTTTTTTTTTTTTTTTCTGCAATGGAGTCTCGCTCTGTCGCCCAGGCTGGAGTGCAATGGCTCGATCTCGGCTCACTGCAATCTCCACCTCCCAGCTTCAAGTGATTCTCCCGCCTCAGCCTTCTGAGTAGCTGAGATTACAGGCATGCATCACCATACCCAGCTAATTTTTTTATTTTTAGTAGAGACAGGGTTTCACCATATTGGCCAGGCTGGTCTCAAACTCCTGGCCTCATGTGATCCACCTGCCTCAGCCTCCCAAAGTGCTGGGCTGAAAAATATTCTGAGCAGAGTAAACAGCATGGGCAAAGACCTTGAGTCAGGAAAGTGATGAGTTTGAGGAACTGAGAGAAGGCTGATGTCACTGGAAAGCAGTAGGAGAGTGAGAGTTGGAGCTGGAGGGTGAACAGGTCAAAATTATGCAAGCTTTAAAGGGCACAAAGAGGTTGGCTTTTATCCTAGGGGTGCTAGAAAGTCATCAAAGTAGTTTGTGCAGGAATGTAGCCCAAATGATCCAGTTTTGGTTTGGAAAAATTTAAACATAGGCAGTGGCTCATGCCTGTAACCCTAGCACTTCGGGAGGCCAAGGCAGGCAAATCAGTTGAGGTCAGGAGTTTGAAACCAGCTGGCCAACATGGTGAAATCCTGTCTCTAGTAAAAATGAAAAAATTAGCCTGATGTGTCAGCAGGCACCTGTAATCCCAGCTACTCAGGAGGCTGAGGTACGAGAATCACATGAAGCAGGGGGGCAGAGGTTGCAGTGAGGCAAAATCGTGCCACTGCACTCCAGCCTGGGCAACAGAGTGAGACTCCGACTGAAAAAAAACTTTTTTTTAACTTATATGAGAATAGACACGGTTATATTATAGCACCCAAAATACCCATCAATGGCTTCAAATTATCATTTTATGGCCAATTTTTAGGATTTGGGAATAAAATAGAAATTCCCAGGAATTCTCAGAAATTCTTGATATTAAAAACTATTCCGTATTTTCATAACACTTTATTTAATGTTTTAAATGTTAGTATGCAAGATTGTCAAAGAAAAAGACTTTTTTTAATTTTTAAATTTTTTTGAGACATGGTCTCTCTCTGTCACCTAGGCTGGAGTGCAGTGTTGCGATCTCAGCTCACTGCAACCTCTGCCTTGTGGGTTCGAGCGATTCTCCCGCCTCAACCTCCCTCCCAAAGTGCTGGAATTAAAGGCATGAGTCACTGTGCCCAGCCAAAAAAGTTAACATTCTTAAAATAAAAAACATAAACATGCAGGCTGGGCGCGGTGGCTCACGCCTGTAATCCCAGCCCTTTGGGAGGCTGAGGCGGGCGGATCACAAGGTCAAGAGATCGAGACCATCCTGGCTAACCCCGTGAAACCCCGTCTCTACTAAAAATACAAAAAATTAGCCGGGCGTGGTGGCGGGTGCCTGTAGTCCCAGCTACTCGGGAGGCTGAGGCAGGAGAATGGCGTGAACCCAGGAGGCAGAGCTTGCAGTGAGCCGAGATCGCGCCACTGCACTCCAGCCTGGGCGACAGAGCAAGATCCATCTCAAAAATAAATAAATAAATAAATAAATAAATAAATAAATAAATAAAATAAAAATTGCCAATGAGCATTATTGACTAGCATTCAAATAATCTAACATTGAGCTCTCCTAACACTATACAGAATCCCAGATTAAAATTCCCAATTTTTGTATTTACCAAAATTTGTTACTTCTTGGATCACCACTCATTGGATTTATATAAAGCAAACTGTGCATATAAACTCATTACTATTTATTTTACTTGCAGAAATGCCTGTGCTTAGCAGCAGACAGGGCCATGAGCACATACTTCTGACATGGCAGTGAAGGCGAATTGACAGGGATGGGTTCATGCTATGTTTTGGAGTGGGCAACACCATCAGGATATTACAACTCTTTTTTAAAAAAAGTTTTAATTGTTTAAATAAATTTTTAATTTTAATTTTTGTGGGTACATAGTAGGTGTATATATTTATGGGATACATGAGATGTTTTGATATAGGCATGCAATGATTATACAACCCATTTTAATAGTCTCAATGCGCTCCATCATCATTTTGTTGACACAGTAACAGTCTGAGCTAACAGGATGGGTATTAGAAACTAAGAAGGAACCGGGCGCAGTGGCTCACGCCTGTAATCCCAGCACTTTGGGAGGCCGAGGCAGGTGGATCACCTGAGGTCAGGAGTTCAAGACCAGCCTGACCAACATGGAGAAACCCCGTCTCTACTAAAAATACAAAATTAGCTGGGGTGGTGGCGCATGCCTATGATCCCAGTTACTCGGGAGGCTGAGGCAGGAGAATCGCTTGAACCCAGGAGGCGGAGGTTGCGGTGAGCCAAGATCGTGCCATTGCACCCAGCCTGGGCAAAAAGAGCGAAACGCCGTCTCAAAAAAAAAAAAAGAAAAGAAAAAGAAACTAAGAGGGAAATAAGGCCGGGCGTGGTGTCTCATGCTTGTAATCCCAGCACTTTCAGAGGCCAAGGAGGGTGGATCACTTGAGGCCAGGAATTCAAGACCAGTCTGGCTAACATGGTAAAACCGCATCTCTACCCAAAATACAAAAGTTAGCCAGGCTTGGTGGGACACGCCTGTAATCCTAACTACTCGGGAGGCTGAGGCAGGAGAATCACTTCAAACCAGGAGGTGGAGGTTACAGAGAGCTGAGATTATGCCACTGCATCCCATCCTGAGTGACAGAGACTCTGTCTGAAAAAAAGAAAGAAAGAAAGAAAAGAAACTAAGAGGGAAATGAGATTGGATAGTTGGGGTGGGTGAGGACTCTCAGAAAGGAGGGAGGGCTTCCCAGCAGAAGAGGCGTGTTTTCGTGCGTAAGAAGTGGCTGGGGAAAGCGAAAGCAGTGGGGGCACCCATGATGAGACTGGCTGGCTCTAGAAACATTAGTGGGATTTCACCCACACTTGCTTGGGTAACTTTCTGTTGTCATTGGGAAGCCAGTGGGACTTTCTCGTCCAAGATGAACCAGGGCCCATACACTTGCCACTTTCACTTGTTCCTAGAGGCTGTGTCATGTCTTGGCTGCCTCAGGGTGCAGGGACTATGCTCATATAGTAGGAAGGTAACGGCATACACAAATTAGGTGATTACAGGTCTCACACTTGTCAGTTGGCTCCATTCAATTTCATACTTGGTTCTTTCTCTTCCATGATCTCTATTTTGTTTCTTGAACAGACCAGGACTCTGTAAGCTGAAACGTTTGGTAAATTCCCTTCCTTGCCAGTTTACACTGACTTTGTACCCACAGTTCAAGGCTAAATCCCTTTTTGTCTGGGCTAGTGGTTGCCAAATCCCTTTTTGTCTGGGTTAGCCATTTCATGTAGAGACTGCTTCTCTACCTATACGCTTATTCAAATGCAGTAGTGAAACAAAATCAATGCACAGCCATACAATTACTACATAGCCTGTGTAAAGAATGATGCAGATCTATTTATATACAAATATGGTAAGCTCCATAATATATTATTAGATTTTTAAAAAGTAAGTCTCCAGACAACATTTATAGTAGTGTTTTGCGTGTGTGTGTTTATAATTGCATAGATATAGTTCTGGAAGGATACATGGTAAACTCAACTCTAACAAGTGTGTATATGACAGGAATGAAATAACTCTACTTTTTAGTTTGTTTTAAAAGTATTTTAATTTGCAAGCATCACTTCTATAATGTGAAACAAAAATTAAAAACCTCAAACCGTTGCTCTTCTTGGAGTCACTTGAATTGGTAGCCCTGAAGAAAATTCCTAAATTAGACTTTCTTCTGTTCTTGACTGAACGAGGATGAATGAGTCACCCAATCCTGTGCCAGGTACAGGAATAAATGCTGGACAGTTACAGATGAAAGAGAGCATGTTGCCCTTTAAGGACTTCAAAGTTTACAGAGAGACCAGAAAACAAGAAATTAAAGTACAGTATGATATATGCCACAGAGCTATACCTTGGAAAGAAAAAGGATGGACAGCACAGACTTTAAAGCAGTAACAGGAGGTGGGTAGGAAAGCCTTCCAGAGAAGGTAAGAATCGAGAGGAGTCTTTTATTTTCCCTGTTACTTTATTATTAAAAAATGTCAAACATAACTGAAAGGTTGAAACATCTGCAGATCCACCACCTAGATTCAACGATTGAACATTTTGTTGTATTCACTAGATATGTAATACAAATAAACAAATGCAAAGCCATTTGAAGTTTCACCCCTAAATATTTAAACCCCAACTCCTAAGAATGACATTATCTTACATAACCACAATGCCGTTATCAAACATAAAAATAACATTAAGGGCTGGGCATGGTGGCTCACGCCTGTAATCCCAGCATGGTGACTCAGGCCTATAATCCCAGCACTTTGGGAGGCTGAGGCAGTGGATCACCAGGTCAGGAGTTCGAGACCAGCCTGGCCAACACGGTGAAACTCCATCTCTACTAAAAATACAAAAAATTAGCCAGGTGTGGTGGCAGGCGCCTGTAATCCCAGATACTCGGGAGGCTGAGGCAGGAGAATCGCTTGAACCTGGGAGGTGGAGGTTGCAGTGAGCCAAGACTATGCCACTGCACTCCAGCATGGGAGACACAGCGAGACTCTGTCTCAAAAAAAAAAAAAGGCAAAAATGAACCCCCCCGATTAGCTGGGACAACAGGCATGCCCCAAAACACCCAGCTAATTTTTGTTTTTTAAGTAAAAATGAGGTTTCACCAAATTGGCCAGGCTGGTCTCAAACTTCTGACCTCGTGATCCACCCGCCTCAGCCTCCCAAAGTGCTGGGATTACAGGCGTGGGCCACCACACCTAGCCACAAGTATTATTCTCTAAATGTCATTGTGGTTAGATGTGGTGACAGAAGTGTTAGTGAGCTCTAGCTTGTCCTTGCTTTGCTCTGATCAGTGTCCAGAAATGCTTTCCAATTCCTGACCCTGTTGACCACCAGTGACCACCAGACACTTGGTGATGGATCCACAGAGGTGGCGGCTGCCCAGATGGCTCTCCAGGAGCCTTCTCATCACAGCCCCATGTCAGTGGCCAGATGCACTTCCCTCCCCACATTGGTGACTCCTCTTTTGATTCTCTGACTAACCTCTTGGTCTTTCCTTTCCCCAGCTTCTTCTACAATTGTGTAAAGCATAGTTCCCATAATAAATTCCTTATCTCATCATTCATGAAGGTTCTACCTCCCTGACTGATACACTTACTGGTACTGGCCGTGGTTTCAGGGGACAGATCATTAAGGATAGGAATTGGAAACTGGTTCTCTGACCTGATTAAACTTAAGTGCATTCATGATTGTTGCCAGCAGTAAACTTAAATTCTTAAACTCTACCTGTAATCACTTGTGATACATGCTTATAGACGGCAAAGCTTTGGGTAGCCAAATATTTGCTGCTGTAGAACATTTTAGTAGAAATAGGAATGTAATGAGGAATGTTGGTTGCTTCTACATATGGGGAAAGTTTGGAGAAAGAAAATGATGAGCTAAAGGCTTTAAATTTCCATCTCAAGTTCTGGAAAATGGACCAAAAAACTTGAAGACTGCCTTTAAAAAAAACTCTCATCTCTGATAGCCTCAAGGTCAAGATTTCTGATCACCAAACACTAAGTGTCCACTTGCAGCAGACTGAATTTCAACGCAAAGTGAATTCATAACCTACCAGGGTGTCTTATGTTCAAAATAAGACATTGATTGGAAAGGAGTAAGACCCTGAGTCTTAGGATACAGACATACGGATGGATTCCTATGAGGTCAAAGACCTTAAACCAAGCTTGACCAACCTGTGGCCCTGCAGGCTGCATGTGGCCCAGGATGGCTTTGAATGTGCCCAACACAAATTCATAAACTTTCTTTTTTTTTTTTTTTTTTTTGGACAGAGTCTCCCTCTGTCACCCAGGCTGGAGTGCAGTGGCACGATCTTGGCTCACTGCAACCTCTGCTTCTTAGGTGCAAGTGATTTTCCTGCCTCAGCCTCCTGAGTAGATGGGATTACAGGCACGCACCACCACACCCAGCTATTTTTTTTGTATTTTTAGTAGATATGGGGTTTCACCATGTTGGCCAGGCTGATCTCGAACTCCTGACCTCAGGTGATCACCCGCCTCAACCTCCCAAAGTCCTGGGATTATAGGCTTGAGCCACCACACTCGGCCATAAACTTTCATTATGAGCTTTGGCCAGGCGCAGTGGGTCACACCTGTAATCACAGCACTTTGGGAGGCCGAGGCGGGTGGATCACCTAAGGTCAGGAGTTCGAGACTAGCCTGGCCAACATGGTGAAACCCTCTCTCCACTAAAAATACAAAAATTAGCCAGGCGTGGTGGCGGTCGCCTGTGATCCCAGCTACTTGGGAGGCTGAGGCAGGAGAATCGCTTGAACCCGGGAGGCTGAGGTTGCAGTGAGCCAAGACAGCACCACTGCATTCCAGCCTGGGCAACAAGAGTAAAACTGTGCCTCAAAAGAAAAAACAAAAACAAAAAACAAAAACCACAACAACAACAATAAAAAACATTATGAGGTTTTTTGTGATCTTTTTCTTTCTTTTTCTTTTTCTTTTTTTTTTTTTAGCTCATCAGCTATTGTTAGTGTATTTTAAGTGTGGCCCAAGACAATTCTTTCAATGTGCCCCAGGGAAGCCAAAAGATTGGACACCCCTGCCTTAAACCCTAAATTCAGCTAACCCTCCTTAGCCAAAAAAAAGTGACCTTCTTCTCTATCTGCAGTTAATCTTCCCTTACCTAAAGAACCTGGGATGACCTCCCCAGAGCTAGTGGCCTTTCAGGGGACTGTGATCCTCCTAGGAACCTAACCCTTCCACCTCTTTTAGATCTGTAAGCTCAGAGATTCAAGTCATAGCAGGCCCCAGGGTGACTCATGAGGAAATACCATACAAACCAAAAGAATATTGAGAGTTTGTCAATGTATACATTGCTTCATGTTTTTTTTTTGACATAGTTTCATATTTACAGCAAAGTTATAAGAATAGTACAAACAATTCCTTTTATATTTTACCAAGATCCTCAAATGCTGATTTATACTGACTGAAACTCAGGGAATAGGTAGGGGAATAGATCTTGAAAGAGTGGGATCAGGATGGAAGAAATATAATTTTGGATTTGGATAAATTTATTTATGTATTTATTTATTATTTTTTGAGAGAGAGTTTCTCTCTGTTGCCCAGGCTGGAGTGCAGTGGCACAATCTTGGCTCACTGTAACCTCTGCTTCCTGGGTTCAAGTGATTTTCCTGCCTCAGCCTCCTGAGTAGATGGGATTACAGGCGCCTGCCACCATGCCCGGCTAAATTTTGTATTTTTAATAGAGATGGGGTTTCACCATGTTGGCCAGGCTGCTCTCAAACTCCTGACCTCAGGTGATCCACTCGCCTTGGCCTCCCAAAGTGCTGGGATTACAGGGTGAGCCACCACGCCTGGCCTGGATGAATTTATTAATAAGAATGCAAACCCTAAAAAGCCTTTATCAGCCAGGTGCAGTGGCTCACACTTGTGATCCCAACACTTTGGGAGGCTGAAGCAAGAGGATTGCTTGAGGCCAGGAGTTCGAGACCAGCCTGAGCAACATAGCAAGATCCCATCTCTACGAGAAAACAAAATAAAATAAAATAAACCTTTCTGGCTGGGGAGAGACTGCCCCTCCCTGGGCTAGCCAGTTCTTAGAGATAGCAAAGAGCTCAGCCAGAAGCATGTCTTTGATATGCAAATGAACCAGCCCCAGAGCCACACCCCCTCTATCTGTCCTACACACCCCCAGAGGCAAAATTCCTCCGCCCAGGGCCAGGTCCCAGTCAATTAGGGACCAACCTATACCCCAAAGCCACTGAAATTATTCAAACTAGTCAATACTAAAGGTTCAACCCCACCCTACCTTGCCTTTCCTTCAAAACCCCCCACCCCAAAGAGCAGTAGCCTAAACCTTCCCCACACTTCTGTCTTCTGCCCTTTGACCACCCTGTGTCTTTTCCTTGGGGCCCTGCATGCTTCCTGTCCCTAGGATCCAAGAGTACAATAAACTCTGTTTTCCTGAGCCTCTCCTGTCTCTTGTGGCCATAGCTTTTATGAGACTGGCCATCTCATTAAAGAATGCAAAGCAGCCAGGCACACACCTGGAATCCCAGCACTTTGGGAGGCCAAAGCAGGAGGAACACTTGAGGCCAGGAGTTTAATACCAGCAACATAGTGACACCCTCATCTCTATAAGAATATATTGTGGCGCACACCTGTAGTCCCAGCTACTCAGGAGGCTGAGGTAGAAGGATCGCCTGAGCCCAGGAGGTCAAGGCTGCAGTGAGAGTTAGGTTCATGCCATTCATTGCACTTCAGCCTGAGCAACAGAGAAAAATCCTGTCTCTAAAAAAAAAATAAAAATAAATAAATGTAAAAAAAAAATTTAAAGAAGCAAAATGTGTACTAAGCAGAGATTCTGAATTTAAGGTATCTGTTCAAGTTGTTTGGGAATGGCTTTAGAAGTTTGCTTTTTTTTTCCCCTTGGGACAGAGTCTCACTCTGTTGCCCAGGCTGGAAGGCAGTGGCAAGACCTCGGCTCACTGCAACCTCCATCTTCCAGGTTCAGGTGATTCTCCTGCCTCAGCCTCCCAAGTAGCTGGGATTACAGGCGCGCGCCACCACGCCCGGCTAATTTTTGTATTTTTAGTAGAGACGGGGTTTCACCATGTTGGCCAGGCTGGTCTCCAACTCCTGACCTCGTGATCCATCCCCCTCGGCCTCCCAAAGTGCTGGGATTACAGGCGTCAGCCACCGCACCCGGCTGACTTCTGACAATAAAGAGTAAGAGCCCTTCAATCAATTCTTAGATTAGAGACAGTCCCCAAACCCAGTCCCCTTGAATGAAGGAAAGATCCTTTGAGGAAGGATTTACTACACTGTCAAAAAGTTACACGGTAAATCTTCTTAGCATTTCCTCAAAGAGACCTGAAGCCATAACGCAGGGTGACTGTGCTTTGAGAAGGAGAAATGACCAGATACTTAGGAGTTAGTAAACCTCGGCTCTGAACTGGTGCTAATCCCCGGAGAACCAAAATGGCACTGTGTCCCATTGTCAGAGCAGAGGCTCATGGAAGTTAGATGATCTATGAAGTTTTGGCTTGGCTCCATCTCACAGCAAGCCCAGTAGTTCCCAGAACTCATCGCATCATTATTTCCCCAGTTCCAGAATGCACAGGTGGGTATACATTGCAGTTTAGATATATTCAGTAGGTGTATGAGTAGACATACTCAACAACATACTCTTTTTTTTTTTTTTTTTTTGAGACGGAGTCTCGCTCTGTCACCCAGGCTGGAGTGCAGTGGCGCAATCTCGGCTCACTGCAAACTCCGACTCCCGGGTTCATGCCGTTCTCCTGCCTCAGCTGCCCAAGTAGCTGGGACTACAGGTGCCCGCCACTACGCCCGGCTAATTTTTTGTATTTTTAGTAGAGATGGGGTTTCACTGCATTAGCCAGGGTGGTCTCGATCTCCTGACCTCGTGATCCACCTGCCTCAGCCTCCCAAAGTGCTGGGATTACAGGCATGAGCCACCGCGCCCGGCAACAACTGGTAGACTTCTTGTATTGGTTCTCTGACCCATGGCACGAAGGCTATCATGATAAAAAAGGCCAAGTGGAATCCACTAGAACTGTGTCTACATACTAAAATAGTAAACCAAAAACAGTATCACATTTCTGGAAGGCTTGATGAGATTAGTGCCACTAACAAGGTCTTGAAAGACACAGAGGTGGTAATTCCTACCATATCCCTGCTCAAATCACCTGTTTGCCTGTCAGCAGACTGAAGGACACAGGAGAATGAAAGTGGGTTATCCACAGCCTTGTAACTCCAATTGCAGCTGCTGTTCCAGGTATAATTTCATCGCTAAAGCAAATCAACACATCCCATGGCACTTGGTCGCTTTTTCTGTTGTGTTTTGTTTTTTGAGATAGCACCTTTCTGTGTCACCAGGACTGGAGTGCATTAGCACAATAGTTCACTGCAGTCTCCACCTCCTGAGTTCAAGTGATCTTCCCACCTCAGTCTCCCAAGCAGCTGTGACTCCAGGCACACAGTACAAGTTGTTGCTGCTTCTCGGCAGGATGCCTCAGTTCCTCACCACATGTTCCTCTCCTCAGACCAGATTATGACAGAGGTTAGAGAGTGCATGGAGCCCTGAGGTAGCGACATGAAGGTGTACTGCAGCCCTGCCAACTAAAAGAAAACTGCATCTGGTGGTCTTTTCTAAAAGGTATAGAGTAGAAAGCATTTCATAGATCAATTGCAAACCAAGTACCACGGTTGGCCAGGTACAGTGGCTCATGCCTGTAATCCAGCCTTTTGGGAAGCCAAGGCAGGAGGATCTCTTGAGCTCAGGAGTTCAAGACCAGCCTGAGCAACATGGCAAGACCCTGTCTGTACAAAATATTTTTTTTTTGAGACGGAGTTTCGCTCTCGTCGCCCAGGCTGGAGTACAATGGTATGATCTCGGCTCACTGCAACCTCCGCCTCCTGGGTTCAAGTGATTCTCCTGCCTCAGCCTCCCAAATAGTTGGGATAACAGGCACCTGCCACCACGCCCAGCTAATTTTTGTATTTTTAGTAGAGACATGTTTCACCATGTTGATCAGGCTGGTCTCAAACCCCTGACCTCATGATCCGCCCACCTCAGCCTCCCAAAGTGCTGGGATTACAGGCGTGAGCCACTGCGCCTGGCCAAAAATAATTTTTTTTTTAATTAGCCAGGTGTGATGTTGCATGACTATAGTCCCAGCTGCTTGGGAGGCTGAAATGGGAGAATCACTTGAGCCCAGGAGTTCAAGGTTTTGGTGAGCTGTGATTGAGCCACTGCACTCCAGCCCATCTCAAAAAAAAAAAAAAAAAAAAAAAAAGCTTTCACTTAAATATTTTTAGGAAATAAAAAAATGAGCTAGGCATGGTGGTGGGCGCCTATAGTCCCAGCTACTCAGGAGGCTGAGCAGGAGAATTGCTTGAACCTGGGAGGCGGAGGTTGCAGTGAGCCGAGATCGCGCCACTGCACTCCAGCCTGGGCGACAGAGTGAGACTCTGTCTCAAAAAACAGAATAAAATAATAATAAACTCATTGTGTGTCAACATAAATAACATACATAAATAACTTTTGCTAGTATCTGAATGTTGGCGTACTCCCCAAAATTCATATGTTGAAACCTAATCCCCAAGGTGATGATATTAAGAGGCGGGGTGTTTGGGAGGTAATTAGGTAATGAAGGTTCCACCCTTATCGAGGGATTAGTGCCTTTGTAAAAGAGGCTTGAAGGAGCTTCCTTGCTCCTCACACCTTGTGAGGACACAAAGAAGGAGCCATCTATGAGGAACAGGCTTTCACCAGACACCAAAATTGCTGACACCTTGATCATGGACTTCCCGATCTCCAGAATTGTGAAAAATAAATTTCTGTTGTTTATATATTACTCAGCCTAAGGTATTTTGTTATAGCAGCCCAAACATACTCAAACACTTTTATGAAACACAACTACATTTCAAAAGGAAAAAGAAGTTGGTGAGAAAAGAGCAGCTTTGTTTTACATTTTTACAAATCTTATTCATCTCTGGCTTCACAGAAGACAGCTGGATTCTCATAACTGGTGCTGCATGTAGTCTAGTGTGATATCAGTCATTCTGTAGCCTCTGGAACATTCCACATTTTGTGATAGAACAAGAGTGAAAATGGCATGTAAGCACTATAACAGTTCACAGATAATTTTTTATTATTATTATTTTGTTAAGATGGAGTCTTGCTCTGTTGCCAGGCTGGAGGGCAGTGGTACGATCTCAGCTCATTGCAGCCTCCGCCTCCCGGATTCAAGCAATTCTCCTGCCTCAGCCTCCTAAGAAGCTGGAATTACAGGTGTGAGCCACTGTGCCTGGCCTAATTTTTATATTTTTAGTACAGATGGGGTTTCACCATGTTGGCCAGGCTGGTCTTGAACTCCTGGCCTCAAGGGATCTGCCTGCCTTGGCCTCCCAAAGTGCTGGGCTTATAGGCATGAGCCACTGTGCTCAGTCCAAATTTTTTTTCTTTTCTTTTCTTTTTGAGACAGAGTTTCACTATTTTTGCCCAGGCTGGAATGCAGTGGCGCGATCTCGGCTCATCGCAATCTCTGCCTTCCAGGTTCAAGCAATTCTCCTGCCTCAGCCTCCCAAGTAGCTGGGATTACAGGCATCTGTCACCACACTCGGCTAATTTTTGTATTTTCAGTAGAGACGGGGTTTCATCATGTTAGTCAGGCTGGTCTTGAACTCCTGACTTCAGGTGATCTGCCTGCCTCGGCCTCTCGAAGTTCTGGGATTACAGGCGTTAACCACCATGCCCGGCTTATTTTCTTTTTTAAAAAAAATTTTTGGGACCGGGCGCGGTGGCTCACGCCTGTAATCCCAGTACTTTGGGAGGCCGAGGCGGGTGGATCACGAGATCAGGAGATCGAGACCATCCTGGCTGACGCAGTGAAACCCCGTCTCTACTAAAAATACAAAAAATTAGCCGGGCGTAGTGGCGGGCACCTATAGTCCCAGCTGCTCAGGAGGCTGAGGCAGGAGAATGGCATGAACCCGGGAGTTGGAGTTTGCAGTGAGCCGAGATTGCGCCACTGCACTCCAGCCTGGGCGACAGAGCGAGACTCCGTCTCAAAAAAAAAAAATTTTGGGGCTGGGTGCAGTGGTTCACGCCTGTAATCCCAGCACTTTGAGAGGCCAAGGCGGGTGTATCACCTGAGGTTGGGAGTTCGAGACCAGCCTGACCCACATGGGGAAACCCTGTCTCTACTAAAAATACAAAAATTAGCTGGGCATGGTGGCAGGTGCCTGTAATCCCAGCCACTGGGAGGCTGAGGCAGGAGAATCTCTTGAACCGGAAAGACAGAGGTTGCGTTGAGCTGAGATCGTGCCATTGCACTCCACCCTGGGCGACAGAACGAGACTCCGTCTCAATCAATCAATCAATCAATCAATGAAAATAGTTTAGATTTCACAGACCCGCTGAAAGGGTCTCTGGGACCTCTGATATTCCCAGACCACACTTTGGGGACCCCTGTTGTAGCATTATGCCAGAGGACTCTGCTTGGTCCTGTTCAGCATTCTCACTACCTGCTAGGACAAAATAATCAATGTTTACCACTTTGGCAGATGATGCAAACTGGGAAGGGAATTATTACAAAAGATGACAGAATTAAAACTTTTAATTATTTCAGCTGACCAGAATCAAACAGAATTAAATTGTATGTGGGATATCTTGCATTTACGTTTTGCTTTATTTTAAATTAGTTGCACGTGTACTAGAAGCATGGGATGGAAGGAACTGGCCAGATAGCAGTTTGTATGAAAAAGATCTGGTGGTTTAGGCCAACCACAAGCTAAATATGAACCAACAGCTTGTAACATAATGTCAAGAAGTGTAACCATTGAACTGGGACAGACGGGCTGAGGGTTACTTGGAGGAGGGGTGGGTAGAGGAGGGAGTAGTTACATTTTCTTTGCTCCAGCCATTCTCACATTTGCTCTGACTCTCTGAACACTGCTTGCCCCCAGCAGTTTGCTCTGTCAAGAGGCCTCTGTCCAGGGGTCTGCTTGCTTCTGTAAAACACTAGAGCTCAATCTCAGCATCACTTGCAGTCTTCTTCAACATCACCCTTTGGAACTTGGCATGGCCACCTGGGACTCAACTCTTCCTGGCCTGGCCCACAGGAAGAACGGGTCATGGCTTCTTCCTGCTTGTCGCCAAGACGGTGTCTTTGTGCCTTGTGAAATGATTCCATCCCTTCCCTCTTGGGTCAAGAGAGAAGTTCCTCCCAAGATCAGCAAGGATGGCCCCGACTGGCACACACTTCAAGAAGGTGATGATTTCTCCTATTCTGCTCCGGTCTAAGTCAGTCAAGAATGGCATTCTAATCTTGTTACCGGAAAGGGGTCCCGATCCAGACCCCAAGAGAGGGTTCTTGGACCATGCGCAAGAAAGAATTTGAGGCAAGTCCACAAAGTGAAAGTCCACAAAAAGAAAGCAAAGGAATAAAAGAATGGCTACTCCATAGGCAGAGCAGTGGCTTGAGCTGCTCGACCGAGGATACTTACTGTTACTTCTTGATTATATGCTAAGCAAGGGGTGGATTATTCATGAGTTTTCTGGGAAAAGAGTGGGCAATTCCCAGAACTGAGGGTTCCTCCCCTTTTTATTTTTTTAAATTTATTTTTATTTATTTATTTATTTTATTTATTTATTTATTTATTTATTTATTTATTTTTATACGGAGTCTCGCTCTGTCACCCAGGCCGGAGTGCAGTGGCGCGATCTCGGCTCACTGCAAGCTCCGCCTCCCAGGTTCACGCCATTCTCCTGCCTCAGCCTCCCAAGTAGCTGGGACTACAGGCGCTCGCCACCACAGGCTAATTTTTTGTATTTTTAGTAAAGACGAGGTTTCACCATGTTAGCCAGGATGGTCTCGATCTCCTGACCTCGTGATCAACCCGCCTCGGCCTCCCAAAGTGCCGGGATTACAGGCGTGAGCCACCGCGCCGGCCTCCTCCCCTTTCGAGACCATATAGGGTAACTTCCTGATGTTGCCATGGCATTTGTAACTGTCATGGCGCTGGTGGGTGTGTCTTTTAGCATGCTAATGCTTTATAATTAGCGTATAATGAGCAGTGAGGACAACCAGAGGTCACTCTTGTCACTATCTTGGTTTTGGTGGGTTTTGGCTGGCTTCTTCACTGCAACGTGTGTTTTTTGTTTGTTTGTTTGTTTGTTTGTTTTTGAGACAGAGTCTCTCCCTGTCGCCCAGGCTGGAGTGTTCACAGCAACCTCCGCCTCCCGGGTTCAAGCCATTCTCCTGGGTTCAAGTGATTCTCCTGCCTCAGCCTCCCGAGTAGCAAAAGGCGCACGCCACCATGCCCAGCTAATTTTTGGTATCTTTAGTAGCGATTTCACCATGTTGGCCAGGTCGAACTCCTGACCTCGTGATCCGCCCGCCTCGGCTTCCCAAAGTCCTGGGATTACAGGCGTGAGCCACCGCGCCCAGCCACCTGCAACATGTTTTATCAGCAAGGCCTTTATGACCCGTATCTTGTGCTGACCTCCTGTCTATTCCTGTGACTAGAATGCCTAGCCTCCTAGGAACGTAGTTCAGTAGGTCTGAGTCTCATTTTACCCAGCCCCTATTCAAGATGGAGTCGCTCTGGTTCAAACCCCTCTGACAGTCTGGGAAAATTACTCACTCCATTAATGACCTGAAAAAATTCCAGAGGATGATGGAGGCAGAGAATAGGCTCTGGAGTCAGGTGTAGGTACAAATCCCTTCTCTGTCACTTGCCAAATGCATGCCCACTGCACAAGTTACTTAAACTCTATGAACCTCAGTTTGCTCATTTCATTTATATAATGAAAGTAATATTGGGTATTATGAAGGCTGAGTGAGATAATTCATATCAAGTGCTTATCATAGTATCTGGCACATAATAATCATTTATTAAATATTAATTGTATAAATTGTATTTTGTCTCAATTTTTTTTTTTTTTTTTAGATAGAGTCTCTCTATGTTGCCAGGCTGGAGTGCAATGGCATGATCTTGGCTCATTGCAACCTCCGCCTCCTGGGTTCAAGCCATTCTCCTGCCTCAGCCGCCCGAGTAGCTGGGACTACAGGTGTGCGCCACCACACCCAGCTAATTTTTCTATTTTTGGTAGAGATGGGGTTTCACCATGTAGGCCAGGATGATCTTGATCTCTTGACCTCATGATCCACCCCTGACTCGGCCTCCCAAAGTGCTGGGATTACAGGTGTGTGCCACCTCACCCGGCCAATTTTTTTTTTTTTTTTAAGACTGAGTCTCACTCTGTTGCCCAGGCTGGAGTGCAATGGCGTGACCTTGGCTCACTGCAACCTCTGCCTCCAAGGTTCAAGCAATTCTCCTGCCTCAGCCTCCCAGGTAGCTGGGATTACAGGCACGCACCACCATGCCTGGCTGATTTTTTTTTTGGTATTTTTAGTAGAGACGGGGTTTCGCCATGTTGGCCAGGCTGGTCTCAAACTCCTGACCTCAGGTGATCCAGCCACCTCAGCCTCCCAAAGTGCTGGGATTACAGGCGTGAGCCACCATTCCTGGCCTGTATCAAAAATTTTAAAGGGAAACCTGATCCGAAGAGGCACCTTTCTGCCTACAACACAGGCCCTTTCATCAGCTGACCACAGGAGGGGTGCTCCATGGAGCCCCAGGGCCACAGGCATCTCCATTTCAGAAGAGGAGTTCTGCCCTACAGGTACATAACTAAAAGTCCCTTCCAGAGGGTTTTCCTAGAATGAAAATGGATTAACTTCAGCTTTGAAATGACAAATTTCATTTCCTCTCCATTCCTATAAAAGCTTCAAAGATTTCAGGGTCAATTTTCTGTTGGGGCTCAAGCTCCAAGGGTCTGTGTGTGTGCATCCCCTGGATTCCCCAAGAAGAAGAACCCGGCCCAAGACCTCCATGCAGCCAAGCCTGTCTCTACCAAAAGCCAAAGCTTGGGCGAGAATACAGATGGAGGCTCATAGACCATATACCTGATAGTTACAAGTTATAAAGAGACTATTAGACCAAATATGGTTTATCCTCCTGTGATATTCTGAAATATATATTTGGTCTTTATCACCATTTCCCAGCATACAACTCCTAAAATCCTGGGAATCTACAAAGTGCTGTGTTTTGTTTTTTGCTTTTTTGTTTTGCTTTTTCTTTTGTGAGACGGAGTCTCCCTCTGTTACCCAGGCTGGAGTGCAATGGCACAATCTCACTCAACGTCCACCTCCCGGATTCAGATGACTCTCCTGCCTCAGCCTCCCGAGTAACTGAGATTACAGGTGCCCGCCTGTCACCAACATGGTGAAATCCCGTCTCTACTAAAAATACAAAAATTAGCTGGGCGTGGTGGTGTGCCTGTAATCTCAGCTACTCGGGAAGCTGAGGCCGGAGAGTCCCTTGAACCTGGGAAGCGGAGGTTGCAGTGAGCCGAGATCACGCCACTGCACTCCAGTCTGGGTGACAAGAGCAAAACTCCATCTTGGAAAATAAAAAATAAAAAAAGAACTAGGAAGCCAGCTGGAATTTAGAATTCTTGGACTCCTCAGTTTCTCCTCGGAATGTGGAAGTGCAGAGAGGTCTGGCCTGTCACAGTCAAGTCCCGCTCTTCCATTCTGTAACCGCCCAAGGGGTTCACCTTGCCTGCTGCCAATTAATCAGAGCTCTTTTATGTATAAACATCACACACACACACAACACATATAAATACAGACAGACAGAAGATTCAGCACTTGTAAGATTTTTCATTTGCCAGTTTCTTAATTGGATTACTGAGAGTGATTTAATTTATACTTCAAAAAGATTACTCTTGGCCGGGCATGGTAGCTCATGACTGCAATCTCGGCACTTTGGGAGGCCGAGGAAGGAGCATCGCTTGAGACCAGGAGTTTGAGACTAGCCTGGCCAACATAGTGAGACCCTGTCTCAAAAAAAAAAAAAAAAAAAAAGATGACTCTGGCTGCTGTGAGCAGAAAGGATTGTGGGGTGCACAGTGGAAGCAGGGAGACTAGCTGGGAGGTAGGGGCAGCAGTCCCAGAGTGAGAGAATGATGGTCTGGACTAAGATCAGGGCTAAGATCAGGTCTGGACTAAGATCTCCCTGTGGCCAGGGAGAAAGTGCACGAATGGAGGCAGCATCTGCGGGACTTGCTGTTGGGTTCCATGTGGGCGAATATGAGGAAGAAAGAGATGTCAAGAATAACTGGCCTCTTCTCTCCAGTGATGACCACATCCTGTCTGTCATAGCTGCCTTTGCCATATGTGGTCCCTATAACATATTTAAAATGTTGGTGTTCTCAAATTTGTTGATGTTTGCCTTTGTTATTTTTTTCATTATTTTTAAAATCTCAAGTCATTTCTCATTTCAAAACCTCCTATTATTTGGCCGGCTCAGTGGGTCATGCCTGTAATCCCAGCACTTTGGGAGGCGGAGGCGGGCAGATCACTTGAGGTCAGGAGTTCGAGACCAGCCTGGCCAACATGGTGAAACCCCGTCTCTACTAAAAATAAAAAAATTAGCCAGGTGTGGTGGTGCATGCCTATAATCCAAGATACTCGGGAAGCTGAGGCAGGAGAATAGCTTGAACCCGGGAGGCGGAGGTTGCAGTGAGCCGATGGTGCTACTGTACTGTATGGGTGACATACAGAGCAAGACTCTGTCTCAAAAATAAATAAATAAATAAACTCTCATATTATTTACCTATAATTTTTTCTTTTTTTAAATTAAAAATTAATTTTGGTATAAGAAATATTCTTCAAACTACTGGTAGCTATTCACTAGTGAGTTATTAGATCAATTTACTGGGCAGACACCAGAATTTTCTTTTTAATAATATAGGAATAGAATAGAATAGAATAGAATAGATCAGAGTCCATCTGACATAATAAGGATAAATATTGCTTTATAAACTTTTGTTTTAATTATTAATTTATATTCAGGCGAGATGTTCCACATATTTCTTACTGTGGGTCATAGTCCAAAAAGGTTTAAAAGCCTCTTTATAAAATGAAATAATAAAATCTGGTTATTTTAGTCCAAAACTGTAAGCAATTTTCCCAGTATTATTGAAAGACTAGTCTTCTCTTTCACCACTGATTTATGAGTCCTTCTTTAGCATGTATTACATTTTGGGGTTTTTTTGAGACAGAGTCTCACTTTATACCCCAGGCTGGAGTGCAGTGGCACAATCTTAGCTCACTGCAGCCTCAACCTCCCAGGCTTAAGCTGGGACTACAGGCACGTGCCACCATGCCTGGCTAATTTTTGTATTTTTTGTACAGATGGGGTTTCGCGACGTTGCCCAGGCTGGCCTGGGACTCCTGAGCTCACGTCATTCTCCCACCTGGGCCTCCTAAAGTGCTGGGATTACAGGTGTAAGCCACCATGCCCAGCCATGTGTATGAAATTCTAATACAACATACACTTTTTAAGCACTTCCTGTATGCCCTATATATGTTAGGCATGGGGAAAATGACACAATGGTGAGTACAAACATAGACTTTCTCTGCACTCCTGGAGCTTATGGAAATGCTGAGGTCTGTTTCTGGGTTATCTGTTCTGTTCCATTGGTCTTTCTACAGATTTTTGCCCAGTGGTGCAGTTGTTATCACTGTAATCGTCATTTGTTGAACAACTGTTATGGGCCAGGCATTCTGCTGAGTGTTTGACATATACTATTTCCTTTAATACTCATAAGGATGCTGTAAATGATATTCTTACTCCCATTTTACAGGAGGAAGAAACAGAGGCTACGAGATGTTAGGAAGGTTTCCCAAGATGGCAGCCTTAGTCTGCTCGGGCTGCCATACAAAATACTACAGACTGAGTGGCTTGTACAACAGAAATTTATCAATATCTTCTCACAGTTCTAGAGGCTGGAAGGTTCTGGCAGGGTTCAGCTTTGGGCAAGGGCTTTCTCCCTGGTTTGTAGATGGCCACCTTCTCGCTGTGTCTTCATGAAGTGCCCTTTCCTTTGTGCTGGGCAGGGGGTGGGGAAAGGAGACGGGGAGGAGAAGGGGAGGGCCTCAACATATGAATCTGAGGGGACACCATGCAGTCCATAGCAGTGACATGTTCAGGAAGTGGCAAAGTCAGATTCAAACCCAATTTTCTTCTTTTTTTTTTTTGAGACGGAGTCTTACTCTGTCGCCCTGGTTGGAGTGCAGTGGTGCAATCTTGGCTCACTGCCAGCTCTGCCTCCCAGGTTCACGCCATTCTCCTGCCTCAGCCTCCCGAGTAGCTGTGACTACAGGTGCCCACCACCACGCCGGGCTAATTTTTTTTTTTGTAATTTTTTTAGTAGAGGCGGGGTTTCACCATGTTAGCCAGGATGGTCTCGATCTCCTGACCTCGTGATCAGCCCACCACGGGCTCCCAAAGTGCTGGGATTACAGGCGTGAGCCACTGCACCTGGCCTAAACCCAGATTCTCTTTCTCCAGAACCTGAATTCCTCTTAACATCATTTCTTTTCTTTTTTTTTTTTTGAGTTGGAGTCTTTTTTTTTTTTTTTTTTTTTGAAACGGAGTCTCACTCTGTCGCCCGGCTGGAGTTCAGTGGCACAATCTCAGTTCACTGCAACCTCCATCTCCTGGGTTCAAGCGATTCTCCTGCCTTGGCCTCCTGAGTAGCTGGGATTACAGGCGTGCGCCACCACGCCTGGCTAATTTTTGTATTTTTAGTAGAGATGGGGTTTCACCATGTTGGTCAGGCTGGTCTCGAACTCCTGACCTCATGATCCGCCCGCCTCAGCCTCCCAAAGTGCTGGGATTACAGGTGTGAGCCACTGCGCCCAGCCATGAGATGGAGTCTTGCTCTGTTGTCCAGGCTGGAGTTCAGTGGTGCAATCGCAGCTCACTGGAACCCCCATCTCCTGGATTCAAGCAATTCTCCTGCCTCAGCCTCCCGAGTAGTTGGAATAACAGGTGTGCACCACCATGCCTGGCTTTTTTTTTTTTTTTTTTTTTTTTTTTGTATTTTTAGTAGAGACAGGGGTTTTATCATGTTGGCCAGGCTGGTCTCAGACTCCTGATTTCAGGTGATCTGCCCACCTCGGCCTCCCAAAGTGCTGGGATTATAGGTGTGAGCCACTACACACAGCTTAACATAATATCTAATAGGGGAAATCCTACCTTATTGTATTTATTTTCCAAAAGAAAAAAAACTCTATTCTTGTCTGTTTATTTTATAATTTTTTTTTTTAGAGTCAGGTTCTTGCTCTGTCACCCAGGCTGGAGTGCAGTGGCGCTATCATAGCTCACTGCAGCCTCAAACTCCTGGGCTCGAGCAATCCTCCTCATTCAGCCTCCTGAGAAGCTAGGACTATAGGCGTGCACCCATCAAGCCCGGCAAATTTTTAACAATTTTTTGTAGAAATGGAGTCTTGCTATGTTGCCTAGGCTGGTCTTGAACTCCTGGCCTCAAGGGATCCTCCTGTCTTGGCTTCCCAAAGTGCTGAGATTACAGATGTGAGCCACCATGCCCAGCCAATTTATTCTCTCAAATTAACTTCAAAAATCAATTTGACCTACACACACCCCACAATATGTACCAATATGTACCATCATGATATATCAATTTTGAAAAATATAGAGAAAAAGAAAAATGACAGTAGAAAAAAAAATCACTTTGATCCATTTCATGCGAGTGAGAATTGTCATCTTCCCCCCACTGAGTATTCCCATCCAGAAACACGCTATGTGCTGTCTCTCGGGGAAGTGGTATGGATTTCCTCTTATAGGTTTCACACACATTTCTTGCCACAGATTTTCTGAGCTCATAGTTTTTTAGTTTAGTGTTTCTCAGACCGTAATGTGCATACAATCACCTAGGGATCACTTTAAATGCAGTCTCTGATTCAGTAGGACCAGGGTGGAGCCTAGGATTCCAGTTTTAACAAGCTGTCAGTGACAGATCCAATGCTGATCTGTGGGCCACGCTGTGAACCACAAGGTTCTAGTTGTGCCATTGTGTGTGGAATAGTTTAGTCTCAGATCTCAGAACTGGCTAGTGGGATTATCTAGACAAGCTAATAACTTTTATTTAGCCAGTTTTACATACAGTTCCCTTTCTGAACCCAGGAGGTTTGTTTGTTGCTGTGGAGACTAGCTATGGTTAACAAGGGTTGGAAGAGAGTTTGGGGACAGGAAACCATCATGGTGGTACTAAAAGAGGACCAGTGGGGGGCTGGGCGCGGTGGCTCATGCCTGTAATCCCAGCACTTTGGGAGGCCAAGGCAGGTGTATCACGAGGTCAGGAGTTCGAGACCAGCCTGGCCAACACGGCGAAACCCCGTCTCTACTAAAAATACAAAAATTATCCAGGCGTAGTGGCGGGCACCTGGAATCCCAGATACTCGGGAGACTGAGGCAGGAGAATCACTTGAACCCAGGAGGAGGAGGTTGCAGTGAGCTGAGATTGCACCAGCACTGCACTCCAGCCTGGGCGACAGAGCAAGACTCCGTCTCAAGAAAAAAAAAAAAAAAAAGGACCTGTGATGTCCTTGCCTTTAATTAAATTAAATAATTTAATTTAATTTAAACCAGGCCCAGTTGCCTGGCAGCAGCCCTTACCCCTTGCAATGTCATCCTATTCCATGACCAAGACTCAGACCCCATGAATCCCAGAGCTTGACAGAGTAGGTGCTCAATAAATACTTGCTGGATGAAGGAATCTAGGGCAACCCCCCTACCCCCAACTCTTGTTGCAGATAAGGAAACTGAAGCCCCAAGAGTGGAAGTAACTCGGAGCTGTTACTAGCATGGCTGGAATAAGAACCCAGGTTCTCTGCCTTCTGTTCAGAGTTCCACTTTGTGCTGGCCCTGAGAAAGACATCAGGGAAGCACAGTGCATTAGAGCTGAGAGACCTTCAAGATCATCTAGCCCAGGGCTTCTTATTGAAGGGTGTTTTAGAGCCACCGTATACATGCCTGGGTCTCACCCCTGAAGAGTCTGATTCAATAGGTCTGTGGTGGGCACTGTAGGCTTTAAACAGTGCCCAGGTAGGTAGTTCAGATTCACAGCCAAGCTTCGGAACCAGTGTCCTGACCCAATCCTCTTGTTTTGCTGAAGGAGAAACTAAACTGGCAAGGAAAGCAAGTTGCTGTTGGCTACAGAGAACCATTCCACAGAACACCCTTAAGACCTGTGCTTTCAGAAGTCAGGAATCATGTCCAGTCATGGAATTCTTGCCCAGGAGAGGAGGAAGAAGCAGGGGAGCAGGAACTGACACTGACTTAGCACCTCGATCTGGTATCCCATTTCTCCAATAACAGTGACAAGCCAGAAAATTTGTCTTGTGTGTAGGTAGGAAAGGTAGTTGATTAAGGGTGGTGATTTGAGAGATGCGGGAGGTTTTTATCCCCATCTTTTTTTTTTTTTTTTGAGATGGAGTCTTTGCTCTGTCACCCAGGCTGGAGTGCAGTGGCGCGATCTCAGCTCACTGCAAGCTCCGCCTCCCAGGTTCACACCATTCTCCTGCCTCAGCCTCCCAAGTAGCTGGGACTACAGGCGCCCGCCACCACGCCCGGCTAATTTTTTGTATTTTTAGTAGAGACGGGGTTTCACCGTGTTAGCCAGGATGGTCTCGATCTCCTGACCTTGTAATCCACCCGCCTTGGCCTCCCAAAGTGCTGGGATTACAGGCATGAACCACTGCGCCCGGCCTTTTTTAAAAAAAATTTCTAGAGGCAGGGTCTCGCTATATTGCCCAGACTGGACTCTAGCTCCTGGGCTTAAGCCATCCTTCCCCACTCAGCCTCCCAGGCAGTTTAGACTACAGGTACACCCATCATTTAAATGTTGCATAGAGGCTGAGTGCAGTGGCTCACACCTATAATCCCAGCACTTTGGGAGGCCAAGGCAGGCAGATTGCCTGAGGTCAGGAGTTCGAGACCAACCTAGCCAACATGGTGAAACCCCGTCTCTACTAAAAACACACACAAAAAATTACCCAGGCATGGTGGTGGGCACCTGTAATCCCAGCTACTCAGGAGGCTGAAGCAGGAGAATTACTTGAACCTGGGAGGCGGAGGTTGCAGTGAGCTGAGGTCACGCCACTGCACTCCATCCTGGGTAACAGAGTGAGACTCCGTCTCAAAAAAACCAAAAACAAAAAATTAGCCGGGCGTGGTGGCAGGTGCCTGTAATCCCAGCTACTCAGGAGGCTGAAGCAGGATAATTACTTGAACCCAGGAGGTGGAGGTTGCAGTGAGTCGAGATTGCACCATTGCACTCCAGCCTGGGCAACGAGAGTGAAACTCTGTCTCAGAAATAAAGAAAATAAAAACTAAACGTTGCACAGATCATACAGCAGAGTAATTAAAAATGCAGAGATCTGGCCGAGTTTGGTGGCTCACGCCTGTAATCCCAGCACTTTAGGAGGCCAAGATGGTGCCATTGCACTCCAGCCTGGGCAACGAGAGTGAAACTCCGTCTCAAAAAAAACAAAAATGCAGAGATCTCTTAAAACAAAGAACCAGTGAGAGAGTTTATATCCCAGCTCTGCCACCGACCACCAATATTAACAAATTATTTAACCTAAAACTCAATTTCTCTACTTGCAAAGTATGCCATTTAACAGAGCCAACCTGTTATAGCCTAGAGGTGAAATATACAATGGTTTGAGCCAGACTGGCTGGTTCAGATCCCAGTTCTGCTACTTATTGGCTGCATGACTTTGGGCAAGTTACTTAACCTCTTTTTGCCTCAATTTCATCACTTTTTTTTTTTTTTTTTTGAGATGGATACTCACTCTGTCGCTAGGCTGGATTGCAGTGGTGCAATCTCGGCTCACTGCAAGCTCCGCCTCCCAGGTTCACACCATTCTCCTGCCTCAGCCTCCCGAGTAGCTGGGACTACAGGCTTGCGCCACCATGCCCAGCTAATTTTTATATTTTTAGTAGAGATGGGGTTTCGTCATGTTGGCCAGGCTGGTCTTGAACTCCTGACCTCAGGCGATCTGCCCACCTTGGCCTCCCAAAGTGCTGGGACTACAGGTGTGAGCCGCCGTGCCTGGCCCATCACTAATTAAATGGTGACACTACAGTAATAACAATTTCCTCAGAAGATTATTGTGAGGATTAAATGAATTCATATAGTTCCCTAACCTCTGAACCTTGGGGTGCCCAGGGCCACAATCCTTAATCCCTTCTCTGCCTACACTCACTTCCTTGGCTTTAAATACCATTTAGGGTCAGGCACAGTGGCTCACACCTGTAATCCCAGCACTTTGGAAGGCCGAGGCAGGTGGATCATGAGGTCAGGAGTTCAAAACCAACCTGGCCAAGATGATGAAACCCCATCTCTACTAAAAATACAAAAATTAGCTGGGTGTGGTGGCGGATGCCTGTAATCTCAGCTACTCGGAGGCTGAGGCAGAGAATTGCTTGAATACGGGAGGTGGAGGTTGCAGTGAGCAGAGATTGCACCACTGCACTCCAGCCTGGGTGACAGAGCAAGACTCCATCTCAAAAATAAAATAAAATAAAATAAAATAAAATTAAACTTGCTTTAAAAAATACCATTTATATATCAGCCATTTCCAAATTTATATCTTGAGTTCATTCCTCTGCTCTGAACTCTTTATTGGAATATATCAGCCTGCCTGATGGACACGTCCACATGGATACAAAGTAGATATCTTTAGACTAACATTCCCAAAACTGAACTTTTGTTTCTTTTTTTTTGATACAAGGTCTCTGTCACCCAGGCTGGAGTGCAGTGTCGCAATCATGGCTCTCTGCAGCCTCTACTTCCAGACTCAAGTGATCCTCCCACCTCAGCCTCCCAAGTAGCTCGGACTACAGGTGCATAACACCACACCAGACTAATTTTTTACATTTTGTAGAGACGGGGGTCTTCCTATGTTCCCCAGGCTGGTCTTGAACTCCTGGGCTTAAGCAATCCTCCTGCCTCAGCCTCCCAAAGTGCTGGCATTACAGGTGTCAGCCACCATGCCCAGCCCAAAACTGAACTCTTGATCTCTGTCCCTATCCCTGGTGGTCTAGTGATCAGGAAAAAAATTAATTAAAATAAAAAGATCTCCACCCCTAAACCTGCTCTTTCCAAGGTCTTCCTTATCTCATTAACTATCTCAGTTAATGGCAACTCCCTCCTTTAGTTGCTCAGGCCAAAGTCCTCGGAGTCATCCATCCATCCATCCAAAGGCCTTGGCTTTACCTTCAAAAGATACTTAAAAGATACTTGGAATACCCTTTCTCAGCACTGCACCGTAACTGCACTGGTCCAAGTCACAATCGCCTCTTAGTTGGATTAATGAAACAGGTTCTTGGTTTCCCTGCTTCCAAGTATACTCTCCTATGGTCTCTACTCAACATAGCATCCAGAGTGAGCCTATTTATACAGAAGTTGCATTATGTTACTCCTGCCCCGAACCCTTCAATACTTCCCAATTTAGAGTAAAAGCCAAAGTCTCTGCCAGAGCCTATAAGGTCTTCCATACTCTGGCCTCAACTTCTCTGCTGTCATCTTTACACAACCCTTTGCTTACTTGCCTCCTTGCAAGTTCCCGCCCCTGAGAATCTTCATACTTGCTCATTGTTCTGCCTGGAACACTTTTACACCAAGATATCCTCATGGCTCATGTTCTTAACACCTTCAGGTCTTCACTTAAAAGTCCCCCTGGGCCAGGTGCAGTGGTTCATGCTTGTAATCCCAGCACTTTGGGAGGACGAGGTGGAAGGATCACTTGAACCCAAGGGTTCGAGACCAGCCTGGGCAACATGATGAAACCCTGTCTCTACAAAAAATACAAAAATTAACTGGGCATGCTGGTGCATGGCTGTAGTCTCAGCTACTCAGGAGTATGAGGTGGGAGGATCACTTGAGCCCGGTAAGTTGAGGCTGCAGCAAGCTGAGACTGTGCTGCTGCACTCCAGCCTGGGCAATGGAGTGAGACCCTGATCAAAAAAAACCCAAAAAGTCCCCTTGGAAATGTTAGGTCTTTCCTGACAGTTCCAGCCCTCTCTATCCTCTGTTTCTGGGTCACCTTTTTAAAAAAACACATGTGCCCCATCTATATACTATTTAACCAACGTATTCTTTCTTTCTTTATTTTTTTGGAGACAGGGTATCACTCTGTTGCCCAGGCTGGAGTGTAGTGGCGTGATTTTGGCTCACTGCAACCTCCACCTTTTGGGCTCAAGTCGTCCTCCCACCTCAGCCTCCTGAGTAGCTGGGACTACAGGTGCACGCCACCAAGCCTGGCTAATTTTTATAATTTTTTTTAGTGGCAGGGTCTTGCCGTGTTGTCCAGGCTGGTCTCGAATCCTGAACCCAAGTGATCTGCCCACCTCAGCCACCCAAAGTGCTGTGATTATAGGCATGAGCCATGGCGCCCAGCCAATCTAACTAATGTATTATTTAATTTACTTATTTATTTTGTTTATTGTCTGTCTTTCCCCACTAGAAAGTAAGCTCCATGAAGACTTGAAGATAGGAATCCTTTCTGTTTTTTTCACTGCTATGTCCTCAGAGCCTAGACCACAACCTGGCACATAGTAGGTTCTTCATAATAATTGTTCATTAAATATAATAAATACATGTTAACTCTAATTATTATCTTGACATTTTGGAAACAGTAAGAGGCAGAAATTTTAAACATTGACATTTCGTGCTGAAAACCTCCAAACAATATTTTTAAGAACATGCTAAATGAAAATGTAGCTCTGCCTACTCTGCCTATGAAGTAGCCATTCTTTTATTCCTTTACTTTCTTTTTTTTTTCAAGACAGAGTCTTGCTCTGTCACCCAGGCTGGATTGCAGTGCTGCAATCTTGGCTCACTGCAACCTCCACCTCCTGAGTTCAAGAGATTCTCCTGCCTCAGCCTCCAGAGTAGCTGAGATTACAGGTGCCTGCCACCACGCCTGGCTAATTTTTGTATTTTTGGTAGAGACAGGGTTTCACCATGTTGGCCAGGCTAGTCTCAAACTCCTGACCTCAAATGACCCACCAGCCTCAGCCTCCCAAAGTGCTGGAATTACAGGTGTGAGCCACCGCACTCAGCCTATTCCTTTACTTTCTTAATAAACTTCTTTCACTTTACTCTATGGACTTGCTCTAAATTATTTCTTGTGCGAGGTCCAAGAACCCTCTCTTGAGGTCTGGATTGGGACCCCTTTCCAGTAACGTCTTCCTGGCTAACCATGAGGGGATTATACTGGGGAGACCCCAACCCAAAGGAAATAGACTTCAGCACTAATTGGCTGACTTTGGAGTCAAGAAAACTTTTATTTTGAGCTATTGACAGCTTCTAACAATTGAGTAAACACCTGTGAACAAAATTTGGAGCATATTTGTTTTTCTTTCTGATTTTGTCAGAATTTGGACACTATTTGTGAGTATTCTTAACTTATGGCAATATGGTTATTTGCATAAGTGCAATAAGAACATTTTCTTTTGCAACAGGACACAATTGGAGAAACTGGTTATTTTACCAAGGCTTTGAATGGAATGATGCGCTTTCCTTTAAGGAATCAAACTTGACTTATAGAGGCAATAAAGCCCCTTGGGAAAACTGGCCATGTGCCTTGTCTGCACAGTCCTTATACAGGGTTTCTGACCTGTGGTAAATAAAGAATGTCACTTTCTGACAGGCCCAGGAGCCCCAAGTTATCTCGGGACCTCAAGAGGAAAGGAATTTATGCAACTCCTATAGGTGTTTGACAGTACAAACCCATGGCTAGGCTTGGCTTTTAAAAAGGTATTATCTGAGATTCTTTTTATGGAAGAAAGTTCCATCAAAGTCAATTATAAAAATCCTATGTGAAAAATAATTATTCTTGCTGCACTTTATACAAATGATCAGACTGAATATAATAAAGCAAATTGGTCTTACCGTGATTTTTCTTTAGTAAAAACGGGAGACTGGAGAAAAAAAAATATGTTTCAGTAACTGTGGTACACCTGTTACTAGATTCTAGTCTTATCAGTTGTTTTTGAGCTTGTTTTCTGCAATTTAGACTCACCTGCTTATTGCTGTGAACCAATCAGTGATCTCTGACTGCAGCTCAGATGAAACAAGAGGGATGAGTAATGTAAAAATCCGGATCAATATTCTAATTCTAGGCACATATTGGAATCAGCTAGCAACCCACATCCACTTGGTTTCCAACAATTGCCCAGTTCATGGAAAGCCCAGGCTGCAGGGCAATGGCACGATCTCGGCTTACCGCAACCTCCGTCTCCCAGGTTTAAGTGATTCTCCTCCCTCAACCTCCCAAGTAGCTGGGATAGCAGGCATGCGCCACCAGGCCCAGCTAATTTTGTATTTTTAGTAGAGACGGGGTTTCTCCATGTTGGTAGGGCTGGTCTCAAACTCCCGACCTCAGGTGATCCGCCCGCCTTGGCCTCCCAAAGTGCTGGGGTTACAGGTGTGAGCCACCACGCCCAGCTGGAAAGCCTTCTTATTTAGTTTACTTGGGATAATTTTGTAGGAGGATCACTTGAGCTCAGGAGTTCAAGGCTGCACTGAGCTATGATCATGCCACTGCACTCCAGCCTGGGTGACAGAGTGAGACCCTGTCTCAAAAAAAAAAAAAACTATATATCTACATATATATATATAATAAAGAAAAAAGATGATGGACAAAGTTATATTAGTTCCCATCACAACATTATGACTGATTTTCCCCACTATTTTCCAATTATATGTAATGTTGATTCTAAAATAAAATAAAATGTTAACTTACTGAAATATGAATAATATATCCTTCATATAAAAAGAAAGCAGGCTGGGCACAGTGGCTCACGCCTATAATCCTAGCACTTTGGGAGGCCAAGGTGGGTGGATCACTTGAGGTCAGGAGTTCAAGACTAGCCTGGCAAACATGGTGAAACCCCATCTCTACTTAAAAATACATAAAATTAGCTGGGCGTGGTGGCGTAAGCCTGTAATCCCAACTACTTGGGAGGCTGAGGCAGGAGAATTGCTTGAACCTGGTAGGCGGAGGTTGCAGTGAGCTGAGATCGTACCACTGCACTCCAGCCTGGGTGACAGAGAGAGATTCCATCTCAAAAAAAGAAAGAAAAAGAAAGCAAAACTGGCCAGGTGTGGTGGCTCATGCCTGTAATCCCAGCAGTTTGGGAGACCAAGGCAGGCAGATCATGAGGTCAAGAGATTGAGACCATCCTGGCCAACATGGTGAAACCCTGTCTTTACTAAAAAAAAAAAAAAAAAAAAAAAAAATTAGCTGGGCATGGTGACACGCATTTGTAGACCTACCTACTCTGGAGGCTGAGGAGGAGAATCCCTTAAACCTGGGAGGCAGAGGTCACAGTGAGCCGAGATCTCGCCACTGGACTCTAGCCTGGTGACAGAGCAAAACTTGTCTCAAAAAAAAAAAAAAAAAGAAAGAAAGCAAAACTATACATTTTCCTTTTTTTACAATTTTTTTTCATGCTTCACTCTGTCACAATCAGGGCTCACTGCAGTCTTGAACACCTGGGCTCAAGCAATTGTCCCACCTCAGCCTCACAAGTAGCTGGCTGGGACTACAGGTGTGCGTCACTATGCCCAGCTAATTTGTTTGTTTGGTTTCTTTTTTTAGTAGAGACCGGTCTTCCTATGTTGCCCAAGCTGGTCTCAAATTCCTGGGCTCAAGTAATCCTCCTGCCTTGTCTTGCTAAAGTGCTGGGATTATAGAAGTGAGCCACCACACCTGGCCAACTTTATCTTTTGTATAGTGCATAGAACAGTCCCCACCAAAGGGCTTCTACTGCAAAGTCATTTACAAAAACAATGGGTAAATATTATTTTTTAATTTAGGCCAGGCGAGGTGGTTCACACCTGTATTCCCAGCACTTTAGGAGGCCGAGGCGGGCCGATCACCTGAGATCGGGAGTTTGAGACCAGCCTGACCAACATGGAGAAACCCCATCTCTACTAAAAATACAAAATTAGTTGGGTGTAGTGGCACATGCCTGTAATCCCAGCTACTGGGGAGGCTGAGGCAGGAGAATCGCTTGAACTGGGGAGGCGGAGGCTGCAGTGAGCCGAGATCGTGCCATTGCACTCCAGCCTGGGCAACAAGAGCGAAACTCTATCTCAAAAAAAAAAATAATAATAACAATTATTAAATTTAAAAATATTTTAACTTAAAAATATTATGTAATTAGATTTTTTTTTAATGCTGGAAGAAGCTTTCATTAACAGTTACAAGCCAGGCACAGTGGCTCATGCCTGTAATCCCAGCACTTTGGGAGGCCGAGTCGGGTGGATCACTTGATGTCAGGAGTTTGAGACCAGCCTGACCAACATGGTGAAACCCTGTATCTACTAAAAATACAAAAAAATTAGCCAGGCATGGTGGCGGGCACCTGTAATCCCAGCTACCTGCGAGGCCGACGCAAAAGAATTGCTTGAACCGGGATGGCGCCACTGCACTCCAGCTTGGGCAACAGAGTGAGACTCTGTCTCAAAAAAAAAAAAAATTGGTTACAGATTACACCTTGTTTTCTTTAAAGCCTTTAAAGAAAGTGTAATCTGTAACTATTAATAAAAGCTTCCCAAACAACGAAACTGTTTACTTTCCCGCGCAGGCTCAGGTTGCCTCCAGCTAAACACAAATGTGGGGGCTGGAGAAAGGCCTGGAGAGCTCCCAGCGCCCTCTGAGACATGGCTCCAGGTCACACAGCCCAAAGCCTTGGCCTGTTTTGTACGTGGACGGGGCAAAGAGAACACCCTCGCCGCTTCTCTCTGCCTTTAGCAGGGCTGTAGGAAACCCCCACCAGAGACCTCCAGCTTGGAGAGGAAAGAGTGGAACAGCCCTCTGGAAGCAAGTTACCCACAGGTTTAGTTTGCCTGGAGAGAAACAGGCCGGAGAGAGACTGCGGCCTCCCTAGGGTCTTCTGACGGCAAATTCCTCCAGCTCAGTGGCTGCTGGGCAGCAGCACAGCCGGTTTCTCTCAAGGGCACACCCCACACACCGCGTCACTGTGCACTAGCCTCAGATGACAGACAAGCCTTTCACAAGACTTTTGTGGCACTGTTCATTTCTGAGACCTTCTCTATGATGAGCTCAAACTGCTTACCTCAGAGAAGAAACTGCGTGCACAGAAAGCTGCTGAGGCCAGCTTGGGGCCCCTTCTTTCCTGTCCCTGGGCACTTCCCTGGCTGCTCTCTTTCCCCACTGCCCAGCCCAAGGAGTCCCCTCTGCAGCTGACCCGGGTTCAGCCTCCAGAACAGCGAGTTCCACAGCCCTGAAGCCTGGCCATCGTCCCTTTTCTGGACACTGGACTGGTTCATAGGGCTCAGTGCCCTGCGGCTTTCTCCTCCCCACCACAGGCCTGGGAGGGGCAAGAAGCACCAGTTTGTTTTCTGGGTCAGCCTGCAGCAAAGAGCGACTGCCCTCACCGACAAGCTGAGCCTCTCTCCCAGCAGCACCCCCACAGTAGCCAGCAGGGGACCCTGGAGGATCGTGGAGCTGGATCACCACCCAGAAGACATGAATTCCTCTTGTCCAGAGGCAGAACAACAGCAACAGCAGCCACTTATGCTCCTGTAGTTTCCAGAGCACCTTGCTTAATCGGAAGTAGGATGTTACACTCCAGAGACTACTGATTTACATATCACACATGTGCTCATCCATCCATTCACCAAACCTCTGTTGACTGCTCGCGCTGCCCTGCGTTCCTGGCACTGTGCAGGGTTATAATCTAGTAGGAAAGACCTGACAAGGTCACAGATGTCAGTACTGAAAGGAAGAGTAGGGTAGATGGCCACCCCACCCCCACCCCAACCTCAAAAAAGAGACTAAAAAATTACTGTCACTTGTGTAATTCATCAACAAACTTTACTGAGCACCTAATAGGCACTGAGTGTTTTCGTGTATTGATCACGCATTGATCCTCACAATAACCTTTGAGATGGGTTGTGCCATTTACACAGGGCGAAGAAGAGAGACTGGCCACTGTCACACAGCTACTGATATCCAAGCTGAGATCCAAAGCTCCTCTGCTTCTCCTGATGAGAATGAGCACCACAGGCAGGCCACAGAAAAACACCCAGGAGAGCCAAACTCAGACCCACCCCAGATTTCCCACCCCACCCTCCACTGGCTCCAACCTCACTCCCTCTTCATTCATTCAGCCAGTCTGTCAAACACAGTTATTGTACTCCTGTGGGGTGCAAAGCTCTTGAGGAAAGGGGAGGAAGGAAGAATCATAAATGGCTTTGTCACCCAAAGGCTGTGATATGGGCTTAGTGCGGAAATTAGAGTATCACTTATCAGCGTTGGGGCTGCCAGGGTTCAAAAAATACAGGTTAAGGGTGCCCGATCTCACCTTTGCGTTGTGGGTGGCCGGGGCGCAACGGTTTAACCTTGAATTTAGCAGGAGTCTCTTTGTACGAGAAAAGGGGCACCTGAGAATGGGCCCTTGAGGAGTAATTTAGGCTTTTCGGTCAATCCAGAGGAATATTATGGGAAAGGGCCGCGCCCGAATTCCCAGGAACTGGAGAAATCTTTAAGCAGAGGGGGTGGAGGGCACCAAAAAGAGGGAACGCTACTGGGGTTCAACTGGCTGGAGGACAGTGCACCCCCAATGGGGGAACCAAGAAATAAATTTGGGAAAAAACAGTAGACAATCTATAAAATTTTTTTTTTTTTTTTTTGAGACGGAGTCTCGCTCTGT
The DNA here is from genome assembly GCF_000001405.40 of Homo sapiens. Lineage (NCBI taxonomy): Eukaryota > Metazoa > Chordata > Mammalia > Primates > Hominidae > Homo > Homo sapiens. The sequence goes on from NC_000011.10 coordinate 118,871,968, forward strand.
CACCCAGGCTGGAGTGCAGTGGCGCGATCTCGGCTCACTGCAATCTCTGCCTCCTGGGTTCAAGCAATTCTCCTGCCTCAGCCTCCTGAGTAGCTGGGACTACAGGCATGCACCACCATGCCTGGCTAATTATTGTATTTTTAGTAGAGACGGGGGTTTCACCATGTTGGCCAGGCTGGTCTCGATCTCTTGACCTCGTGATCCGCCCACCTCGGCCTCCCAAAGTGCTGGGATTACAAGCATGAGCCACCGCGCCCGGCTGACATTCTATAAATATTTATATCTGGGAAACAAAAGCGGGGAATTGGGGCCAGGTTACAGAGGACATAAACTGTGGCACCAGGGTTGGCACTTGCTTCTCTGTTCACAAGAGCCGTTGGCGGGATTTCCCATTGTCCCCCTTGGGTAGGTAAGGCCAGGTGGCTGCTCCATCTCTGCCACCTCCAGCGCCGGTCCCACTGTGTCAGCAGCCCTGTCCCCTACTGCTGTGTCATCAATTACTCTCAGGTGCCTGGCCCCCACCCAGTGGCCCCCACCTTGCAGCCCCGAAGGCTTCCTTCCTGGGGCAGCAGGGCCGAGTCATTTGGAAACCTCTCTCGGAGGAGCTCCGTGATCAAGGTGCAGATGCGGCAGGTGGGCCGGCCTCAATCATGTCTCCAATTGCGACGGTGAATGCGGTGAGGAGTTTCGTTGGCCCATCACCTCTGCCTTGGGCCTGGCTCACTTTCACTGCTGAGTTAGTTCCACGGCCGCCTTTGATGATGCCGCTTCAGCATCTTTTTTCTTCGGCGTTTCCTGCTCCTTTGTTTTCAAGGTCACTCTGTCCTGCCTGCCCCACTCTGGGCCACCCAAGGCCAAGCCTCTAAGCTCCGCGTTGCTGACCACAGTTCTTCACACTAGCCTCACTGCGAGGCTCCGTCCAGACTGAACATGGGGAAGATGAACCTTTCACCATTTGATGTCTTGAGCTTCTCCTCTAGAACAAGCAGGCTAGCTGCCCTGCTCAGGGCCGGCTCATCTCTTTCTCCCTGGAGGACAGAGCTCTGGGCCCTGAGTCAGAACTAGCTGGGGTTCCTCACTAACTGGGTAGACTTATATGATGCATGAGACCTATAGACTCTTACTTAGTTTTCTCAGAAATAACATAGGCCAAGAACGCCTGCTTGCCTGTCTCCACAGGCTGGGATGAGGCCCTTATGAGACCAAGAATGGGAGAGGGCTTCATAAACTGTAAATTAATCTGGGAGCATTACAGTCATGGTTATTAGTTTACAGAGATTGAGTTCACGTTGTTATTTGCTCTCTTAGCACCCTGTTCTTTTTCTTCATAGCACTTTCACATTTTCTAATGATATTATAAGTTATTATTATTACTAAGCACGTAGTTTATGGGTCTAATGCCTCCCTCCTCACCAGGGTATAAGCTACCGCAGAGTGGAAGCCATGCTTCATTTTGTTTCTCATCACTCTGCCAGCACCTGGTTCAGAGCCTGTAATGTTGTGGGGGTTTAAGGAATACTAACGATAAACTGGTGAGTTATTTGAGGACCCACGACCATCCTCGCAAGAGACTTTTGTTAGGCCAGTCTGTCTTGTCCACTGCTGAAGCCTGGCATTTGGTAAGCCATTCATACCTGTTTTTTGGAAGTTGAGATGAATACACCTTAGCCGGGTGTGGTGTCTCACACCTGTTATCCCAGCACTTTGGGAGGCCGAGGACGATGGATCACCTGAGGTCAGGAGTTCGAGACTAGCCTGGCCAACATGGTGAAACCCCATCTCCACTAAAAAAAAATACAAAAATTAGCCAGGCATGTTAGCCCACCTGTAGTCCCAGCTACTCGGGAGACTGAGGCAGGGGAATCGCTTGAACCCAGGAGGCAGAGGTTACAGTGAGCCAAGATCTTGCCACTGCACTCTAACCTGGGTGAGGAGAGCGAGACTCCATCAAAAAAAAAAAAGAGAAAGAAAGAAAGGAAGAGAAAGAAAGAAAGAGAAAGAAAGAAAAGAAAGAAAGAGAAAGGAAAAGAAAGAAAGAAAAGGAAAGAAAGAAGAAAGAAAGAAAGAAAAAAGAAAAGAAAAGAAAGGAATGAAAACACCTTAAACACCACCAGCTTCATCGTGAAGTTCTGTTGCTGAAGTCCCTGCCATGTGTCTCAGTTGCCCCCTCTGCCATCCAAATGCCCAGACAGGCTCTCTGGGCCTCTCAGTATCCACCCTCATTGCCTTCTCCCACATCTTCCTCTGCTCCAGTCCAGACAAACTGCTCACCATCCCTTCCCCAAGATGTGCATTTACCGCCTGCGGACCTCCTTCCCTCAAAGTCCTGCCTGAAGTTCCTTCCTTTTTGACCTCCCTTTAAAAAGCATGAGTGGGCCTGACGCAGAGGTGCATGCCTGACATCCCCGTGCTTTAGGAGGCTGAGGAAGGAAGTTTAAGGCCAGGAGTTCGAGACCAGCCTGGGCAACATAGCAAGACCTTATCTCTACAAAAAAAAATTAAAAATTAGCCTGGCATGGTACACACTTATAGTCCCAGCTGCTCAGGAGGCTGAGGTGGAAGGATCACTTGAGTTCAGGAGTTTGAGACTACAGTGAGCGACAATTATGCCACTGCACTCCAGCCTGTGTGACAGAGCAAGACCTTGTCTCTAAAAAAAAAAAAAAAGCATGAGTGTGTGTGTGTGTGTGTGTGTGTGTGTGTGTGTATGAGAGAGAGAGATAGCACTTTGGACCTATGGAGGATTTCTATTTGGAAAGAAAAAGGCTTTTACATACAAGATATTATTTAATAGCAAAATTGGCCATGCAGGTATTTTACAATTGTACATATTAGGAAACTAATGCTCAGAGAAGTTATATTTGTAATTTTCAAACTGGGGATTGTGACTTATGTGTGGACCCATGAAAGCAGTGTGATTCATTGACCGCTATTAAAAATAGAAAGAGGGTCGGGCATGGTGGCTCACGTCTATAATCTCAACACTTTGTGAGGCCAAGGTGGGAGGATGGCTTAAGCCCAGGAGTTCCAGACCAGCCTAAGCAACATAACAAGACCCCATCTCTACAGTAAATTTAAAAGTTAGTTTGGTGTGGTGATGCACACCTGTAGTCCCAGCTACTCAGGAGGCTAAGGTGGGAGGATCACTTAAGCCTGGGAGGTGGAGGCTGCAGTGAGCCATGATTGTGCCACTGCACTGCAGCCTGGGTGACATAGAGAGACCCCATCTCTACAAAAAAGGGAAGAAAGAAAGAGTGAGAGAAAGAAAGAGGGAACGAAAGGAAGGAGGAAAGGAGGGAAGGAGGAAGAGTAGAAAATATGAGTATGCTACCCATACTAAGCAGTGTTTACAAAACTTACTGTGTATTTGTGTGTATATGTTCATCACACATGTCCAACTAGCTTGTGATATAAAATATATTTCTTCCTATGGGTCATGATCAAAGTGACAGGATTACATGACATGCTGAAAGCTAACTAGTAGAGCTCATGCATTACTTATTAGAGTAGAGCTGAGACCGACCAGAGAGATAGAGGTGCAACCTGTCAGAGCCCGGGAGGCACCACAGAAATCTCAACGGTGCCAGGGTGGGGCCCAGGGAGGCCGGTGTTCTGGGAAAACCAACTGTTGTGTGCTGGTTGTATGAAGTGCTGTGTTGTTGTGGGTTGTGTGCTGGTTGTATGAGGTGCTGTGTTCTTCCTGTTGTGTGTTGTGTGCTGGTTGTATGAAGTGCTGTGTTGTTGTGGGTTGTGTGCCGGTTGTATGAGGTGCTGTGTTCTTCCTGTTGTGTGTTGTGTGCTGGTTGTATGAGGTGCTGTGTTGTTGTTGTAGGTTGTGTGCCGGTTGTATGAGGTGCTGTGTCGTTGCTGTGGGTTGTGTGCTGGTTGTATGAGGTGCTGTGTTCTTCCTGTTGTGGGTTGTGTGCTGGTTGTATGAGGTGCTGTGTCGTTGTTTTGGGTTGTGTGCTGGTTGTATGAGGTGCTGTGTTGTTGCTGTGGGTTGTGTGCTGGTTGTATGAGGTGCTGTGTCATTGTTGTTGATTGTGTGTTGGTTGTATGAGGTGCTGTGTTGCTCTGGAGAGACGTCAACTATGGCACCCTTTGTGTGGAGGGACTGAAGGCCCTGCTGGGTGGTTGGGAGCTCCAGGTTGGAAAACAAGCTGTGTGGGGACGAGTTTACCAATTGGTATATGGCTGTGTACCAGTCCTACGTGGCCTAGAGCGGTGGTTCTAGGAGTGTAGTTCTCAGGCCAGCAGCATAGCGTCACCTGGACACTCTTAGAAATGCACATTATCAGGTCCCACCCCAGACCTCCCGAATCAGACACTCTCGTGGTGGGGCCTGGCAACCTGGAGGTAACAAGCCCTCCTGGTGACTCTGAGGCATAAAGTGTGAGGAGCACTCCCCTGGGGATGCCTGTTTGGCATTCTGTGTTTGGCGTGTCTTTGCGCAAGCAGGCAGGGTCTGGTCTCAGAGCGGCCTTGCTGGGAAGCAGACATGCTGGGCCTCCAGTGCAGCGTTTCTTCTGTCACCCACTCAGCCTTACAGCCTACCCAGCGCATGCGCCCACAGCACTTAGGTGCGAAGGAATGCTGCACGTTTCCCCCATTCCCTGTGCCTTCCACACTGCTGACTCCACCCACACTACCTTAGCAACACGGTAGAGTTTTGCATATTCTTTGAAAATGTGCCCAGTTGCATGTGAATATGAGCATGCCAACTTGCATGATGTGTCTGTTTTGCCTTCTCTGTTAGACAAGGTGCTCCTCCATCAGAATCTCGCCTCTGGCTGCCGCAGTACTCAGTATACAAACACCTGATCCAAGCACCAGACTCACTCTAACCCTGGCCACACAACCTGCCCCAGGCCGACGTTCCCAAGCTCATTTGTGGCCCCCATGACCTTGTGGTAACCTTGATGTGCCTACCCAGCACCTGCAGCCCATTTCCTCCCTGCAGGACTCTACCTGTTTCCTAACGAGAGGGGAGCTGTGCGTGGGTGCAGGCTGCCGGCAATGACAGCCTTTACCACCCCACTTCCTGTGTTGACTTGTAATGGGGTGTTGGGTCCCTGCTGTCTGAGTGAGCTGTGAACATTCATGCTACTTCCCATTACTGTCTGAAGCTTGGTTTCCACATCTGCAGTGTGGTAATAAAAATACCCAACACTTTGCCGGACGCGGTGGCTCATGCCTGTGATCCCAGCACTTTGGGAGACCAAGGCAGGTGGATCACCTGAGGTCAGGAGATCGAGACCATCCTGGCCAACATGGTGAAACCCCGTCTCTACTAAAAATACAAAAAATTAGCTGGGCGTGGCGGCACGTGCCTATAATCCCAGCTACTCGGGAGGCTGAGGCAGGAGAATTGCTTGAACCAGGGAGTCGGAGGTTGCAGTGAGCCGAGATGGTGCCACCACATTCCAGCCTGGCGACAGAGCGAGACTCCGTCTCAAAAACAAAACAAAACAAAAAACCCAACACTCAAAGACTGTTCAGGGAATGAAAAGAAATGATGTGTGAAAAACCTATCATAGTTCATGGCACATAGAAAGTACCTGATGAGGAGCCTGTGCAGGATTTAGCCATAGTTTTCCCCTTAGCCAGCCAGGTAAGTGCCTGTCCTTTGCAAAATGGCGCCTCTGAGAGACGGGCCGTGTGGTCTTGTGGAGGGAGCCCTGGATTTGGTGCCTACAGGGCTGACTTCAGGCTCTGACTCTGCAACGAACCCTCCCTGCAATCACGAGCAAGAAAATGAGACTCTGTTTCCTTGTCCTCACAAAATACGGCCAGGAGTGATGCCAATCCCTCCGGCACAAGCCGCTTCAAGGACTACATATAATTAAATGTGAAGATTAAGTGAAATATAAAGATTAAGTAACATTAAATTTAAACTTTCATGGGACTGTGTAGACCGGTGACTGCTATGCAAGTCTATGGCGAGTTTCCTTCAGTGCTGAGAGGTATACCCTACTCTTCCTGAGGCTGATGAGGTAGGGACCTGGGAGCTCTGTTCTCAGCTGTTGGGAAAGACCCAGAGAAAGAAGAGAACAAAGTCTCTGGCCATGTCAGAGAGGGAGAGAGTCCTAGGTTAATAGAAGGGGAAACCCCAGCCCGTTCCCTGTAGCAGCACCCCAAAACTGTGTGGAACAGCTTACTTTTTCTGTGGAATATAGAAAATGAACTCCAAGACAAGTGATTGTATCTAATCTCTGGAACAAATAGAAATTTAATGTAATCCATGGACTGTAAAGTATAATTACTGAGAAAAATACACCTGAGCTGATGTAAGCGGCCACCCTTGCCTAAACCAGACACAAACCCAGTCTTGGCGGAAGTATCAGTAGTCTTTCTGTCTTTTTTTTTTTTTTTTTTTTTCTGAGATAGGATCTTGCTTTGTCATCCAGCCTGGAGTGCAGTGGTGCAATCTCAGCTCACTACAACCTCGACCTCCTGGGCCCAAGCAATCCTCTCACCTCAACCTCCTGAGTAGCTGGAAGCACTAGTGTGCACCACCAGCTAATATTTTTATTTTTTGTAGAGATGGGGTATCCTATGTTGCCCAGGCTGGTCTCGAACTCCTGGGCTCAAGTGATCCTCCCCCCTTGACCTCCCAAAATGCTGGGATTACAGAGGCGAGCTACCATGTTCAGCCTCCAGTGGTCATTTTGACGAGAAGGCTAGAAAACAATTTAGCCTCAATTAGACTGCCTATGGGGTGGGGATTGGGATCCTGCATAGGTGAAATATAAACAAGTTGCACACTGAAATAAAACCTGAGCTGCCTGACCTGGAAGGGTCCTCTGCCATCCGATTGTCACACACAGATGGAACCTCTGACATCTCCTCTTCAAAGGCAAAGGATCGCAGCTTAAGCGTTGCCCTCTCTATCCTAGGGAGCTAGTCTGACTTTATGTGTGTGAAGATTGTAAGATCATGGTTTCTAGTAGAGGCAGTAACTCTCTGAGCCTTCTCAAAACAATATTAGAACTCACGGTTGCTGGGCATGGTGGCTCATGCCTGTAATCCCAGCACTTTGGGAGTCTGAGGCAGGCGGATCGGTTGAGCCTAGGAGTTCAAGGCCAGCCTGGGCAACATGGTGAAACTCTGTCTTGACAAAAAACATAAAATTAGCCAGGTGAGGTGGCATGTGCCTGTAGTCCCAGCAACTCGGGAGGCTGAGGCAGGAAGATGGCTTGAGCTCAGGAGGTCAAGGCTGCAGTGAGCCATGATCGTACCACTGCCCTCCAGCCTGGGTGATGAAATGAGATCCTGTCTCAAAAAAAAAAAAAAAGAAAAAGAAAAAGCCTCAAGGTCAGAAGGTATTTACCACTGGGGGCAAACTGAGTTGACTATCAAAGGTCAGAGGCTAACACAAGTAGACCCTGGGAAGCTGTAGTGTGTTCACCATCTGGAGAGAAGAATGGGATCTCTGAATAGGCCCAAAAAGTCAAAGACTTCAGGTGACAGTCACAGATGTGTCTAATGTGTGACGCCTGAGTCAGCCATAGAGAAGCTGGTAGGCTACCTCTCTGCTGCCCAAACCATCATAGCTGAAACTACTGGCCAGAGCCTGCTGCTATAGCACCTGGGAAGCAGTCTTAAGCCTCCCCCAAAACTCTTTTTCTAGGCCTACAGCACATGTGGAAAATATAGAGAACTGTGGAAAGAGTAGGAGAGGAGAAGGCCATAAGAGCAGCTCCTACCTTGTCCAGTACATGCTCCAACCACTTCCTTGCTCCTCCCCCTGCCCTATCTCATCATCATTATTGCCATAGCCACACCACCATACACAGAAGGCCCATGATGTGCCAGGCACAAGGTAATTCTTTTTTTTTTTTTTTTTTTGAGACGGAGTCTTACTCTGTCACCAGGCTGGAGTGCAGTGGTGCCATCTCGGCTCACTACAACCTCCGCCTCCCAGGTTCAAGTGATTCTTCTGCCTCAGCCTCCTGAGTAGCTGGGACTACAGGTGCCCACCACCACACCCAGCTAATTTTTGTATTTTTAGTAGAGACGGCGTTTCACCATGTTGGCCAGGATGGTCTCAATCCCTTGACCTCGTGATCTGCCCACCTCAGCCTCCCAAAGTGCCGGGATTACAGGTGTGAGCCACTGCACCCGGCCATGCCCGGGTAGTTCTGTCGCCCGCACTGGAGTGTGGTGGCGCAATCTCTGCTCACTGCAAGCTCCGCCTCCCGGGTTCACGCCATTCTCCTGCCTCAACCTCCCAAGTAGCTGGGACTACAGGCACCCACCACCACGCCTGGCTAATTTTTTGTATATTTAGTAGAGACGGGGTTTCACCATGTTAGCCAGGATGGTCTTGAACTCCTGACCTCGTGATCCACCCACCTCAGCCTCCCAAAGTGCTGGGATTACAGGCGTGAGCCACTGCGCCCGGCCAGATAATTCTTTCTACACATTTTTTCCAAGCAGTTCTCATCATGTCCCACACTGTCCACCCTGTCCCCCTCTCCAGGCACACCAAGCCTTCACTCTCTCCAAGCCTCCAGTGGCCAAGACTTCCATGAAGTCTTTCCTGACCTTTGGGTATAGTAAGTCTCTAATGGCATGAAGCAGGGTTCTGGTTTTGGCTTCATCCTGTCAATATTTGCCATCAGGACTTGGATAGACCCAAGGATGACTAATCTATGTTGTTATCACATCACCAGATGACAGAATTGGGATCAGAAAAATTTCCCTTTATAGGTTGCAACAATGGCCCAGAACCTTCAAAATGAAATCCTTTAGGCATGTTATTAAGAGGAGTAGGACCCTGCAGGAAAGTCCAATTGTATTGTAGTTACATAGTTATAGAAGTATGGAATCTTTTTTTTTTTTTTTTTTGAGTGTCACCAAGGCTAGAGGGCAGTGGTGTGATCATGGCTCATTGCAGCCTCAACCTCCTGGGCTCAAGCGATCCGCCTATCTCAGCCTCCTGAGTAGCTGGGACTACAGGTGTGTGCCACCATGCCCAGCTAATTTTTGAATTTTTTGTAGAGACGAGGTTTCACCATGTTGCCCAGGCTAGTCTCAAATTCCTGGGCTCAAAGGATTCTCCCATCTTGACCTCCCAAAGTGCTGGGATTACAGGCATGAGCAACCACGCCCTGCCAAGTATAGAGTCTTGAACAAGGAAATGCATATCGTCCTATATTTTTTCCTAGTCAGATAATATCTAGACCATTAACCAGAAATCACCCAGAGGTCAAAAAACAGGGCGTCAAAGGACCCAGAAACCAAGTCTGCAAATAACGACTGAAGACACTGTGGAAGTGTGTTTGGGAGACAACAAGACTCTCAGGATGTGCTGGCTGTCTTCAGAGGATGCTTATTGGAAGAGGAGTCAGACAGTCCAGACAGAAGGCACAGCCAGGACCTCTGGAGAGGAGTTACAGGAAGACATATTTTGACTCATCATAAGGAATAAGTTTCTAATCATGAAACCATCCTCCACTGAAACATGATCTATTGAAAGGAGCAAATGTCTCACCTTCATTGATGTTCGTATTCATTGATTCTGGGTGATCATCTGATAAGGATGCAGTGACGAGAATCTTGCATTTGCTGGGGGTGGGGGTGTGGTTGAGGATAGTCTGGTTTATATTCCAAAGTTCCTTTCAATTCCTCTATGATTCTATACGCTGTACTCCTTCCTGATCAATGTCCCTAGCCAGGGTGGCCAAGGCTAAGTCAAGTATGCTAAGGGATTGGAGGGGCAGGGATATTGAGAATAGGGTGAATGGAAGGATGAGGAGTTCCCAGCAAGCTTGGGACACAGGAAACCTTGGGGCAGCTTCCTCCTGGAGGTTTCAGGACTGTACGTGCTGGAGAAGAAGTGTGATGCCTTGTCCTGAAAGCCGTCTTCTTTGAAAGCAGCTTCTAAAGGCAGTGAATGGAGAAGAGCGAGGAAACGACCCCAATACCACCAACAGAGGCTGGAAACTCCTCAGGCTGTTTAATCCTAAGAATGATGCATCTGTTGGCCGGGCACGGTGGTTCACATCTGTAATCCTAGCACTTTGGGAGGCTGAGGCAGGCGGATCACCTTAGGTCAGGAATTCAAGACCAGACTGACCAACATGGAGAAACCCCATTTCTACTAAAAATACAAAATTAGCCGGGCGTGGTAGCGCATGCCTGTAATCCCAGCTACTCGGGAGGCTGAAGCAGGAGAATTGCTTGAATCCGGGAGGTGGAGTTTGTGGTGAGCTGAGATCTCGCCATTGCACTCCAGCCTGGGCAACGAGAGCAAAATTCTGTCTCAAAATAAATAAATAAAAATACAAAATTAGCCGGGCGTGGTGGTGCATGCCTGTAATCCCAGATGCTCGGGAGGCTGAGGCAGGAGAATCGCTTGAACCTGGGAGGTGGAGGTTGTGGTGAGCCAAGATCATGCCATTGCACTCCAGCCTGGGCAAGAAGTGCAAAACTCTGTCTCAAAAAAAAAAAAAAAAAAAAAAAAAAAGAATGATGCATCTGTTGGGGATGCAGTGGGGTAAGCATCTTCAGTAAGCAAGGTGTGAAGAGGGGAAAGAGGGAAGGTGAATATGGAGGAGAGGGTGAAGGAGGGCACTGGAAAGGGTAGTAGGATCCCAGCAAAGGGCGATTTGGCTGAAAGGGAGCGTGATAACAAGGGTGGGGGTGGGGCCAAGAAGCAGCCACCATGTGTGGGTGCCTCTGTGCGTGCAGTCATCTTTCTCACATCATTGTGGATCAAGAGAGGAAATGCCCACTTCTGGAAGAAAAAGCCACAAAATGAGACTTGGAAGGGAAATTGATCAACATCTACAAAACGGCTTCTTAAAGGAAGCGGCCCTCAGACAGGACAGAGTTGAGGGAAAGGACAGAGGTTATGAGTGCCTGCAAGAGTGGCAGCCTGGAGTAGAGAAAACACTAAAGGTGGAGTCAAAAGACCTGAGTTCAAGTCCCAGCTCTGCCACTGGTTAGCTGTGGGATCTCGGGTAAGTTGCTCTCCCTCTCGGCCTCACGGACCTCCTGAATAAAAATTGAGGGTTAGACTGGATGATCTCTGAAGCCATCTCTAGCTTGGTAGTTTATGAGGTTAATAATTTATGAGCAAACAAAGTTAATTTATAGATAGAACATCATTATTTTTGAGTCAGAAAATGACTCTGTAACTATGTGCTTTTCTTGGTGATTTCACTTTTTTTTTTTCTTTTAGAGACATGGTCTTGCTATGTTGCCCAGGCTGGTATCCAACTCCTGGCCTCAAGCCATCCTCCTGCCTCGGCCTTCCAAAGTTGATTTCATTTTTGTCTTCCAGTATTGTTTTACTGTTGTTCCCTTTGAAAAATTCTAACCTATCTTTTCTGAACTTGAGCTGAGAAGGGAAGGGGTTTTGCCTCTGTTGGGCAAAAGGATGGTGGCAAGTAGTGTGACCAAGTGCCCTAACTTGCCAGGACTTAGGGGTTTCCCAAGTCAAGGGACTTTTCAGTCCTTGGCAGACTGGAATGGTTGATCACCCTAGTGGTGAGGAAAATGAAGGTTTGGAGGTGGCTTGGAGGAGAGGTTGCTGGGAGAGCTCTTCTCCTGTTCTCTGTTGATCAGGAGTTTCCCTCATCAACCTGCTGACTTTGCGTGGTGGTTTCATTACAAGTTGTGAGCCCCTTATTGGGGGTATAGGGAGGAGAAGTGAGGGCAGCCTTTAAACTAGTCATAGGCCCCAGTTGAGACAATTATTGCCGGGAAAGAAGCTGAAATGCTTGACTAGCACTGATGCTGTGGGGGATTTTCCCTCTTTCTTCAAAAAAACAGAAAAGACCCAGTGGAAAAAAAAAAAAAAGTGATGAGTTGTGAGGCAGGTCGCGGCCCTACTGCCTCAGGAGACGATGCGCAGCTCATTTGCTTAAATTTGCAGCTGACGGCTGCCACCTCTCTAGAGGCACCTGGCGGGGAGCCTCTCAACATAAGACAGTGACCAGTCTGGTGACTCACAGCCGGCACAGCCATGAACTACCCGCTAACGCTGGAAATGGACCTCGAGAACCTGGAGGACCTGGTGAGTAGACACGGGTAGCTTCCTGTCGCCGAGGCCCTGTCTGGAATTCTAACATCCTTTGCCAGAGTCCGAGGGAGAGGGGACAGTGTGGGAATCCTCTCCCACTGTGGATCTGTAAAATCTAGACAGGTCAGTCAGCTCCCGCCCTTTAAGAGTTTATTTTCCATTCTGTGGAAGAAGCAGATAAGGAGAGCTGCTGTCCTTAGGAGACATCCTTTAGAGGAAGCTGGAAGACACGGGTTCAGGCCCTGCATCCTCCTCTGAGTTGCTATGTGACTGGGAACAGGATACTTCACCTCTCCATTCTTTCTCTCCTTTTCTCTTAGGGTCGGAATATGGAACTAGACAGGAAAGTACTTTGGAGGTTTTCTTACCGTAAGGAGGCTGGCATTGCTAATCAGTCAATGAATGCATAGCTGTTCGTCTCTGGCCATATGATTATGTCATCAGGGCACTACATTCTGTGTTGGGTGGAGAAGTTGAGGACCTGGTCTTTGCCCTCAAATAGCTTCTGCTCTGGCCAGAGAAAAAAATCACTCACTGGAAGCTATTAGGCAACAATTATGTGCTAAACTGAGGGAATGTGAGACCAGATGGTAGCAAGGAAGAGGATCCCAGCAGGCTGGAGTCAGGGAGCAGGGTGAGAAAACTGTTAATCTGACAAATGTCTTGGAACCTGTTGTAGAATCTCTAGAGATAAGGTATTCTTGGAAAGGTTTCTTGGGTGGGCTAAGAAAATGGTCTCCAGCACTACGCTGCCACCACTCAAGTCTCTCCAGTGAAGCGTAGTGGTGCAGTTGACTTGGTTGTCACTGGGCTCCCAGAAGATGTGTGTGTGTGTGGAGCAGCTCAACCAGAGAAACACAGGGTTCCTTGTGAGCCGACGGCAGAGGCTGGTTGTAAGGGTTTCTTGGAAACTTCTTCACTGTCTTTTCTCCCCCTGGAGAGAGGACTTGTTTCGGGGCTGCACTCTGGGTTAGATCATGAAGGAGCCAAACCCTGGCTCCTACCAACTCTCCTGTCCCAAACTTACCCTAAGATATTGTCTGACTCCCTCCTGCTCCCCCGGCTGGAGTGGACTTTGTGGAGTGGACTTTGTAGTTCCACCAACCATGTTCCCAGACTTGCTCAGAGAAGCCCGCCTCTCGCTTGCCCAGATCCCAAGGCTGGGAAGTGTAAGTAGGACACGGGGAGAAAGTGGGCAGAAGGGCTGACTACCCAAAGCCTGGCCCCTCGGATCCAAACCGTAGGTGGAATCAGAGCCGGACCATTCATCTAACCAGGACCTGCTACATAATTTGTGGGACCCAATGCAAAATGAAAACATGGGGCCCCTTGTTGAAAAATTATTATAAATAAGAAGGCAACAGCAGAGCACTAAACCTCGTGGGGGGTCCTGCTGGGTGCAGGCCCCCGTGTGACTGCCCCAGTTGCAAGCCCATGAAGCTGCCCTGAGTCTAATCACAGAGTCTGGGCAATACCCCAAATCAGACTAAAAACCCGCGGCCCCAAAGGGGCAATGTGCTCCCACCCTGGCCCCCGGTCACAGCCGCTGGCCTCGCCTGATTAGGTTACTGGGCGTCTTCCTCTGCCTGCAGCTTCAAACTGACCACGAGCCCTGACCCAGTTGGACATCTTAGTAACCAACTGGAGACCCGGCGGGTCCCAGCTTCTGAGAAACCTTAAGAGTTTCCCCTAACTGCACGCCTCACCTCACTGAGTGACCTACTAGGGACAGGTGGGGGCAGGGGGCAGGGGCAGCAGGGCATGTCCCAAGAAAACCTACATCTGGGGGAAAGGGACCCAGTGACTTTCTTCATGTCACACCTCAAATGAGTGATCCTCAGCCAGGCATTCCAATATCTGGATCCCTCACTCAGGGTCTAGCCAGGAGCCCAGGAGTCCTAGGACCATCTGGGCTCTGGAGCTCTTCAGCCAGCCACCAGTGCCTCGTTCCCCCTTCACGAATCTCCTACACACCCTGTCTCCAGGGCCAATGTCCCCTCAGAACACAGACCCTCTCCTCCGCCCCCACCCACTCACTGAAGGGCCGTGAGCAGCTTGGCAGACTGTCCCTCAGTGTCACAGTACAAAAACCTCGGGCGTAGTGGTACAGGCAGGAGAATCTTGCATGTAGCAGCTTCTCAATAAGTATTTATTGATTTGTGATGCAGTAAAGGTCTTAGCTCACCATTTTCCTCTGGAGTTAGTCTGGGTCCTTCTATTCCTTCTGCTTCCTATTCTCCTCCTTGTCCTTGCCCATACCAGGTATTGGTTCACATTCCTTGAACGCTGGGTTTTACACTCTCATGTTGAGCTAAGAACTGGGGCCTTTTGGTTACACAAACTTGCCAGAAAAAAAAAAAAAAAAGGAACTGGGGGCTCCTGGCCATAAGCCAGGTTCGTCATTCTGTATTCCATTTGTCCTCTTGAACTCGAAGACCAACTCGAGCCGCTTAAAATGTCCACTTCTTTAAGGCAGGGGCTGGGGGGTGGGGACGGGCTGCTAATTCTCATCAATGAAAGGTCCAAATAGAACAAAAATTAGATGGCTAAGAACCAGGAACAAGAAGATTCCAGGTCCTGGGGTGGGTATGCCAGGGACCCATCCTGCTGGAAAGGCCGATCCTGGCAGACCTAGAGCAGACCCTGTCTATGCGACCCTCGATCTGAGAGCCTCCTTCCAACAGAACCAGGGCCTGGGCTGGGGCATCCACAGAGGCTGGTCATAAACTATACCTCCAGCCCCACCCTGCACACCAGCCGGGAGGGGAAGCTGCTATAGCGCACGGTGAAGCTGGTCCAAGCCCCAGAGCCTGGCTTTCTATGACCCCTCTCCATAGACAATTACCACACATCATGACTTCAGTGTGACCAGAGCATCACAGGCGACACAGCCCGTCCACGTGGACCATCTCATTTCATCATGTAGGTGTGAAGAAGAGGAACCAAAACCAGCTCAGGCTGTTTCTGGGCTTCATCTAGGGGAAAGGGAGGTTCTCCACCCGCCCCCCGCAACCAGGTCAAAAGTCCCAGAGGAACCCCAGCAGAGGAGGCCCAACTGGGGTGTAGTTGGAAGGGTCAGAGATGAGGGAGAGCCCCAAGGCCAAGCTGAGGATGGGTCAGGGTCAAAGTGAATATGGGTTCGGGCATACAAACTGCAGAGTCTCCGTCAGGAACTCTTGCTTTCCCCAGGGACGCAGGCTGCAGCTGATCCCACTCCTCTAGCAGAACGGCAGAAACAGTGGCCGCATATGTGGACCTAAGAATCAGGACACAAGAATGAGCATTCTTTCAAGAGTGGTGGGGAAAAATATTTCCAACCCAGGAGATGGTTTCAAGAGGCTGCCACACACACCTGGGAGGCCTGTCTGCCTGCATCTTGGACTGTGTGACTCTGTATCCAAAGGGCAAAGAGACGCTGGGGTGCCAGGTGGGGCTCCCTTAAGCCTAAAGACTTGCTGCAGAGGCTTGGAGTAGCTTAAACTCTCCCCCTAACACCACATCCAGCACAGTACCTGCTTCTGATGGCCAAAACCCGTGGGTAGAGATGAAAGAGGAGTCTCACAGACTTGTCCCTGAAGGCTGTGGGTGCGGCAAGGGAGATGTGACAAATGGCAAGCCAGAGTCTCAGATGGTCTTTAGGGGCTGTGGGCCTCCTGAAGAAAGACGGGGTAAGGGGTACAGACCTACACCCTCACCCACAGCCCAGTCTCATTTCTCCAGACCCCTGCACCCCTTAAGCCACTGAAGGCTGGAATGACAGATACCCTGGCCAGCCCCACTCACAGCTCCTGACTCTCGGCTGGGAATATCCACACAGGGACATAAAAGGATATGGAGCTTGTGTGCTCCCCCCTGGCCAGAGCAATGACTGGCGTCTGTGTGCAGACACCTCCCGCGGCCAGCATGACTCAGGCCTTGGAGTCCTGGGGTTCGGCCTGAGTAAGCCACGCATGCAGGCAGCCCTGCCCCCTCCTTGGGGCTGAGAAGCAAGGTCAGGCTGGGGCATTCACTGGCGGCAGAATGGACTAGAAATACCAAGTCTCCGGCTACTGAGCTAGACGGAGATCATGCTGAGAACCAGCTCAGCCCCAGGCAGGGCAGGACAGACAGAGAATCTGGGAGTGGGAGCGAGGGGCATTTGAAGGCAGAGTCCAGCCTCCTTCTTCCCAGGGCAGGAATCTCTTCCCACACACTTGGGCTCAAACGTTCCTCTCCTTCCTAAAGGTACCATCTCATTGCTGGACAGTTCTGTCTGTTAGAAAGTTCTCCCTCCTTTGACTGAAACGCTACCCCCTCAGCTTCTGCCCAGTCCTTCTAGACTGCCCCCTGGAAGCTCATAGCAAGAGTCCATTGCTGCCCTCTTGCCCATGGAGCTTCTTTCCAAGCCTTGACATCAGCCCTCAGGGACTCAAGTCTTCTCTGTCCCAGACACTACACCCCTAGTACCTGAAAATTTCCTCTATGGGCAGGGTTTTCCAAGCCCCTCAACAAAGTGGTCATCCTTGTCCAGACCAACCAAACTGGGCTGGTGTCAGCTGCCCACTTACAAGCCTCTGTTCACCTAGATGAAGGTAACAGTGGCCCTTCGGCTGGCCACGTCACTCCCGTGACTCATCTTAAGCTTGTAGGTGACAAACTCCCAAGTCTTTCTGACGAACTGTTGTTACCTGGTCCTCCCTAACTTATCCCTGGACGGGTAATGTTTTAAACCTGAGTCCTGGCTTGTATATTTTTCCCCATGCAATTTCATCTGGTTAGGTTGGACCCATGGTTCCAGCTTGTAAAGAACTCTGTGTTGCCTGAGAGTGCCCCCAAAGCTGGGCTGAGAGTGCTGAAGAGGAGGGGACCCAGGATAGATCCCTGAGGCATGCTAGGCACCCCTGCCCAATGCACCTGCTGACATAGAATCCCCATTAGCAAATGTGAGCTGAGCTCCATGCTGGCCAGTGCTGGGCAGTGGGGCAGCCTCATTATTTGGAGAAGTCAGGTGGGGCTTGGAGACTTAATTATCCAGGGAGGAGCCTGCATCCTACAGTGGAGGGAAGGAGAAGAGTAACATTTTGGGCCCTACCACAGGCCAAGCACTTTGCATCTCCTTACACCCCCCACCTCCCGCTAAGCCCCTCAATACTGGACACTGTTACAGCCCCTGCTCCTCCCCAGTGCTCACAGCAATTTTCTAACTAGATTCTAGCTCCACTCTCAGCCTCATTCTGGTCATTGTGTTTCTTGCCTTCTTTGGGGCATGTGACCCTGGCCCATGACCAGGCTGTTGTCTGCTGGGTGCCTGTCTAGGCCACATGCTGGTGTGGCCCATCTTGGCACCTGTGTCTATGCAAGGTGCATGTTGCTGTCAAGAGTGTGTGTGTGCACGAGGGCCTCAGGTTTCAGAAGCTTTTCATGTCAAAGAATGGGCACACCGCTCACGCAAATGGTCTGCCCTGTGCTCCCTCTGGGCATGGGATTGGAGGGCTTCCTTCAGCAGCACATGCCCCATGGTATTCAGGATTCCTGATTCCTCAATTTCCCATGAGGCCGGAGCCAACCTTGCTTTATTGCCTCTCTCCATAGTTTGGGGGAGATTGGGGGAGCTAGAACTCCTATGTGTGGGAAGTGGCTTTAACATGTGCCACTCCCGAACCCCCAAAACGTCTGTTTGACACCTCCTGCTGAGATGTGCTGTCAATTCCCAGCACCCCTCAAACCAGCTTCCTCCCATCTTACCCTCTCTGAACGCTGCCAGACAAATACCTCTTGGCAAGGAGGAAGACACAGGCCCCTCCCAAGCCCCCTCTAAATCTGGTTCTCAGGAGATGGGAGCCCTAGGGAGATGTCCCACTGCATTGACTTTAGATGAGCAATAACTCAGTCAGTCTGGAATCTTTGAAGGGCAAGAACTTGTGTGGAGGACAAGCCCAGAAACCCAGGGCTTTCTGGGTCAGACAGGCTGGCTGGACCTAAGCCCTCACCCAGGCACGGCCAAGGTAGGTGGAGTCCAGCCCTGCTGACCGCCCCAGGCCCTGCTTCTCTCCTCCCTGTCTGAACGGCTTGGCTCTGCGTGAAGACTGCTGAATTCCAGTATTAGTCAAGTGGGTGTGCTCAGTGACGGTATTGGAAATAGCTCCCAATAGAGGGAGAGCACTCAAGATAGGATCTAGGATCAAGGCCATCAAGGTTATTGGGAGAAGGCAGAATGCAGAAGATTACGGAGTGAGTCCCTGCAGAGGCACTTGTCTAAGTCTCAGGTTATAAGGGCTCCTGGCCTTCTCTGGGAAACTGCTTTCAGAGCAGGTCAGCACACGTCTGTCCTACGTAAAACACGTGGCCTTGGGAGGGGGACACAGAAGGCCTGCTTCTGAGACCTTGCCATCTGGTTAGAAAGTGTCATCCCAACCCTGGGTGCTGTAATAAATGCACACGCATCATAAGGAGAAGAGAGAATTCCAAGAGGGGAGCCGGGAAGGATGTCTGAAGATGGGATTGAATTCGGCTTTGGAGGAAGGGTGGAAATTAGGCAAATTTGGAAAGAAAGACCTGCTAGACAGAAGGAAAAGGCCAAGCAGAGGTTTGGAGACAGGAATGTGTTGGGGTGTTGGGGAAAGGCCGGGGGGTGGTCTAGAGCAATAATTTATTAATAGAAGACAAAGTTTGAAAGGTCAGAGGAATATACATTTGGGAAGAACATAAAGGCTGTGTTGGGAGGTTAGACGTCTTCCCACAGGTCCATGGTTTTCAAATGAAAGTAGAACCATTTTCTTCAATGAAAGCTTATGTGTGAAGCACTGCACAAGTCAAAAGTGGAGAGCTCTAGTTTAAAGTCAAGGAGGGGAGCCTGGAGCCCCAACACCACTCCCCACTCCAGGGGAACCCTGTGACACACACACAGTCATGGGTACTCTAAAGAAAGTCCTTGGAGCTGGGCACTGTTGTCACATACCTGCAGTCCTAGCTACCCAGAAGGCTGGGGCAGGAGGAGGATCACTTGGGCCCAGGAGGTCAAGGCTGTAGTGTGCTATGGTCACACGTATTAATAGCCACTGCACTCCAGCCTGGGCAACATAGCAAGACACTATCTATCAAAAAACAAAAACAAAGGCGTGTGTTTGGGGGAGAAATTCCATGGAATCCTACTGCATGGGATGTTCTGCAATGAGTTCTAAACTTTATTTTTTAAAAAAATGTTTTGTAGAGATGGGGTCTCGCTATGTCATGCAGGCTGGTCTTGAACTCCTGGCTTCAAGCAATCCTCCCACCTAAGCCTCCCAAAGTGCTGGGAGCCACTGTGCCCAGGAGTTCTGAAATTTAGCGATGTGTGAATGGCACTAAGTTTGGCTTACTCCAATCATTTTCTTTTTTTTTGAGATTGGGTCTTGGTCTGTTACCCAGGCTGGAGCGTAGCAGCATAATCATAGTTCACTGCAGTCCCAAATTCCCTGGCTCAAGTGATCCTCCCGCCTTGTCTTCCCAAAGTGCTGGGATTACAGGCCTGAGCCACCATGCCCAGACTCCAATCAATCTTCTATTGATGAACATGATCACAAATATGACTTTTTCTTATAGCTGACTTTGCTATTAAATGTGAAATTGAGGCCAGGTATGGTAGCTCATGCCTGTAATCCCACCACTTTGGGAGGCCGAGGCGGGGGGATCACTTGAGGTCAGGAGTTTGAGACCAGCCTGGCCAACATGGTGAAACCTTGTCTCTACTAAAAATACAAAAAAATTACCTAGGTGTGGTGGCAGATGCCTGGAATCCCAACTACTTGGGAGGCTGAGGCAGGAGAATTGCTTGAACCCAGGAGGCGGAGGTTGCAGTGAGCCGAGATCGTGCCACTGCACTCCAGCCTGGGCAACAAGAGCAAAACTCCCCCTCAAAAAAAAAAAAAAAAAAAAAGTGAAGTTGAAAAAATAAGATAAAGACAAAAAGCAGAAGAAAACCACTGCTTACAGGTGATGGGGAACCAGTAAAGGACTTTAAACAGAACATTGATGCGATGGGATTTGTGTTTTAGAAAACTTACCCTGTCCTCTGTGCAGGAGGTGGACAGGAGTAGAGAAGCTGGTGGGGATGGGACCCATGGAGAGATGGTCTCCTGAGCATTAGAGTAAAGAGAAGGAAGACCAGACTGAGGCAATGGCAGAGGGATGCTGCGGGAAGGGTTGGCAGATGGCTCTACCCTTGCACTGATGTATCTCCCACACCTCCTTCTCACAGACCCTCATTCCCCCAGAGCCAGAAGGAAAGACCCAGGTTGGAGAATGGGTCTGCTCAGCATTAGGAGTGAGTGTGTGACCCACAACTGTGGCTCCTGAGAGGCAAGAAAGCCCTGTGGCACCCAGTGTGACCATCCCCTCCTTGTGGGGGTGCCTTGCTCTCCTGAAATGGGGGCACCATTAAGCCACCCGGAGCCTGGTGGACAGAGTACCCCATCCCATCCTCTGCCTCCCTGGGTTCATCATTTATAGTATTGCCATTTTGAATCCACATAGGTTGGTTATAATTGGTTTTGAATTGCCTGGGGAGGGGCTTGGGTAGGGAGGGTGGGAAGAACAGAGCTGGGAGGTGAGGAGGAACAGGTGCAGGGGACAGCTGTGAGTGAAAGGTGTGAAAACAGGCACATGTCTTCCTTTGTGGTTAGCTGGGTAAACAACCTGAGTGCTGGGGTGATGGGGGGGGGGTGATGGGGAGAGGAAGAGGAGGATGGGGAGGAGGGAACTTCCGGAGACATCACGGGCACACCCCCTGCACTTGGAGCAGGCTCTCTCCTTCTCTCCTGCCAGTCTCCCCGTGTCGCCCTCACTTTCTCCTGCCTCTCTCTGCCTCTGGGCTTTCTGCTTCTGAGTGCTCCTAGCTGCAGGGAGGTTGCCAGTGATGGGAAGTAGCAGGGAGCCTGCATCTGCTGCCCCTAGAAGGAAGCCCAGGCAGGGTTGTTCAGTGGGAGGTACTGGCTTTGGAAGTAGATAAACGTCGGTTCACACAAACCTGATCTTTAGCAAGACACATCTGTGAAATAGGAATAATATTACATACCTTGAGCGGGTTGTGCATATTGAACCAGATGGGAGGCTATTACTGCCATTTCAGTGATAACAGAGACAGTCAGGAACAGGAAGACCCATGAGGAGGGAGCCCACAGGCCAAGTCAGCACCCGCCCGCCCCTAGTCCCCAGCACAATGCTAAGTTGCAGTGCCCGACTGTTCTGCTCAGAACTGGAACAGATGGGTCCTTGTACCAAGCAGGTCCATTCCCCAAATTGAAGTCCTGTGACTCCAGCCGCCAAGGCTGCAGGCTTCCGTACATGAGGACCCAAAAACACAAGCTGACTTATGGGGTCCAGCCCTCCAGCACTTACAAAGCTCAGCCACCCGCACGCCTCCCTTCATCAGCACCACCACTCTAAGGAATGCGGTCCCTTTGACAGGCGAAAAACTGAAGTTGGAAAAGACAAAGTGATTTGTTCAAAATTGAAATTTGAAACTTGACATTTGGTCAGTGGGCCCTATGTAGGAAAAAACCTCCAAGAGAGCTAGGGTTCCTCTCAGAGAGGAAAGACAGGTCCTTAGGTCCTCACCCTCCCGTCTCCTTGCCCTTGCAGTTCTGGGAACTGGACAGATTGGACAACTATAACGACACCTCCCTGGTGGAAAATCATCTCTGCCCTGCCACAGAGGGGCCCCTCATGGCCTCCTTCAAGGCCGTGTTCGTGCCCGTGGCCTACAGCCTCATCTTCCTCCTGGGCGTGATCGGCAACGTCCTGGTGCTGGTGATCCTGGAGCGGCACCGGCAGACACGCAGTTCCACGGAGACCTTCCTGTTCCACCTGGCCGTGGCCGACCTCCTGCTGGTCTTCATCTTGCCCTTTGCCGTGGCCGAGGGCTCTGTGGGCTGGGTCCTGGGGACCTTCCTCTGCAAAACTGTGATTGCCCTGCACAAAGTCAACTTCTACTGCAGCAGCCTGCTCCTGGCCTGCATCGCCGTGGACCGCTACCTGGCCATTGTCCACGCCGTCCATGCCTACCGCCACCGCCGCCTCCTCTCCATCCACATCACCTGTGGGACCATCTGGCTGGTGGGCTTCCTCCTTGCCTTGCCAGAGATTCTCTTCGCCAAAGTCAGCCAAGGCCATCACAACAACTCCCTGCCACGTTGCACCTTCTCCCAAGAGAACCAAGCAGAAACGCATGCCTGGTTCACCTCCCGATTCCTCTACCATGTGGCGGGATTCCTGCTGCCCATGCTGGTGATGGGCTGGTGCTACGTGGGGGTAGTGCACAGGTTGCGCCAGGCCCAGCGGCGCCCTCAGCGGCAGAAGGCAGTCAGGGTGGCCATCCTGGTGACAAGCATCTTCTTCCTCTGCTGGTCACCCTACCACATCGTCATCTTCCTGGACACCCTGGCGAGGCTGAAGGCCGTGGACAATACCTGCAAGCTGAATGGCTCTCTCCCCGTGGCCATCACCATGTGTGAGTTCCTGGGCCTGGCCCACTGCTGCCTCAACCCCATGCTCTACACTTTCGCCGGCGTGAAGTTCCGCAGTGACCTGTCGCGGCTCCTGACGAAGCTGGGCTGTACCGGCCCTGCCTCCCTGTGCCAGCTCTTCCCTAGCTGGCGCAGGAGCAGTCTCTCTGAGTCAGAGAATGCCACCTCTCTCACCACGTTCTAGGTCCCAGTGTCCCCTTTTATTGCTGCTTTTCCTTGGGGCAGGCAGTGATGCTGGATGCTCCTTCCAACAGGAGCTGGGATCCTAAGGGCTCACCGTGGCTAAGAGTGTCCTAGGAGTATCCTCATTTGGGGTAGCTAGAGGAACCAACCCCCATTTCTAGAACATCCCTGCCAGCTCTTCTGCCGGCCCTGGGGCTAGGCTGGAGCCCAGGGAGCGGAAAGCAGCTCAAAGGCACAGTGAAGGCTGTCCTTACCCATCTGCACCCCCCTGGGCTGAGAGAACCTCACGCACCTCCCATCCTAATCATCCAATGCTCAAGAAACAACTTCTACTTCTGCCCTTGCCAACGGAGAGCGCCTGCCCCTCCCAGAACACACTCCATCAGCTTAGGGGCTGCTGACCTCCACAGCTTCCCCTCTCTCCTCCTGCCCACCTGTCAAACAAAGCCAGAAGCTGAGCACCAGGGGATGAGTGGAGGTTAAGGCTGAGGAAAGGCCAGCTGGCAGCAGAGTGTGGCCTTCGGACAACTCAGTCCCTAAAAACACAGACATTCTGCCAGGCCCCCAAGCCTGCAGTCATCTTGACCAAGCAGGAAGCTCAGACTGGTTGAGTTCAGGTAGCTGCCCCTGGCTCTGACCGAAACAGCGCTGGGTCCACCCCATGTCACCGGATCCTGGGTGGTCTGCAGGCAGGGCTGACTCTAGGTGCCCTTGGAGGCCAGCCAGTGACCTGAGGAAGCGTGAAGGCCGAGAAGCAAGAAAGAAACCCGACAGAGGGAAGAAAAGAGCTTTCTTCCCGAACCCCAAGGAGGGAGATGGATCAATCAAACCCGGCGGTCCCCTCCGCCAGGCGAGATGGGGTGGGGT
Source organism: Homo sapiens (assembly GCF_000001405.40). Taxonomy (NCBI): domain Eukaryota; kingdom Metazoa; phylum Chordata; class Mammalia; order Primates; family Hominidae; genus Homo; species Homo sapiens. The sequence continues at coordinate 118,895,530 of NC_000011.10, forward strand.
GGAGAACTCCTAGGGTGGCTGGGTCCAGGGGATGGGAGGTTGTGGGCATTGATGGGGAAGGAGGCTGGCTTGTCCCCTCCTCACTCCCTTCCCATAAGCTATAGACCCGAGGAAACTCAGAGTCGGAACGGAGAAAGGTGGACTGGAAGGGGCCCGTGGGAGTCATCTCAACCATCCCCTCCGTGGCATCACCTTAGGCAGGGAAGTGTAAGAAACACACTGAGGCAGGGAAGTCCCCAGGCCCCAGGAAGCCGTGCCCTGCCCCCGTGAGGATGTCACTCAGATGGAACCGCAGGAAGCTGCTCCGTGCTTGTTTGCTCACCTGGGGTGTGGGAGGCCCGTCCGGCAGTTCTGGGTGCTCCCTACCACCTCCCCAGCCTTTGATCAGGTGGGGAGTCAGGGACCCCTGCCCTTGTCCCACTCAAGCCAAGCAGCCAAGCTCCTTGGGAGGCCCCACTGGGGAAATAACAGCTGTGGCTCACGTGAGAGTGTCTTCACGGCAGGACAACGAGGAAGCCCTAAGACGTCCCTTTTTTCTCTGAGTATCTCCTCGCAAGCTGGGTAATCGATGGGGGAGTCTGAAGCAGATGCAAAGAGGCAAGAGGCTGGATTTTGAATTTTCTTTTTAATAAAAAGGCACCTATAAAACAGGTCAATACAGTACAGGCAGCACAGAGACCCCCGGAACAAGCCTAAAAATTGTTTCAAAATAAAAACCAAGAAGATGTCTTCACATATTGTATTTATATATTTATATTTATATATATATTTATATAATGGTACAAAATGGCTGGGGGTGTGGCCATGGATGGAGGGAAGAGTAGGCTGGCCTGTGGCGTGGGTGGGAGGAGAGGGGACGGAGAGGGCACTCGGCCCGCTGCAATCTGACCCCTCTCTCCTCAGGGCAGGAAACACAGAGTCAGACAGTTTGGGGGGGTCTTGGGCCAGGGGTGGAGGGCTCAAGGGCACAGGGCCCAGGCTGAGGCAGGGCGGGCAAAGCGCCTGGCAGGATGAAGGGCAAGTGGCCCCCCAAACACAGAGGCCCTGGCCATGGACCCTGGGAGGTGACCGGGGTGAGTCAGGGGCCTGTTGTCAGCCCCAGAGGAAGCGCTGGACCTGGCCGATGGTGGGCCGAGAGGACAGCACCAGGCTGGGAGAAGTGGGGCGAGTTCCCTTTGTATTACAGCTGCCAGTGCAAGACCAGGCCCTCCAGGCCAGGAAGGCTAGGGACGGGTCCTGGTAGAAGACACCCTGTCTAGAATGGCCCTTGGTCCTGGAGGTGGGGCGCAAAAGGCCTCAGCCAGGGAACTGCCCTGCCACCTCCCGAGGCAGGAAAGGAAGTGAGAAAAGGAGAAGTTTTTTTACTCCTGGGGCCAAAGTAGGGGGACAAACACCCAGTCGTATATGGCTTCAGCTCTGACCAAAGGCGGATAGGGAGCTCTCCTGGGTAGGAGCAGGGAGCCAAGGGGGAGGCAGTGGCTGTGCCTGGGTGGGCACAGACAGATCTGGTACATGGCCCTGAGCCCTGGGCAGAGGGACAACCTTGCCGGTGAGTGGGCAGGCAGAGAGGAGGCGGCAGGATGCTGTTTCCCCGATTCCATCCTCAGGGAGTGGAGACTGGAGGGGAGGTGCACTGACTCAGATGAACTGTTCTCCCCCTTCTTTGATAAGAAGTAGGTGGCAGCAGCCTCTGGAAAAGTCAGGGCCCTGGAGGTTACCTGGCCCAGGGCTACTACAGCCACAGGCCCCAGTGGCACCATGCCACCCCTTCCATGGCTCCACTCAAGGGGGCCACACAGCCACCGCCTCTTCCTCCTTTCCTTCATCCCAAACTGGGACAAAAGACTTCAAGTTCTGGCTAAGATGTAGCAGCAGCGGATGCCCGGGCATCCAAAGTGGAAAGCCAGGGCCCCGTGTCACCGGTGTGGGCAAACACACATGCACGTGCACACATGTTCTCCCTGAATCACTCAGCAGCAGACAGGCTGCCGCCCTGGGGGTCTCAGCCCTGCTAGGGCTCACCAGGTGGAAGCCTAGGTGGTCTGACCTCAGTTTAGGAGTGGGTCATTTACGTCATCTTACCATTTGGGGACGAGACAGGAATGGTATCCCTTAGGGACCCAGAGACACTGCAAACAGTGGGTGGCCATGTAGGGCTGCATGTCCCTGGGTCCAGGGGAATGGAGGGAGCAATAACTTGAAGAAGGGGGGAAGGGTTTCTTTTATCCTTTTTTTTTTGTGTGACTTCTATCAAAACACAGAAATACAGCACACGCACAAACCAGCACAAAAGCGCAGCGCTCTATTTACAGCTCCGGCTGGCACCTGCCCACCTGGCCAGCCGCCTGCAGGGAGGGGTGGGAGAGGGGTCAGCCACATCAGCAGGGAAAGGATACGAAGCAGGTAAAGACAGAAGGAAAATGGGCGGGTGCGGAGAAACCAAGAGGGAGGTGGAGCTCCAGCAATGCGGACACGAGGAGACAGGAGCAGAAGGGGCTGGGGGAGACCTGACCTGTCCTTCCTCTCTCCCCCCAGATTCCCATCCAGGACTCCAAAAGCATAGCTGAAGGGGGTGTGGCGGGTGCAGGGATGCACGGAAAGAGGTAAAATAGAGAGGCTCCATAGGAATTGGGAGGAGTGGGGGAGGGGCAGTCCTGGTGGCCGAAATGGAACCAACCCCAATGCAAAATCCCCCACCCCACACTGCCACTTCCCCCTAAGCTGCCAGCACATCTGGTTTCCACAAATGCCACTCCCTACACAAGCCCCCTCCCACCCCCTCCACCCCACCCCGCGACCCAGGCCATCCCAACATTGAGGGGAAGAACTTTGTTAAGGTTATCGTATTTGCAACATTGCCCCGGCTCCAGCCCTGGCAGCGACTTCTAGAAGGGCAGGTTGGCCATGCCGCCTGGTGCCGGGAGGTAGCCCATCTGGCTGTCCAGGGACACACTGCGCTGCCGAAGGGGGTGGGACACCATGAGGTTCTGCTGGGGCGGGGGGCCCATGAGGGAGCCCTGCGGGGAGAGCATGTGGGGCGGCTGGCTGTAGACCTCGCCCCCCACGCCCCGCTGCTTCATCAGCATGAAATTCTGCTGGGTCATGAGGCCTTGTGGAGGGGACATGACCCCCTGGTGCAGGCCATGGGGCACCATCCCCTGCTGTGGGGGCACGCCTGTCCTGCCCAGCAAGGACATCTGTCCAGGGTGGCACATGGACATGTTGAGCCCCCGCTGGACGCCCTGCTGGCCTGGGAGGTTGGGAGGCCGAGAGGGAGTCTGCTCCGCCATCATGTTCTGCAGGTTCATGAGATGCAGATTAGGGGGCTGAGCCTTGGGGGGCTGGTTCTCGCTCTTGGGGAAGTACTGGAGGGTGCTGCTTGGCTTCTCAGAGGGGATGATCCTCGACAAGTCGAACTCGGGGATCCCCGTTGGGGTGGGCCGGATCACCTCGCTCAGCTCGGGGTCGTTCAGCACTGATGCCACCCCAGGGAGCACACCCGGTGGGTATGCGTCGCCCATGCGCCCAGCCATGGCTTTGCCCATCAGGTGCTGCTGGGGAGGCATGGGGCCTGGCGGCTGGTTGGGCAGGTCCTCGGGAGGCAGGGCCATGCCTGACGGGTAGTGCTGCTGCAGGCCAGGCCCCCCGCCCCCACCCCCAGTGGGGGCCATGGCACCATGGGGCTGCTGCAGCCGAGGGGGGAAGGGCATCATCTGGGAGGAGCTGGGCACTGGGCCACAGGGGGCATTCAGGGAGTCGGGGCCCCCTGGGGCCATCATCATGGAGTTTTGAGGGGGCCCCCCTGTCCCCTGTGCGTTGGGATGCAGTGGAATGTTGGAGCCCAGAGGGGTGGGGGAGGGCAGCATGGCGGGCGGGGGCTCATGGGACAGGGGCTGCTGGCCTGGCAGGTTCATGCCCATAGGGCTCTGGGCAGCGGCTGAGTTCAGGTGCATCTGGCTGGGCTGGCTGTTGCTGATCCCTGTAGGGAATAGAAGACAGGGGGTCAGGCACGGTGTGCCCAGCTCGGGGAGGGTGCAGGGCTCAGGCCTTCCCCACTCCCAAGCCAGGGGGTGCCAGAGGTCAAAGTCTTCACCACTGGCTTCCCCTGGCTGGGAGGGAAGGGACTGGAGGCATTGATGCTAGAAGCCAAGAGACCAAGTTCTGGCCCAGTTCGCCAGACACACCACCAGGTGTTGGAAAGACCACTCGAGTGCTCTGGGCTGGGTTTCCCTAATGACTCCAGCGAGTGGGAACAGCATCCCGGAGCCTCCACCCCCACACCCAGGGCCTTCAGAGGCACAAAAAAGCCAGCACAACCACAGCTGTGCTCCCCGCTCCCAGTGCCCACACCAGCTGGCCTCCCTGGGGCCCTGGCCTGTCCTCGCACCTGGCCCGGAGCCCTGCGGTGGTGGTGGGGGGGGCAGCAGGGGCCGGTCGGGCAGCAGCTCGTCGTCTGAGGTGGCGATGGTCTTGATGGCATTGTGGTAGAGCGGGGTGGAGCTGGGCATGGCGTACTTGGACATCTGGGTCATCATCAGTGACAGGGGGTTCTGGGAAGGTGTGGGGTCTGGGGAGGAAGTGAATGGTAGGCTGGGGTTCATGAGGCCGCTGGGAGGGTTGGCGGGAGGTGCTGAGGAGCTGCTCCGGGGGCCGCTAGGCGGGAGGGTACCTACAGAAACGGGGAGACAAAGAGAGCAGGGGTGACTGGGGAGGGGCAGATGAGTTTGGCTGTGGATATGGGGAGGTTTAGGAAGCGGTCAGTTCCCCAAATCACCTGGTCCTTCAGACACACCCACAGGCCCCCACTATCTCCAGAGCCCACCAGTCTTCAAGCAATTCCTGCAGCCTCAGGGCCCCAGGCAAGGGGAAGATCCCAGGCCCCAAGTACGATCACTCAAAATGCCTGGGAGACTCACGTGGTACCCCCTGAGAAAGCCCACAAATGTCATCATCTGCCCCATAAGCAGAGCCATCCACCTCTGGGCCCGTGGTACACAGGCCCTTACTCACTCACTGCCCAGCCCCAGCATGGACACACTGCTCAGCGCCTGCCTGCCTGCCTGCCTGCCTGCCTGCGCAATTGACTCACCCTGTTCCATGTTGCTCAGGGTGGTGGAAGAGTTCATGTTGAGAGGCGGCTGCTTGTTCTGGGAGACCCCCGGGCTGGGCATGGCCGTCTTAGGTGAGGCAACCCAGCCTGGAGAAGGCACCGCCATGGAAGGAGACTTGAGCCTGCTGGGCGAGCCAGTGGGTGAACGGACACTGAGGGAGGAGCCGAGGACCTGGGGCGACTTGAGAGGTCCTGGCGGGTTGGCAGAAGGCAAGGGCACCATCTGTGAGGGAGTCTGGGGTGACTTGAGGTTGGCAGAGGGCGAGGTGACCAGGGGTGAGTGCACCTGGCTAAGGGTGGGCGACTTCAAGTGCCCCATGCCCGGTGAGCCCATCTGATTAATACTGATGGTGAGGTCCGAAGGCCGCCTGCCTAGCCCCCGGTTTGGGGCTGAATGCACGGTCCCAGGAGGATTGGACGCAGGGGGCAGAGGCATGTGGCTGAGCCGGGTGGTGCCCACGTTGCTCATGGGCATTGAGCTCTGATCAGGGCTGAACATGTCTTGGGTATTGCCCATGTCCTGGGACATGGCTTGGTAGGGTCCCTGGCCTCCAGAGAATCCCTGCTGGCCCTGGTTGGGAAACTGTGAAGGCATCAGCATCTTCTGCGGGCCGCCCATCACGCCACTGCTGTTCTGGGCCCGAACCCGGGCCATCTCCTCAGGACTGAGGCCCTGGGGCCCCATCAAGTCCCCAGGGCCCCGCATCTTCTGCGACATCAGCATCTGCTGCTGCGGGGTCATCTGCACGTTCAGGTTCATGTTCATGTTCATGTTGACATTCATGTTCATGTTGAGGTTGCCTGGCCCCATGGGTGGGTCCACCTCCCTCAGCCCAGACTGCCCCATGGGAGGGCTCAGGAGGCCCCGGCCTCCACCAAACTCCATGCCCATGGGAGTGCCCGCCAGGCCCTCACCACCAGCCATCTGCCCGGGAAACATGGCAGGATCCATCTGTCGGTGCGCCTGCATCATCCGCTCCATCTCCATGCTCTGTCCCATGCCACTGCCTGCCATGCCCAGGGGGCGCTGCATGCCCATCGACCGCTTCTCCAGCAGCTGGTGCCGCAGCAGCTCCTCACGGACCCGGGGAGTCATGAATCGCTCCGCCTCACCCTGCCCACCTGGGTAGGGCATGGTGTTCTGGGCAAAATTGCTGGGTCCCCCCATAGGGGGCAAGTCTTCGGTCCAGCCCATGCCTGGTCTCACGGGCCTCTGCATGGCATTCATGGGCACCTCCATGGGCATACTCTGCATGCCCCCAAACCCAGGTACCCGTTGTATCTGGTTGCCTGGGAAACGGGGCCCAGGAAAGGGAGGTCCGCCCCGGAGCTGCATGGGATCTTGAACATCCATGGGCCCCCGCAGCTGCGCACCCATTCCAGGTGGCCACTGATCCCCAGGCTTGCTGTGGTAAGGAGGCGGGGGCCCCCTCACCATCATGCCCCCCATGCCCATCATGTCCTGCAGAGGACGGCTCCCATGCAGCCCAATCTGTTCCTCTTTCCGCCGTTTCTCTTCGTAGTACTCCTCCTGCAGCTTGCGCCAGGCCACCTGCTCAGGCGTGAGGCTGTCCTGGCCCAGCCTCTGTATCATCATGTTCATCTGCTGCCCCATGTCCCCACCCGGGGGGTGCCCAGGCACTTCATGCTCCAGCGGGGGGCCCCCTAGGCTCTGTGTCTGTGAAATCATGGACTGCAAGGGTTCCTCATATTTCTTCAGCCCGCTGGGAGGGGCCGTGGGTGGCTGCTGGGGGGGAGGGGGGGCTTGTGCTGGTGGGCCCCCCTCACCCGCTCCTCCTGGGGGCCCCTTGAGGAAGGGCTCAGTCTCTCCGCTGCGGAGCAGCAGTCGCTCAATGTCTCGCAGCGTCTGGAGGGACCGTTCCCGATGCTCCAGCTGCTCTTTGGACAAGCCCTCTGAGCCCACCAGGCTGCGCTGCCCATTTCCAGGGGCGGCTGCCTCCCCCAGCAGGGCAGGGCCGGGGGCACTGCTGGGGTCTCCTCCAGGAGGCAGAGGGTTGTTGGCGGTGGTAGCCGTCGGGGTGTTAGGGTGGGTGCCCCCAGTCCCACCACCTGTGCTGGCAGCTCCCACCGAGTTGGGGGCCAGGTCCTGACTGCTGTCCTCAGGAGGCCCCTCTGGGGGCAGAGCAGGCGGGGCACTGCCAGGGGCCGGGGGTGGCGGCGGCGGCAGTGGAGGTGGCTGGGACTGCGGGGTGCCTGCTGACGGCGTGCTCAGGGGTAGCGGTTCTGGGGTGGGGGGCACTTTAGGGGCCTGCAGAAGGACAAAGAGAGCATGAGACAGGTAAGGGGACGTTCCACCCAGTCCTGCTGCTCACAGAGGCGCCACGCTCACCTGGTCAAGCTTGGCCCGGGGCACGTTCTGCTGGTGGTAGGCGAGGATGGAGTCGGCCCGGCCCTGCAGCACTGCCTCTGCAGCCCTGCACAGAGTGGGGGCACCGACAGCTCAGAGAGGTGAGCAGGAGGGAGCCCCACCCTCACCCACCCCACCCTGCCCCTGCACGGGGCTCCCTCGGAACCCCAGGCTGAGAGGTGCTGGGCAGAGAGAGAGAGAGACTTGGCCTGCCCACCAGGCACTTACGTGTTGGCCAGGTGGGTGGTGAAGACATATACGAACTGCGAGGGAGGCTTTCCGGGGACGCCCCCGCCCCCGCCCCCGCCCCCAGGGGCATCAGGCCGAAGGCCAGGAGGAGGGCCGTGCGGGGCGCCTGGCACGCTGCTCTCGCTGAGGGGCAGTTGGGTGGTTTGGCCGGGACCCAGCTGTGGGGCCGCCATGGCTGGGTCTGCTACATTACAATCTGCAGGAGAGAGGACAGGGAAAGGGGCTAAGTGGTCTAGATACAAGAAGGACCAGCTGATGCCCCCTCCCACTGATGCTCACAGCCTTACAGCTCGTGCCCACAGGGACATTTGATGTCAGTATCTGGTGTTCTCACCAGGCTGGTTTCCACGATGGCAAGAGTGGTGACCATGTGGAGAGCAGGGACAGAGAAAATGTGTCCTCTCCACAGGCTCCCATGGGCCTGGCATTCTGCTGGGGACTTAACAGGTGTGATTTCATCTCATCAACACACCCTGGGAGGAACGTGTCACACACTCCACTTAACAAAGGAGGAAATAAGTTCCTCACCCACAGTTACACAGCCAGTTAGTGCAGAGCCAGAACTGAACCCAGGGCCGGGACTCTGAAGCTCCGCTCTGAGCTGCTGCCCCTCTCACTGGGTAAGTGTATGTGCACACAGTCTAGTGACCCAGTTAGGGAGAAGGCAGAGAGGGTACACAAGCTGATGATCCAAATGATGGATGGTTTTTCACTCTAGCCCCACCACTAACTGACTTTGTGATTTTATGAACCAGACATCCCTCTAAGCCTCGGTTTCTTCATCTATAAAATGTAAAATACTAACCTCCTCCTTGCACAGGGGGCAGGCCAAAGAAATATATTTTTTAACAGTAAGTTTAAATCAATGTCACAGACTAAAAAAATCCATTTGAAAAACAGAGAGCCGGGAGCGGTGTCTCACGCCTGTAATCCCAGCAGTTTGGGCGGTAGAGGCGGGCGGATCACCTGAGGTCATGAGTTCAAGACCAGCCTGGCCAACATGGTGAAACCCCGTCTCTACTAAAAATACAAAAATTAACTGGGCATGGTGGCGCATGGCTGTAATCCCGCTACTCAGGAGGCTGAGACATGAGAATTGCTTGAACTTAGGAGGTGGAAGTTGCAGTGAGCCGAGATCACACCATTGCACTCTAGCCAGGGCGACAGAGCGAGACTGTCTCAAAAAAATAAATAAATAAATAAAAATAAGAAAGAAAAAACAGTTAGAAAAAGCTGACATACTGGAAACACTCTCAAGACAGACCAGCTGCCCTCAGCACCAAGGGAAGTTTTGTTCCATGGTTAGACACTTGACTGTAAGTCTTAGCGTAGAAAAAAATCTACAACGGGTCTAGGTGAGTGGGTAGACCCATTCGCATGCCAAGAAAAGCAAGTCACAGTTCCTGGCCCGCAGACAGTAAGTACCAGCATTCTCAGTTAATGGGAGACAGATTGCCTGAAGTTGTCTCCATCCAGCCAGGGCAGTGACCACCTTCCCATGGGCCCAGTGTCAGGCTGCCCTCTTTGGAAAAAGTTTCTTCTGCACCTTCTTCTCTGATGGACCCACCCCAAAACGGCCCTGCTCTGGACCCTATCTATCCAATTTTACATAGAAGAGCAGAGCCAGAAATTTGCGGGGGAGCTTGAGAGCTGACCTCAATGTGTGAAGGCTGCTGAGTAGCTCTTGGATACGAGCTATGGGGAGACAGGCAGGGCTTAGTCCAACAAGGAACTTTCTAGTACAATAACAATGATAAAAGCTAACATGTTACATGTATAACCTCATTTACTCCTCATACCAACCCTATGAGATAAATAATACTTTTACAGATGAGGAAACTGAGGCCCTTTCCCAAATTTACAGAAATAACCTGGGTTGCAAACGAAGGCAGCCTGATGGCAGAACTAGTCCTGTCAATGTCTACGTTCTATCGCCCCTCCAGTAAGAACTCTTCAAGAATCTAAGGGCAGGCCGGGCACGGTGGCTTATGCCTGTAATCCTAACACTTTGGGAGGCCGAGGCGGGCGGATCACTTGAGGGCAGGAGTTCAAGACCAGCCTGGCCATAATGGTGAAACTCCATCTCTACTAAAAATACAAAAATTAGCCAGGCGTGGTGACGCATGCCTGTAATCCCAGCTACTTGGGAGGCTGAAGCAGGAGAATTACTTGAACCCAGGAGGTGGAGGTTGCAGTGAGCCGAGATTGTGCCACTGCACTCCAGCCTGGGCAACAGAGTGAGTGAGACTCTGTCTCAAAAAAAAAAAAAAAAAAAAAGAATCAGGCCGGGTGGCTCACGCCTGTAATCCCAGCACTTTGGGGGGCTGAGGCAGGTGTATCACCTGAGGTCAGGAGTTCAGGACCGGTCTGGCCAACATGCTAAAACTCCACCTCTGCTAAAAATACAAAAATTAGCCAGGCGTGGTGGCAGGTGCCTGTAATCCCAGCTACTCGGGAGGCTGAGGCAGGAAAATCGCTTGAACTCAGGAGGCAGAGGTTGCAGTAAGCCGAGTTCGTGCCATTGCACTCCAGCCTGGGCAACAAGAGTGAAACTCCGATTCAAAAATAAATAAATAAATAAATAAATAAAAGAATCTAAGGGTAGTACGACTAAAATAGTCGCCTTGAGTATGGGATGTTAGCAATTTCTACTTTGTATTTCCCTATGTTTGCCAGGCACAGTGGCTCACTCCTGTAATTCCAGCACTTTGGGAGGCCAAGGCATGAGGATCGCTTGAGACCAGGAGTTCAAGATCAGCCTGGGCAACATGGCAAGACTGTCTCTACAAAAATTAGCCAGGTGTGATACATGCCTGAGCCCCAGCTACTTGGGAGTCTGAGATGGGAGGATCACTTGAGCTCAGGAGTTTGAGGTTGCAGTGAGCTGTGATCACACCACTGCACTCCAGCCTGGGTGTCAGAGAGAGACCCTGTCTCTAAACAATAAATAAATAAAACTCACAAAGTTTCTACAATGGTGCAGTCTGATGTGACATAAGTGAACTGGAGGTGGTGGCTATGGGGGGAGGTGTCTGGTCTGGGAAGCAGTAAAGGCTTCTATCATCAAAGGGTTCAGCCAGAGGCTTGGCGACCACCAGGTTAGTCCCACGGGGGAGAGAGAACTGATACAGGATGGTCTGTGAGGTTCCAGCTAGCTGTAGAGGTTTGGTATTTGACCCTCTACACCCCTGTCACAGACATAGTCTGCTCACTCCATAACATTTGCTGACTCTCTCTCCTCCTCTGTAATTGGCATCATGATAACACTGACCTCACAGGGCTGTTGTAAGGATTAAATAAAACAGAGTAGCAAAGTAGCCAATGTACTCTTTTCTTTCTTCTTTCTATGGTCCCTGCCTTCAAGGAGTTCACAATTTAATAGTCTCTGGCTAGTTTCTTTTTCTTCTTTCTTTACTTCTTTCCTTTCTTTCTCTCTCTCTCTCTTTTTAGAGATGGGGTCTCCCTATGTTGGCCAGGCTGTTCTTGAACTCCTGGGCTCAAGCAATTCTCCGGTTTCAGCTCCCCAAATTCTGGGGATTACAGGTGACAGCCACCACACCCAGCCTCTCTGGCTAGTTTCTTATGTCTCTCTCCTCAAAAAGATGTAAACGTAAACTTTGAGGGAAAAAAAATATGTACAAGCTTCCCAGGGGCAGGGGTTACATCTGGCTCTCCCCCATCACTCATGGAAGGACAAGATATAGGCGAATCCATAAAAGAATCAGAGGAGGAGTGGGCATCCCTCCACACCCACTTCTTGTCCTGGTGACACACCCTGGGTACTTGCCAGGAGTCAATTAGAGGTTAGGGAAGGGCACTAGAGACACGGCCAAGTGGCAACTCACACCCAGGCTTAGCAGGGCTTTGCACAGCAGAGCCAACTGCCCGGCTCCCAGTGTCCCTGGACGCTTCACCGCCCTCCCTCCACTAACCAGTAGGTGGCAGCATAGGCCAGGAATTCACAGGTAGAGGTGCAGGTGACGTGACCAAGAAGGAGGCCACTCCACTCTGCCCCACCTAGGGTCCCTAGGGAGAGGGGGTCACTGAGCACCTGGAAGGCAGAGGCGAGGCAGTTGCAGTGTAGGGAGGGACAGAGTCTGAGAGGTAGGATGGGAGAGAAAAATCCAGGACTCCCAGTCCTCACTTCTTTCCCAGGCTCAGTCCTCTCAAGTCCATCCCCCAGGAACATCACGGGCTACAGCACCCTGGCATCGACAGGCACTCACTGTGGGTGGCCCCAATGGGCTTGTCGTCCTCCTCACTGTCCGGTCCAGAGCACCATTCGTCCCCACTGTACGGCTGCTTCCGCTCCAGCACACAGCGCCGCTTACTCCGCGGCGCCACCTCTGCCCAGGCAGGACGGAGGAAAGAGTGAGTGCCTAGAGGCCCCATTATTCTCCCACACCCAGGGTCCCTCCCAGATCCATTCTCTAAGATGCCCCACCCTAGAGGGCACTGCCCAGGCCATGGTGGGCACTTCGCCAGCCCGTGGCCCCCACCACGCCACCATTTGTTTCTGATTTCTCTCTATAGCCCCATGCCTGTCTCCCCTCCCCCCCAACACCAAGTACAGCATAATCCCCAACCACAACTGGTTCTAATTAGGGCTGGAGGGGAGGGGGAGCTGCTGCTACTCTTCCAGGCCCCAGTGCCTGCTCCCAAAGGGCTCCCACCAGCCGGGATACGGAGGCTCCTGGAAGTGTGTGGGTCTGGGGTCTGCTCCTCACTCCATGGCACCTCCCTCTCCCCTTCTGGAGCTCTGGTGGGAAAGCAGGAGGGGAAGGAGTCCAGAAGTCCGACCACTCTGTGTGGCCCCTCCATGGGTGGCATCATGGCCAACCCCAATCCCGAATGATCTGGTTGGTGGGTGTTGAAAGGTACCCATGCAGAAATACTGGAGAAGAACGTGGGATGAGGACTGGACAAGCAGGGAGCAGAGAGGTGATCTCCCAGAACATCTGAGCCTTGGACTATGGGAGATGCTAGGGTCTTAGGGATGAGGAAATGGGGTACCTTTGGCCTCTGAATCCAGGGATGGGGTCCCAGCCTCTCGCTGCTCTCCAGAGTCCACAGACACACTCCGGTCCCTCTTCACCTTGCCCTTGAGCGAGCTGAAAGGGGGCACCCCTGCCTGGGGGTTCTTCAGACTTGAGTTGCTAGGCGAGATCTGGTTGGCCTTGGCCCCATGGTTCCCCGCCCCCACGCCCTTCGAGCCCACGTTGCAGGTGGGTCCTTGGTTCACATTCTGGTGCTGAGATTGGGCCCCGCCATTCCCTGTCTTGCCATGATTGGTCAATTTATTTTCTGGGTGCATTGGCTTGGCTGGGGCAGGGGGGCAATGACCGCGGGGGGACAGCGGCGGGCTCCCTGGAGCTTCTCTCCTCCTGGGGTGGGGTAACCTGGGAGGAGGTGGGAGAAATGTGAAAAGTTAACCTTGCTAGGGGCTAGGCATGCCTGCAACTTAATTACCCCATCCTGCCTCCCCTAACAATGGGGGAGGGTGGGGGGAAGGGGTGGTATCTCAAGACCACCACCAGCTATTCTCTACCTCCCTCCATGGCTTCCTCAGACAAGGGCTGAAGCCCTCATCCACCTTGGGGAGTGGAGATGGGGAAACCCTCCACCCCCTAGCCTCCACAATTTGAATGGAAACCAGGGCCTAGAGTTGGCAGAATTCACCCACCTCAGCCCCAAAACACCCATCAGCCTGCAAGCTTCTGTGGCAACCCTGTCCTCTGTATCAGACTTAAGCATCCTCTCTTCTAAGATCTGCTGTCTTCAGACTCCTTCCAAGGTCTCAAACCTCAACTCCCATATGTCCCAACACCAGCAGAGAAGGGCCACAGGACCTGGGGTCACTGCACATGCCCGGGTCTCATTCCCCAGGGACAGTGGGAAAACGCACACCAGGGAGTGCTACCCACTGGTCCAGACAGCTGGAGGGGAAGGCCTGAGGAGGGGGGCTTGGCAGGCCAGGCCGGCAGGCAGAAGCAGGAGGAAAGGGGGAGGGGAGCGGTGTGTCAAGCAGATGGGGAGTGTAGCTTGAAGCCAAGGATTCCTGCAGCCTAGGCTGCGGGCCCTTTAAGCTCCAGCCCGCTCCCCCCGCCGCCTCCCCCTCCCCGGAGACCTATTAATAGCCGCTGGAAAGATCACATCACGGGAGAGGATATTTATCCCCCCTCATTCCACACCAGCTCAGATTTATTTCAGCTCTGCTGTCCTGCTGCTGCCGCCTGGCCCTGTCTGCCGGCTTCTCCGGGGAGGGGGGAGGGAGGCAGGCACCGCCCCCTACTCCAGCTCCCACCTCCAGCTAGACTGAGGCCAGAGGCGGCCTTCGGACCCCACAGTAGGGTGGGAGGGGGTCTGCTCAAACCATTTTAAGGAGGGAAGAACTAGAAGGGACCAGAAGCCGCAAGCATAGCTGGCTGCCAGTCCCCTCTGCCCCCCACCCAGGCCCAGGCACTAAGGCTGGCTGCGCCTCCTGCCTCGGGCCAGGCCTTCCCATGCTAACCCCCCTTTAGCCCACTGGTGGCCTGGGAGCCAGGTGCCCAGGGCGGCTCCTCTCCTGGCCAGCACAGCTTGGGCCCCATCACCACTGGGCCCTTCCCTTCCCGCACTCCACACACACACATCCCACCCGCCACGACACCCACACACCTTGTCTTGTTAGCCAGGATCCTCATGGCTCCCACACACAGTGGGGCTACGGCCCCTGTGCGTGCCCAGGGCCCAGCCAGGTACTCGGTACTGGAGCACGGACTGCAGCAACAAGCCCCAAAGAGAAAACTCGTGACTTGGGGAGGGGGTGTCAGAGGGGGAGGGGAGAAGGGAGGACCCAACAGCCCTGGGACTAGGGAGCTGGATAGGGTGGGGTGGCACTGGAAAAAGAGGATTACGAGATGGGGTCTCGATCCTGGAGGCCAGCCCTGTCCCCATCCCTCCCGCACCTTGCCCTCAGGGGGCTTGCAGTCTCCAGCAAGCCTCCGCCCCGACGGGCGGCAGAGACAGAATTCACTAAAAGGCTAGGTAGCAAAGGTGCCGTGTGGGGCGGCTGTGAGGTCTCCCCTGGCCCCCTGAGGGATTCCTGCTCCCAGACGCGCCCCTCACCCAGGGTGGGGTACCCCTCGTGCCCCACCCCCAGAGCGCTCCAGCCGTGGAGGGGGCCCGGGGTTGGGGCCACGCCCCGCCCCGTCCCCAGCTCGAGGCCTAGCCCGTGCCCATCCCAGCAGGCCCGGGCGGGCAGCGAGAGGCCTGGCGGGGCCCCGGGGCTGCAGCTGGGCTCTTCTGGAGACCAGTAACGCTGGCTCGGATTCCTCCCCGACCGCAAGAATGCAGGAGCCTCCCCTCCCCCCGCCCTGCACCCCCACCCCGCCCCCTTCGGCAGAGCCCGGGCGGAGAGGCAGAGCGAGCGAGCGACAGCCAGCGAGGCAGCGAGCGGGAGGCGGACAGGACTGCAGCGTGCTTCTCCAGGCCCCGCGCGCGGACAGACACACGGACAAGTCCCGCCAGGGGCTGGGCGCGCGCCAGCCGGCAAGAGCTTGGCGAGCCCCGGGTGCTGCCAGCAGAGGCTCAGAGACCCACAGACACCCGAACTCTGACTCACACACACTCACAGCTCACACGTGGACAGGGAGACAAGACACGCACGGAGCCCAGGAAGCTAGAGGCGCGCCGAGGCCAGGGAAGCGCCGCCGGAGCGGGAGGCGCGGAGACAGCCTGGGGCACGCGCAGACACCGGGGCTGCCCGAGGGCTGAGTGGGAGCGCCGGACCCATTGAACAGATGAAAAGACTGAGGCCGGCCACAAGAGAGCCGAAGAAAGTTGAGCCTGGTAGTCACAAAGAAACACGCACAGGGCCATAGATACAGCAACAGACTTACACAAACACAGAGGCCTCACCCAACCGCCCCCAGCCCTGGCTCCCCCCTCGCCTCCCCTACCCGCCCTCCAGCAGCCCTCCAGCAGCCGATCCCGGTCAAAGGGGAGGAGTCTTGGGCCCAGGAGCTTCGTCCCGGTGACAGGCCCGGCCAGACACCGGTGCACACTCCTGATGCTCCCTGCGGGGCTGCTGGAGGCTGGGCGGGGACCTGGGGGTGAGGGGGCCCCACCTGCCACCCTGCGGGAGTCTAACCCCAACTTAACCCTAGGGCACATTGGCCTTCGCCACTCCAGCCGTGTCTCTGGGGAGGAAGGCTCCTGGGGGAAGGTTCCAAAGTCCAGGACCTGCCTGGGAAGCAGCCCGCCACCCCCAGCTTCTCCATCACAACCAGGGAAGAGCAGAGGCAGAGGCTGGAGTCACTGAGATACCAGGGCTCTGAGCAGGCTCCTGGCTGGCATGCATCTCAGGCTCTCCCTTCACCAGCTCGCTGATTCTCAAAAGGATCGACCCCATTTCAACGAGGAAACTGAGGTCTGGGAAAAGGAAGTGGCGTGACCTTGAGTCACATATCCAGTATGTGGCAGTGTGGGGACGGACCCTCATTCCAGACACTGCAGTGACCCCACCTCCCCACGCCAGCCATGACTGCTCCTCTGAGCCTGCATCAGATAGTTGGGCTTCCCACATTCCAGCCACAGTGCCCAGGTCCCCCATAAGGGGGGAGGGGCAGGGCAAGGGCCACTCACTACCTATGTTCACAGCCTCAAAAATTGAGAACCTGTAAGAATTTGGGAAGGGGCTATTAGAAAATCAGTCCTCTCCAGTGGCCGTTCAGGCCTAGGCTCCTCCCCAGAAGACTCTTCCAGTCACCCTCCCCTCCGGGACTCCACCCCCTCTCTCCCACCCCGCCGCAGGGCGAGCTGAGTCAAGCGTGGATGAGTCAGGACTTTCCCATCTCACACCTCCCCCCTTTGCCCCTCAAGAGTCTGCCCCAGCTCCCGAAGACCCCTCCTCCTCCACACACTCACAGTCTCCGAAGACACCTGGAAGGCCTGGTGATGGGAAGCCAAGAGGGCTGATCCCAGCCCAATGCAATTTTAAAGCACCCAGTGAAGGGGGCTTGCTAGTACCAGGCCAGGGGCCCTTGAGGTACGAGAAAGCAAAGGGATGGGGCTCTGGGAACACGTCACCGTGCCTCCCTCTTAGGGGGTTAGGTGGGGAGGGGTAGCAAGCTCACAAACAGGGAGCAGGTGCGAGTCACCTGAGTGGAAGGCCAGGCGCATACCAGGAGAATGAATCGGAGGAGCGGAAGAGGCGGCTTGACAAAGGGCCTGAGATATCCATCCGCTCCCCCACCCCGAGTGACGCGAGGGTAGGAGCTAGCAGCCTAAGGGTTGCTAAGGGTTAAAGTGGACTTGATCCTAGCTGGGGGAGGGAGCTGAGGAAGGCTCAGATGCCCAGAGCCTCCAGGTATGACACACCGGCTCTGCTCCACACACAACTACCACAGGTAGGGCAGGCGTTCACACATCCAGTGGCAACCTGCCTGCTCCTAGCTGCCCCCACGTTGGGAGCCTCTGCTTGGCTCACCAGCTGGCCCAGCAGTGTCACTGCCTAGCTCAAAACCACCCCAAAGAGGCAGTGAGGAAATGTTTTGGAGGGTTCATGCTCCTGAGCTGCCAGGGCCCCCTGTGATGACGTGAAAGCCCAGGACCCTGCTGGGGACAACAGGGCGAACGAGATCCTTGGCCTCTGGCTCAGGGAGATACAGCGCCCGAGACGACAGGGTCCCAAATCCCCTTTCTCCTGGGTGTCAGGACCCCTCAGTCCTCAGAAGCTCTCTCCACCACTCAGGTCACTTCCTCTTCCTGAGGTGGTGACTCAGCGGGCAGGGAGGTCAAGGATTCGTAGCCCAGCAGGAAATCTGCTCAAGGACCAAGGTGCTGCTCTGGGACCCTCGATGTGGGGACTTCCAGGCTTAGGGGGCCTTCCCATGGCCCTGGTTCCTAGTAGCTCTCCACACTTCCCCCGACTCTGTGCCAAAGGAGACCATGCAAATCAGCCATTTTTGCTTGGGAGGTTTTCCCTGGGAGTTTCCAGCCCCACCCCACCTGCAGCCCTAGGGTAATGTCAGACAACCCCAGCTCCACAGGACCAGGGAAACTCCTGGTCCCAGACCTTTCTAGTCTGGGATTGTTGAACAGGGTACTGGGGGGTGATCGGCGGTTTTGCCCATTCTGGCCCACTGTCCCTTCTGGAGCCTGCACAGACAAGTGGCATTGCTTGGACAGGCCTGAGGTCACCTCACTTCTCTTGGCTCCTACAGTCATTGTCAGTGTGGCCGGGCCTTGGGAAGCAATCATGGCCTGGCAGTGGGGTGCCCCCAAAGACAGCTACCCAATCCCCAGCTGCTCCCTCCCACAGGGGGAGGGGTAGAGAGGGGGTGGGGGGCACAAGGAAACAAGACAGGGCAGGAAGCCCAGGCAGGCGGCGGGCACTCTGGGCCAGGCACAAACAACCAACACAGGAAACCACAGCCCACCCCCGCCCACCCCACCCGCCCAAGGCTCTGGGAGAGAGGAGTGCCAAAAGCTTGGTACCCCAACAGAGGCAAGGGCCAGGGGTTAGCCCAGGGCAAGGGAGGAGCAAGAAGCTCTCCAGTCCTCTCTCTGCCCCAGACCCTACCTGGGGAGGGTAGAGGGAGCCAGGCTGGCAGGGATGGTGCTGCCTCTTTAAATCCACCGAAATCCTGAGCTAGGCCCAACCTAGCTCTGGTTTCACAGGAAGGAAAGGAGCTCAGGAGCCAGTAGGGCAGGCAGTGGTGGCTGGAATTAGCCCCACCGGCCCAAATATATCTGGTCTCTGCCCGCCGCCCCACTGGTACTTCCTGTCCCCTGGCACCTGCACCAGGGTGGGGGTAGGAGATGATCCAGGTGCCACTCTCTACCCTATGGAGACTCCCATCTCAGGAGGTGGTGTGGTGCTGGGTTCACATGGGTAGAAGGTAACTTCCCAAGCCTGGGTTCCCAGAACAGGCAGAGATGGGCAAGGCAGCTCCCTGTGGGCCCTCACCTGGCCTCAGTCCTCCAAGGGGTTAATCTGTCCCCTATTTAGGGGGGTAGGGGTGGCCGAGGAACCTCCTCCAAACTGCCTGGCTGCTGGGAACAATGGGGCCATTGTGGGAGGATGGAGTGCAGCAGACTGCTGGCACAGCCAAGCGCACCACGGTGGGACCTCACCCAGCGCCCGCCCGCCTGCCTGCCTGCTCTGCTCTCTCCCCAGGTACAGCCAGAGGCAGAGGCATCCTCCTGGCCCCTCACCTCCCCTGATGGCTCACACTCTTGGCAGCAGCAGCACCTGGGGGCCCCACGAGCTCTGCCCACATTGACATCCAGACTGTCATGACCCTCCAGGATGCAGGGGCACGTGGGCCAGGCCGGGAGGGGTGGGGGTGATGAGACAGGATGTATGCCTGTGACCTCTGCAGGGAGACAGAAGGCCACACGGGGTTTCTGGTGTCAGTCCTGGCACCCTCAGGCAAGAAAGGCTTAGGGGATTGTGAGAGCAGTGACAGGCAGGGTCCCCTGTCCCCAGGCCTCCTCTCCCACACCCATTCAGTAAAGCTGCTCCCAGAGGAGGTCTGGTGCCTGGTGGCCTCGCCCTCTGAGGTTGGGGCCCTGGCAGGCAGTATGATGCAGTGGAATAAGAACTGAGTTTGAGGGCCGGGCGCGGTGGCACACGCCTGTAATCCCAGCACTTTAGGAGGTCAAGGCAGGTGGATCACGAGGTCAGGAGTTCAAGACCAGCCTGGCCATGATGGTGAAACCCTGTCTCTACTACAAACACAAAAATTATCCAGACATGGTGGTGGGCGCCTGTAATCCTAGCTACTCAGGAGGCTGAGGCAGAGAATTGCTTGAACCCAGGAGGCGGAGGTTGCAGTGAGCTGAGACGCACCACTGCACTCCAGCCTGGGCAACAGAGCGAGACTGTCTCAAAAAAAAAAACCAAGTTTGTAGTCAGACAGTGTCAATCACACCCTGCCCCTTCTCATCTATGGGGCCTTGTCCTTCCCTTTATCCCTCTGAGCCTCAGCTTCCTCATCTGCAAAAGGAGAATAATTTTATAGAGTGAGGTAACAGTAGTGAAACTAACAGAATGCCTAAGACACACCAGCCCTTGACAAACCACTTCTGGCCTCAATTTCCTTATCTCTACCTCCTGCCATGGCACCCAAATATGTGGGCATTTGGTAAAGGCAGGCACTGTCCAGATATTTTCCCTGTGAGTGTCCAAGAGAACAGGGCCTGTGGGCATCATATTAGTGGTACCAAGTAAAAAGACTTGGCTCCTCCCCTGCCCTCCTCTCAGAGGTCAGCTCCCTCCGCTGGCACACTCCTGGGCATCCTGGGCTCACCGACACACTCAAATCCAGAGCATGAACCCAGAGAGGGGCTGGGTGGCTGTCCACTCTCTTAGCCTCAGGACCATGTCTCAAAAGTCCAGGAGGCAAGTGAAGGGGGATTTCCCTTCAAGAGAGCCAGCCTCCCCTCTGCCAGGTCCCCTTCTCCCTGCCTGCCCCTTGGCAGTCACCCTGTAGTACTTGGGCTGGGAGAAAGCTTAAGCCTACTCTCTTGCCATGGATCTCAAAGGAAGGGTCTGGGAGAGAAAGAACAACTGACAAGCAGTTCTGGAAAGTAGGGGGCCCAGGGAGAAAACCTGTTCTCTTCTCAACTAGACAGGGCTGTATCTCTCAGGGTGGCCCCAGAAGCCCCCAAAGGGTTAACAAGGCCCTAAAAATAACCTGCGCCCAGCAGGACCCACTGATCGGAACCCTCCAGCCATCTGTTCCCATTTTCTCGTGTTCACATTGGAACATCTGAAACCGGCCCCAGAGCCCCAGCCCGATCCCAAAAATAGCCCCAGCCTGCCCAAGGAACAGGCCCCAGGGGCTGGGCACAGGAGGCATGGCCAGTCCAGTAGCAAGGCATGGCCCAGGCAGACCCTGAGCCCTCATCCCCCAGGCCCATGGATGGGAGGTGTCCTCTCTAGATCCAGAGGAACATGATAAGCAGAGCCAGGGGCTCCAGCCCACCCCTCTTGGTACCAAGCCAGAGAGAGCACCTGCTAGCTAAGTCCAGGCCTCAGACCCAGGGGCCCTGGGATCCTAGGCACTTCTACCACATCTTAGTCCCCAGAAGATTTTACCCACCTTGTCTGCATAGCTTCCCCACCTCATTGTGGGCACCCCATCCCTGCCGCCCACTCCTGGGCTCCTCATCCAGAAGTTCCCAAGCCTCAGCCCCTCCACCATCCCACTCTCACCCCAGGGCCTATAGGAGCCCTGGCCACCTGGCCCCACTCAGCATTCTCCCTTGCCAGCACACAGGGTTAAGGCAGAACTTTTCCTAGCACTGTCCACACTCCCCCTTGCAGCTCAGGGAAGGACTCTGGAGGTGTCCCTTGGACGCTGTAGATGCTGATATTACCCCACTCCCCTTCTGGGCTTCAGGATGCCCCCTCCCTGACCATCTGTGTCCAGCAGGTGACAGACAGGCCCATCGGGGCTCCCCCACATGATCATAGGTCTGGGCACTGCCCCTCAGAGAAATGCCCAGGCACGGCACAGGGAATCCGGGGTCCAGGGCCCTGAGGTGTTCCTAACAGCTGCCATCCAGGTCACAGCTCCACACTGACACTTCTCTCCCCAAGCCAGGTCCCTGACCCCTAGGCCAGGAAGGAGAGGAGGCGGCCATTTAAGCCATTTAAGGACGGAATGTCTTGTTTGCCTGGTGAGAGCAGAGCAGCAGGGGATGGGGCAGTGGGAGGAGTGCTGAGCTGAACTGAGCAAACAGCCTCAGGGAGGAGGGCTGGCCCTGGGAAGCCTGAAGATAGCGAGGGAGACGTGTCCTAAGCTCCCTGGGCCTTCTCCAGGCCCCTGGCTATTTGGCAAACTTGCAATCAAGAAGTCAGCAGGCACCAACGATGGGGAAGCGGCGGCAGCAAACAGTGGATCTGGAGGGGTATTAGAATCCAGGAATCTGGAGTGTGGAAAGGCTGTCTCTTCCCCACCCCCACACTCCCTCTCTCACCATCAATTCTTTCCCTGCTAAAACCCCTGGGAGGATCAAAAGTTCCTGTGAAGAGCTCTGACTAATCAAATGAGGGGAGGATCACCAACATTTATTGAGCATTTACTTTGTAACTTCACCAGTCCTAAATGCTTCACGTGCATCCTCTAGTTTAATCCTCAGAACAATCTGGTAAGAAAGTATTCTTATTATCCTCACTTTCCCACTAAGAAAAGGGACATGCCGAGAAGTTAAATAACTCGCCTAAGGCCCATAATTTTAGAAGAAGCAGGATTTGAATTCAGACACCCTGGCATCTGGGTTCTGGGCCATTTCACAATACTCCAGATGCACCACAGTATCAGTCCTCTGAACGATGACGAAAGAAAGCATGGGTGTCCAGGCCCCACCCTCTCACTCCTCACATCCTCCCTCCATGCCTGATGTGCCCGGGGCTTGCCCAGGGAAGATCAGAGAGAGAGCACCGCTCCCCACTCCCTCAACCCAGGTACCCGCCTGGCCTGGCCTGTGGTGCCAGGACAGAGCAAAGTTCTCCAGCCTCCCCCAGCCCCGCCCAACTCCAGTCCGTTACTTCCTCACCCATCCTTGTCCCTGCCGGTCAGAGGAGGGCACAAGGCTAGTCACCGAGACAACAGCACAGAGCCCCTGCCAAGAGTTACCACGGGCTCGTGAGAGGCCCCAGGTGGGGGTCAAAGGTCAAGTGGGACTCACCGGTGAGGGTGGAGTCCCAGCCCTGCCCCCCACCCACCTGTTCAGCCACACCTGGCCAATGCTCCCCATCTCTTTCATTCCTCAGTAGAGAGCAGGACCACTTCCTTGGTGTCCCTTGGGGGGTGGCTTCAGTGGAGAGGTTCGGGGCTGAGGTGAGGGGATGAGAAGCCCCTCCCTCCTGGGGATGGTCTAGGAGAAGTGCCTCCTCCCAGTCCCCAGCTTCCTCCAGCTTTCCCTAGTCGAACCGGGAGCCCTCAGGCGTGTTTGTTGTGAATTCAGGGAGTTGTTGCTAAGTAAGGAAGGGGGGCTGGCGGAGGGAAGAGGCTGTGTGTGTGTGTGTGTGTGTCTGTGTCTGTGTGTCTGTGTGTGTACACGCACGCATGTGTACGCTAGGGGACCAGGGGCCAGGGCAGAAACCACACTACTGTGGCTGGTAGCCACCCTGGCTTTGACTGAGCCAGAAGAGGCCAAGCCAGCGAGGAGGAGCAAGGACTTGGGATAACCAGGAAGTTGTACCTTGCCCTCCAGGGCGATTGGGCGGAATCTCCTTGCCTCCCGCAGGGTGGGGCGGGTGGGGGGTGAGATCCGCTGAGATAGAGAAGGGCTGGACTCTCACTGGAGCCTGGCTCTAACCCCTCCCAGCCCGGCCCCACTCCCCACCTGACTGGGTCTAGGGTTCTGGTCAGCCTGTTTGCCCACCAGGAGCCAGAGGAGACCTCCCTCCTCTGGAGGGAGGGGAATGAAAGGAGAGATGGGGGCAGAAAGCCAAGAGAAGGGAGCCCAAAAGACAAAACGCCAAGCAGGAGGCTAAGCCAGGGTGACGCGGCCGCCGCGGACAGAAATCAGGGAGGCTGAGAGGGACACACAGGGGCACACAGACCTCTCACCTCAGGAATAATGTCGGGCTCAGGCTCAAGGGTGTGGTCTGGGTTGGGGGCTCCCTGTGGAGAGAGGGTCAAAGCTAGAAGCCCCCTTCTAGCAATCTATGTCCCCGCTCCTCCCATCACCCCAGCACCCCCCACGAACACACCACAGAAACATGTACACACAGTCCACACAGCCTGCAGCTCCAGGAAGTCTCTGAGCTACTCAATTGCCACCCCCCACCCCCACCAGGACTTCTGTGGATTGGCTGGGAGCCAAGCCTGACCCCAGCTGCACCGCTGCCCCCCCCCCCCCGACCCCCCAACCCCCGCCCACCACACCATCCCCTCCCTAGCCTGGAAGCAGGAGAGGAGGAGGCACTGGAAGACCTTAGAGCTCCCTTAGAGCTTGGCCCCACGGGGAGGAGGAGAGGCAGAGGACTCCCATGACCTGGCCTGAGGACCTGGGGGAGGAGAGGGATGGGGAGGTTGGAGGACCCCAGATTCTAGCACCAGCCACCTCCAGGTTATCCTATGTCAGGGAAAAGAATGGCTGTGTATTCTATGTCCCTGTGTGGTCTCCCTGGCTATAGCCCTGGTTCCCTGAAGAGGCCAAGTCCTGAGGACCTGGTCTGGTTGGGAGGACCTGGGCCGAGGGAGTCGGTTTAGCAATTCAGTAGGAGGGGGCTGGGCGAAGCTCCCACAGCAGGCGGGAGAGAGGCTGGTGGCTGGGCTCAGTTTGTACTGGGGGGTCAAAGGGGAGTTCTTTTCCGAAGAATTCTGGGAGAGACGCCAACTAGAGCAAGCTGCTAACCACCCCTCCCTCTCTCTCACTGCACTGGGCGGGGGGTGTCCCTGCCAACCAGACTTAACCCTCTCCAGCCTGTGTTCCTCCCAGACCTGAGATGGGGTCTGCTGGGGAGGAGACCTTCGGCTGGGCTCAACTTTCCATTCTAAGGCTCATACAGAGCAGGGCATCTACCAGCATAAGGCTGGTTCCACATGGCCCCGTCTGGCACTGCCCTGCCCTGCCGCCACCTAGGTGACTTTTCTGAGCTCATCTCCTAAAGGTGTCTGCAGTGACGTGTGTGCGTGTCTCAGAGACAGAGATTGAGAAACAAGCTGAAAATTCCTTGCCCAGGCCCTCCCCCTGCTGGGTCACTGAGCACTGTACCAACCTGTACCCCTCCCTTCCTCCCACTGTGCTCTGGGACCAGAGGCCACTGGGGGTGGGGACGTAAAAGGGACAGCTTATCCTTATGTCCACCTCCTGCTGCTGTCTCCATAGGTCTCTGACTCACACAATCAGCCCCGGCCCCAGCACTCTGCTTCCTCACTGATTTGTCACAAGTGCTTCTGGAGAAATGCATTCCATTCCCATCCTGAGATCCCAGGATGGGAAACTGAGATGCAGCAAGGTTATGGGGGTTCTAGTGCCTGCATCCCATGCACTAACTCTGCTATCACCGTCCTTGCTTTGGCCCCAAATCAAAAAACCCTAGGAACCTCCTCTAATGTAGAATACTGTCTAAGTGCAGTAGGAGGGAATGAGATTAAACATCAAGAAGGACTTCCCACGATCGATCAAGGCTACAAGGGCAGCTGGCCCCACCCCAGATGCCTGGATTCCAGACCCCTCCGTCTTCTGCTCAGGCTGGAAATATGAGTGTCTTCTCTTGTTTAGCTATTTGACCCTAGCTGGAGAAGTCAACTTTTCTGAACCTTAAATTTGCCACCAAGCTCCCAAGTCCAATGTGATTGGCTGTTCCTTGCCCTCAATGAACAAGTGACCCCAGAGTGGGGGCTTAGCTCCCTTTCCCCACCCCTTTTCCTTTAGAACACCGAGCCTCTCTGTAACAACCACCACTGTATAATCAGGACAAGAAGAGGTGGACAGGTGGTATGAGGACCCTACAAGGTGCTAGGTGTCCGTGAGGGGTAGAGGGAGAGACCCCAGTCCCCAGGGAGAGTTTATCACAAAGTCTCCACTGCACCACTCTCTCTCCAAGGACCACGGAACTGCCAGAAGCCTTGGCCCCACTCCAGGAAACTTCCCTATCAAAGGGCAGAGGACTGCATGTCCCAGGGAGCTGTGGGGAGACCTGTGACTACATACCCCAGACATGTTCCCAGGGAGGAGAGAGGAGGGAAGAGAAGTGAAGCGCATGTGTGTGCCCGCACACGCACATACACGTGGACGAGACACGCCCCCAGCACACACACTCTCCAGAGGTACCCCGGACACTTACAACACAGACACAACTCCCAAAGATGCACATCCAAAGACGTTTCCTAAAAAGCACTCCAAATTCTCCAAGAGTGGCCCCTTCAGACCCACAGAGGCTCCCGTATTCATAGAGACAGCCTAGGGGAGCTCAGGAAACACACATGACATCGGCCAATCACACAGAACTGCCAAACAGAACCGCCGACAGAAGATACACCCACACTGAGACACACACACACACAAACTTATACACACACACAAAGTAGTACGCAGCCATGTGCTAGCACACAAACTCAGACACACAAACTTGCAGCGCAGAGTGTGTGAAGTCGGATTAGAAGGCAATGCTCTGGGGAGGAGGGGAGCCTGCAGGGGGTGGAGAACCACTCAGGGATTTCAAAACAATCCTGGTTTCGAAATGCTGGAAATGCTGGATTCAGGGCCATTCCGAGTTGAGGCTGGGGGTGGGGAAGTGGAGAGTGAGGAGGAGGGGAAGACGGGCCAGCCCAGGGCTACCAGTCCATTGGAGGAGGAACGGGAACGGACAGAGGGAGTCCCAGCTCTGGTGGAAGGGGGCCTAGAATAAAACACCAGGGTTAGGAGGGGGACCAGTCCAGGGCCAAGCAGGGAGGGCCTGGGCTGCAAAGGAGAGGCCTCTGCTTTTGCCACTGACAGGAAAAGTGAGAAGGCAGGGGAAGCCGCCCCTCCCCCTTGGCATGGAGAATCAGAGGGAACCTGTCTGTGTCCTTTCCCCTACTCCTGGGCAGTGGTGACCACCTTCTCCCCTCCAGAGTGGCACCCTGGCTCCCCTTCCCCACCAGCTAGCACAGCCCCAAGGTGGGTGGAAAGCTAAGGGGTCACAGGGGATGGGGAGATGGCAAGGGCCTGCAGGAGTCAGGGGTCTTCCACAGGTTCCAGGACCCCCCACACTCAGAGCAGGCTGTGGGCATCCCCCTGGGAACCCAAGGCTTTCTTCCTCTCCACAAGGATGCGGGACCCTCGGGGAGACTGAGGCAGTGTAACACATGCCCACACCCAGGAAGTCGCCCCTCCCACGGCAGCCAGAATGCCCTTACTGCCCCTCCCCCAGCCTCCAGGGAAAGTCAGGCTGAGTTCTCCCAGGAGGGGAGGGAGGGGAGGTCAGGCCAGGCTGGGGGTGGGGCTCAGAGGCCTGGCCCTGGCACCAGGCAGAGGAAATTCCAGGCTGTAAGTCCAGGCAGCCTTCAGGGCCGCCGAGCCAAGTGACATGCACCAGCTCAGGAGCTGCAGTGCTCTGGCCTTCCCCTCCTAGCCCTGGCCTTCCAGCCCTCCAACTGGCTCCAGCCCCAGCTCTGGGACTCAGATAGGCTCCTCAGCCCTGGCAGGAGCTCCCACCAGCCCCATCCCGGCTCCTCTGGCCAGTTAGAGCTTCCCTTCCTCAGTTCCCTGAGGGCAGCCCCCACGGTGTGTTTGTGGGTGGGCAGCTGTCGGGGCTGGCAGGCAGGGGCACACATGCGGAGCTAGAGCAGCCAGGCGCTCAACAGGTTGAGCCAGTCCATGGAACAGCCGGCCCCACCCCAGGGAGAGCGGGCCTGGCAGAGGCTCCCTGCCCGCGGCACCCAGCCTGTACCCGCTTGGCTCCCACGGCTGCCCACTTTCCCACGGTGCCATCCCCCTTCTGCCCCCTCCCCCCATCGGAGGTCAGCACCCGGGCAGTGCCCAGGGCTCTGGCACAAGGAAGGAAGGGATGCCATTCCCCTGTCACCCCTGGGTGCCCAGGCTCTTGAGCTACCTCACTCTCAGCACCCAAGGAGCCCCAGAAACAGCCAGCATGGCAGCAGGACCACAAGAACCCCAAAGGACTTCCCAGGCACCTCCTTGTGGGCCTCTTCTGATTCTGGGAAGACTGGAAACTTGAACACCCCAGCTCTCCAGAGCTGTCCCAGGGTCCTGGGACAGAACTTCAGCGTGTGGTACCAGAGGCAGTGTGGGGGTGCCCCCAGCTCCTCCTATTGGACTCCCTGGAGGAGGGGCTGCAGAGCTGGGTGACAGTGGCTCTCGGACTCCCTGGAGGAGGGCTGCAGAGCTGGGTGACAGTGGCTCCCTCCACTCCTGCCCCGGCAGCTGCTGCTGCAACCCTGGTCCTTTCCTCCCACTCCACTCCTGGGCTCCATGGAGCTCCATCGCAGTCACTCCCCTGATAGGCAGGCAGCTCCCCTTTGCTCGGCATCTCCTTTAATCTAAAGCAGGTGCCAGGCATTCCAGCCCTTGCTGAGCCGACACTGCCACCCCCTAGGCCCCTGCCCAGAGGCTACTGTCCTGCCTGGTCTGGAAGTTGAGACCCCAGCCTAGGGCTCCCGCTTAACCCAGGTACCAGGACTCCAAAGGCAGGAACTAGCTAAGCAGGGTCATGGGTACCCAACACAGATTCAACAGGCAAGATCAATAGGTCCCAAATTGCCACTGAGGCGCTAGATTTCTGTGGACTGCCAATCCCTCTCTAGGACCCTGTAGTATCTCTCCGGTCCCATGACTCCCCATCCTAGTAGAGACTCATTCTGAACCTCCATATGGGCCTCCAGAACCCATCACCAGTCATGGGACCCCTTCTACTCCAGGCACAAGAGTCACTCTGGATCCAAGATTTTAGGTATTCTACCTGCCCCTCAGCACCCTTCCTGCTGTGAACCATCACCCCACCCCACTCAGGAGCAACATGGGTAAGCAGGGAACCCCTAGAGGGAGGTGGCCAGAAGGCTGCTTCCAGGCCTGGCTCTCCAAGGCCAAGGAGGCAAATCACCTGGGGGAGGCGGCACCTTCCTTCCTGGCACCAGCCTCCCAGTCTCTCTCCCTGCTCCTCACCTTCCTCACCCATTCTCTCCCTGTCCTGTCCTGAGGCCTCTATCAGCAGGGCCTCAGAGCTGACACCAGGAAGACAGGGCCTGAGCATGCTCCTCCTCTGGGGTCATGAAATTGTGGTCCTGACCTGGAGAAGGTAGCCCGGCCCATGCTGAGAGGCAGCAGAAGAGCAAGGCAGCCCCTGCCCGGAAGTGGCTGCTCCCTGGAGAGACCAAGAAGAGAAGGAGAAGACAGTGGAAGCCCACTCACTGTGGTGGTCTCATCCAGAGAGCTGCTCAGAGGCAGCAGCAGAGTTGGAGCAGATACAGGGCACAGTCAGCTTTCACACTAAACCAAGGCTGGGAGTGAGGGCAGAAGATCCAGGGAGGCTTGGAACCCCTTTGTGAGGGCTCAAACACACGCCCAGTTCACCTCTCTCAGAGCAACACTTTTTCTCCTCGCAGCAGAGGTTCCCCCAGACACAGACACAGACACAGACACACACCCCAAGCAGTAGACAGAAAGAGAAGGGAGAGAGGGGGTGTCAGAAAAACCCGGAAGGAAGGAAGCTGGACAGACAGACAGTAGCTGATCCTAGCTTCATTGCTCCAGAGAGACACCCTCCAGACTCCTAGACTTCAAGGGACACTATCCTTCTCAGAAGGAGAGAGCAGCCCTCTGTCTCTTCTGAAACCAAATTCCAGCAGCCCTGGAATAGGACCTACCCCAGCGCAACAAGAAGCCTAAGCTCACTTCTCTTCCTACATTCTTCCCCGAGGGTTCCTTTGGATCAAGACAGGGGCCACCTCCCCTTAGCAGCGCAGGGACACTTCCAAGGAACTGTATGACTGCCCCACCCCCCAGCCAAGCCCACATCACTCAGAAGCCTTGGAAGAAGAGACTCCTCAGTCACAGCCCCCGCTACTCACAGGCAGTGCCTGGGAGAAAAGGGTGACCCCCAGCTCTCCCCAGTCCCAACCCACCTCCTTCTGGAGGCTCCTATCAGCCAGAGGAGGAGGGCTGGGGTGCTGAGACCCACGGGGTTGGTGAGCCTGGGAGGGGGACTACATCTCCCAGAAGCCCCCAGGGCAAGGTTCGCTGCTCCAGCTGGCCCAAGGCCGGCCTTGTTCTCTGCGCTAGGGTGGCAGGGTCCCCTGGCTGTCCCTAAGCCCTCCCCACGGTGTTCTGGAGCTGCCAACCTGATTGGGGGCTTAAGAGTAGCCTCCACTGACCCTGGGGGAGTCCCCCACACCTTAAACAGCCTGGGGGTACGTGCCAGAGAGCAAGAGACAATCAGACTGTGTTTCCCCTCCCCGATTCAAACTGGATCTCCCTCCTCGCGCCTCTGCTGGCCTGGCATGACTTTCGCCTTGCCCCCAGCCCACCCCTCACCTCACGCGGATTGGGGGGTCCTCACGCCAGGCCGGAGCTGGACGCCATGACCAGGTCAGGGTCGTTGTGTGGATGGGGGTCCTCCTGCTCGCCAGTTGGAGATGCAGAGGGGGCGGGCAGGCGGTGATCTTTTGATCCTGGACGCCTTGATCTCAATACCAGCCCGGCCCGGGAGAGGCTATCCGGGGATCGCTGGGTGCCTGGGTTCCTGCCTCCCAACCGCGGAGCATGGTCGCGGGCGCCGGGCAGTGGCGGGAGAGCGCGCACACCCGCCGGGGCCGGGGCGCGGGGCCGGGGTCTCGGCCCCGAACCTCAGGGCTCCGGCTCCTGCTCCTGCTCCTCCTTCCCTTGCTTGCTTGCTTGCTTCCTTCCTTCCTTCCTCGCCTCTCCTTTCCTTTCCCCAAAGCCCGCGGGAATGCCGGGCGCTGGGTGGGGAGGGGCTGTCTGGGCGCTTATTGTTGGTCGGACTCCGAGGGTCCGGGTCACAGCCCCCGGGCGGCGCGGCGCCGGGGGACCCAGGCGTGCGGGCGTCCGGCCGGCTGGCTCCGGGCGGCGGCGGTGGTGCAGCGGCCCCGGGTCCGGGGCATGTCCAGCCACTGGCTCCGCCGCGCGCCGCCGCCTCCCCGGGCTCCCCTGCGCTGCCGGAGCCTCGCTTGCCCCTCCACTCGGCTCCACTCCCCAGCCTGAATAAGCATCGGGGCTCTCTGGCTGCCTCCTTCTGCCTTCATACCAGAGCCCGGAGAGGCCCCTGTCAAAATAAGAGCTCCCCCATCTCGCTTGCCTCCTCGCCCAACCCGGCTCCCCCAGCCTCCCAGTGGTCTGACTCGGTAAGGCGCCCGGCCGGCTAGCGGGAGGCAGGTTGGCCCGGGGGCGGGGAGGGGGGTTTCTGCTCTCCTCCTCACTCCTGAGAACTGGGGAGGAGACGCGCCAACAACATCCCAGGCTAGGGAAAGGTTTGACAAACCTACCTTCCTATCTGCACTGATTGGAAGGAGTGGAAGTTGCCTGGACACACGCGCGCGCACACACACACACACACACAGCACTGGGTCCCCTCTTCGTTGTACCCACCCACATCCATAATGCACTGAGCATCTCTTTATTCATGTCTCTCCTAGTAGACCATGAGGTCCTTGAGGACACAGACTGAGTTTTTTCATCTCAATCCTCAGCAGCACAAAGTGCATGCTAAGAAAATGTTTGTGGAAGTGAAACCTTTGTCTTCTCAAAAGAACTCTCCTAACCTAACCTCAAAGTGCTTCTCTCTCTCTCTCTCTCTCTCACACACACACACACACACACACACACTCTCACCACCCTATAGGACGATCGAGGCAATGAAAAAGAAAATGTAAAGCCCTTTTTTTTTTTTGAGATGGAGTTTCGCTCTTGTTGCCCAGGCTGGAGTGCAAAGGCGCGGTCTCAGCTCACTGTAACCTCTGCCTTCTGGGTTAAAGCGATTCTCCTGCCTGAACCTCCCAAGTAGCTGGGATTGCAGGCACCTGCCACCATGCCCGGCTAATTTTGTATTTTTAGTAGAGACAGCGTTTCACCATGTCGGCCAGGCTGGTCTCGAACTACTGACCTCAGGTGATCAACCTGCCTTGGCCTCCCAAAGTGCTGGGATTACAGGCGTGAGCCACCGCGCCCGGCCCAAAGCGCTTTTTAAAAACATTTCACATGTTTCAATGCTCACCACAAACCTGCAAGAAAGAGGTTATGGTCCCATTACAGAGGTGAGGAAATTGAGGTTTGCATTACCTAAGGACTTACCCAGAGCTACCCAGCTAGAAAGTGGTAAGCCCAGGACTAGAATTTGGGTCTCCTTATCCCAGGGCACTTTCCCTGTTTCCTACTGTCCCCACCCACCCAGAATTAATAGCAAGTGACAAGCATTGACTGTGTCTGATAGGAAGAACACTAGCCAGCCTGCTTGTTCCTGCTGTTTCCTCGGCCCTCTCCCCTGCCCCTCCTCACAGATGGTCCCCAGATAGTTCTAGCCTCACTGACCTCCCTCTCTTCTGACCACCTATCCCATCATAGCATCTGAGTACTTCCTGATGTGTTGTATCTTGTCACACACACACACACACATATATATATACACACACACACCCCTATATATGTATAGGTGTATGCACACACACACATATATATATATGTCTGATTTCCCCCAAAAGATTCCTAAGGGCCTTGAGGGGTTGATGGTGCCAACAGCTGGGCACTGGACAAGGTTTAGGGAGGCACAGGTGGAAGGGGACAAAAACCTGAAAGAAGATAACATAGTAACCCCCCCCCATGTGTCCCATCACTGCTTACAAAGCATTTTCATGCACGTTGTCTCATGATGATGCTTTGATCCAATCACCAAAACTTTTCCAAGTGCCAGCCTGCTGTGCCAAGCACTGTCCTGGGTTAGGGGGTTGAATCACCACAGTCCTGAGAAGTCGATTTTATCCCCACTTAAAAGAAAAGAAAACCAAAGCCCAGAGAGGCTTCTAATGTGAAAGATCCCAGCACCTAGGCTAGTACCTGACCCATGGAAATAAGGTTTAATTTCTTATCTCCTCTCCAGAAAGACATAATATGGGCCCCCACTTCTCCAACAGGGTGCTTCTTAGAGGGGACCACTGCATTTATGTGGATCAGTCTCCCCTTACATATATGACAAGCCAAAGGGGCTTGTTATGATCTCTTTGGCACAATTCCTGGTTCGTAGTAGGTCCAAAACAGTGTTTGCAGGGGCAAGTGAGTCTGTGTTGCCAGGGGTCTCTTAAATGGTGCACAATACATGTCCTATGGAGCAGCCACGCGGAGCGCTCCCCTGGGTGGGGCTGTGACTCATTCCCCCAGCGGAGGTTCCAGGTTGGGATTCGGAGCTGAGCTCTGGGCAGCCACAAGTTCTGGGTGGAACCCTGGAGAGAGCCAGGAGGAAAGGAGAGAGGCAGGGGGCCCTTGCTGGAATCGAGCGGCTCCCTCTACTGGCCAACTCGGGGAACCTCTGTCTTTCCGTGTATCTGTGTGTCACTGTGTCACGAGGGGTGTCACAGGTGTGTCAGCGTTGGCGTTCGTCGGTGGAAGTGCCCGCATGGGTATGGGTGCGTGAGGGTGCCCGTTCGTGACGCAGTGTGGGTGTGCCAGCGCCACGAGGGGCTGTTTCTGGAAGCACAGTGTGTACACACAACCGTATCTTGTAATACAATTTACTTTGGGGCTGCTGGGGGTCTGAGATTAGGCATCCCGTTGCCGGGGTTACTAGGACAAAAGGATTCTCCAGCTGGTACTCCTCACCGGCTGGAGCACTAGCCCGAGAAGGTGGGAGGAGTCCAGACCAAACAGTTCCTGAAAAGGACTCTATCACCTAAAGCAAATAGGGACCCAAGAAAGAGTTAACGCAGAGCCCCACAGTGACTTCAATCATTGGCTCAGGGCACTGTCAGTCAGAGGTCTGGGGGCGGGGTTTGTGGGGCCTCCATCTGACTGCCCAGCGCCCCTCACTTGCCCCTCGACCCCCACATCATCTCACTGCTGGGCTGCGCCCGCACCCCCATCTTGGTGGCGACACCGTCCTGGGCCCTGGAGGAAGAGCCGATCCGGGCATCCTGGCTTCCCCACTCACTCCAGCTGCCTGGCTTCCTGATAGATGGTGATTATATAATAGACTTGCTGGACAGAACCGTGCCAGCGCTCGGAACACTTTGCCCCCTCCTCGAAGCCTGCCCCAGGGCCTGGCACCTGCCACACAGAGCCTGCTGCCGGGTTCTGCCGGCGCCCCCCAGCAACGCCTCCATTTCGGGGTGGGAGACCCCAGGACAAGGTCCTGGGATGGGGCGGGCGCCAAGCGGAGAGAAGCAGGGCGGGTGCCCCGCGGGTCTCAGGGTCGGCCTGAGGAGTGTGGATTCACAAGCGCCTCTCAGGATAGTGGGACCCGCCTGGCCCCTTCCAACCTGAGCTTGCAACTTGGGAGCCAATAGAGGAGCAGGGGCCAGGGTGGGAACGGGAAGGAGTTTGGAAAAGGTGTGGGGGCAGGAAAGGGAGGCTGAGAGAGGGGGCCGGCTGGGGCAGGGGGGAGGGACTCTTATCCCTCACCACTGCCGCCTTCCCCGACTGGAGGGTTTGGAAAAACTGAGCAGGCAGCAAGGCTTGGCTGGAAATCCTGCAGCCCACCCTCCTGGGGACACAAAGCTGGAGGGCGGGGGCAGGGCGGGGGGAGAGAGCACGACCCCGGGGAGGACAGGGCCTCTTTTGGGGCTGGGGGCCCAGGGGCCGGACCCTGGGGAGGGGGTTCCTGGCGCTGTCTCCCTGCAGTCTGCTTCCCCCTTCTCCTCTACCCCCTCCGCTTCCCCCTCCTCCCCCTCCGCGGCTCCAGTCTTGCAGATTGCGGGCAGACTTAACTCCTTGAGTGCCAGCCTGGTGGACTCGGTGGTGGTGACGCTGTGAGGGAGGGAAGGAGGAGGGACTCCGGACCCCACTCCCACCCACAGTTTAACACCTTGTGCCCCGGAACGCAATCCCGGAACTGGTTGGGTTCCAGTGCCCTGAAAGGCTGCTTGGTTCTGGAGTCGCCACACGCAAAACAAGGCACCTGACGGTTCGGGAATCGCCCGCTCTCTTGCCTAATCTTCCCTGCCTCCCCTCCCCACCGCCGCCTCAGGGACTCTCCCTCCACTTTTTGGCTACCCTTCCCCCACCCCACCCCCATCTCCAAGTTGCAGCCGACAGCCGAGGTCCCTGCCAGATTGAAGCAGGGGAGCCCGGAAGTCTGGGTTTTGTAGCTGCCTCAGCGCTCTCCTCTACATCCCACTTCTGAGGCCCAGCGCAGGTGACCGCAGCCCATGCCTCTCTTGCCCCCAGAGGGGCTGCTTCACCCATCTGGGGGGCTAACTACCCAACGGAGGCAGGGAACGCTAGCCTCCCCTAGCTCCAGCGAGGACTAAGGACCTGAGTAGCTGGAAACCTGACTTCACCTCTACCCTAGCCCCTCCCCTAGCGAACAGCCCCTCCCCCGTCCTCTGTGACCCTCAACTCTGCTGTGGATGACTCTGCCGAGGGAATACCGCAGACTAGGCAGGAAGGGGTTAACGCAGCTACTGCGCTCGAATGGAGCGCCAGGTGAGGCACCACCCATCTTGGCCTTCAGGTGTGTGGGTGGGGAAAGAGGAGGGACACTGACCTTAAGGGCTGCTTTTTTGCCCCCTGGTGGCTAAATCTGGCTTAGCAGCCGCTGGAAAAAATACGCTCACATGGGGATTCGCGGAAGAAGAACACTGGCGACGACAGTAGAGTGTGCCTCTTGCGGGAACAGCACCTTCCTAGGGAAGGAGATCGTTCTGGGAAGGCTGATGGAAGGAGGGAGCTCCCACAGTCCCTGCCACACCATCCCGCTCAGTAGGCTGCCTCAGCCAATTCCAGATCCTTGCCCTAGGGGCTCTACTTGTGGGTCCCAAACACCTGGAGGAGGGTAGGAAAAAAACAGAAGATACAGGCCCTGTCCTCCCAGGGTCTCCATCTAATAGAGAGGGTCTGTAGGAGGAAGTTGCTCCTACCTTTTCCTTCCGTGCCTCAGGCCTTCCCAGAGCACCCATTCCCTCCAGACCCCAGCATCAAATACAAACCAGCCAGGCTTCAAAGCTCCTACCAGCTACCCCAACCCCCTTCAGCTTCTCTCCCCTCCAGCCAAGCTGATTTCTAGGACCCTCCCTGTAAAAAGACTCCACTTGAGGGATTCCAGGTGTTCTTATCCCCAACATGGCTGAGACCCTTCCTCCCATCTACCCAAAGCCCTCCCTGATTAGCAAAGCCAATCATCTTGAAGGGCTCCTTCCCCCCCTCCCCTTCAATTGCCTTACTTTTCTCCCTGTCCTTATTTCCCACTACTTTCCTTTCAAGACTTCTTTTTGCATGGGCAGTTCACCCAATTGGGGACAATTCTGTCCTCCTTGTACCCTGTGATACCTCAATAGTTGCCTTTTCTCCCAGCTCGGTGGCAAGCCCTGTAGTCCCAGCTAGCAGGCAGGAGGATCACTTGACCCCGGGAGTTCTGGGCTGCAATGCATTATGCTGATGGGTGTCCACACCAAGTTCAGCATCGATATGGTGACCTCCTAGGAGTGGGAGACCGCCAGGTTGACTAAGGAAGGGTGAGCTGGCCCAGGTCAGAATGGAACAGATTGAAACTCTGGTGCTGATCATGGTGGGATTGGGCACACAAGCCTGACAACACCAGGACACCCTGTCTCTTTATTTATTTTTTCAAACACCAACTCAAACCAGATGAGACCTTGTCTCTTAAAACAAACAAACAAACAAAAAAAGTCTTTTCCTTCAGGAATCCTTCTCTGACCAACCCCACCTACTTATTCATCCAACAGATATTTATTGAGGACCTGCTATGTGCCTGGCACTTGACTAGACACTAGGTTGGTACATGTTGGTGACATAGATGTTTGTCCTTTTCCTCACACAGCCTGCAGCCTAGTGGGGGTCAGACAACAAGTGAGTGGGTGATTTCAATTCAGTGTGGGCACATTTAGGGGAAGTGGACACCAATCCCAGACTTGAGAGTTTGGGGAAGCTTCCTGCAGGGACCAACTGTCTGAGCTGGAACTTCCAGCATCAGGTATGGTTCTGTCCAGGCAAACAGTACATCTCACTAGAGCTCTAAAGATAGAATAGGAGGCTGGGTGTGGAGGCTCATGCCTGTAATCCCAGCACTTTGAGAGGCTGAGGTGGGTGGATTGCTTGAGTCTGGGAGTTCAAAATCAGCCTGGGCAACATGGCAAAACTCTGTCTCTACTGAAAGTACGAAAAAAAAAAAAATTAGCCAGGCATGGTGGCGCATTCCTGTAGTCCCAGCTACTTGGGAGGCTGAGGTGGGAGAATCACCTGAGTCAGGGGTGGTCGAGGCTGCAGTGAGCCGAGATCGTGCCACTGCACTCCAGCCTGGGCAATTGGAGTTAGACCCTGTCTCAAAAAAAAAAAAAAAATAGCATCCCACCAAAGGCTCTCCACCAGTTGTTATGAGAGGCCTCTAAGGCGGCGTTCCCAAACAATGCTTTTTTTGTTGTTTTTTTCCGAGACAGAGTCTTGCTCTATCGTCCAGGCTGGAGTGCGGTGGCGTGATCTCTGCTCACTGCAACCCCTGCCTCCCAGGTTCAAGCAATTCTCCTGCCTCAGCCTCCCAAGTAGCTGGTAGCTGGTGGCTGGGATTACAGGCATGTGCCACTACGCCTGGCTAATTTTTGTATTACTAGTTGTGATGGGGTTTCACCGTGTTGGCCAGGCTAGTCTCAAACTCTTGACCTTGTGATCTGCCCACCTCAGCCTCCCAAAGTGCTGGGATTACAGGCATGAGCCACCATGCCTGACCCAAACAACCCATTTCTGGTTTTTAGTTTTTTGTTTTTTTTTGAGATGGAGTCTCGCTCTGTCACCCAGGTTGGAGTGCAGTGGCGCGGTCTCGGCTCACTGCAAGTTCCACCTCCTGGGTTCACGCCATTCACCTGCCTCAGCCTCCCGAGTAGCTGGGATTACAAGCGCCCACCACCACGCCTGGCTAACTAATATTTTTTGTATTTTTAGTAGAGACGGGGTTTCACCGTTTTAGGCAGGATGGTCTTGAACTCCTGACCTTGTGATCCGCCCGCCTCGGCCTCCCAAAGTGCTGGGATTACAGGCGTGAGCCACCACGCCCGGCCCCAAACAACCCATTTCTAATTCTCCAAGTCCCAAAAGAACTTTGTTCTGAGAGTCCAAAGTACAAGACCTTGGCCTAGTCACTTCCTGTCTCTGGGTTGCAGCTTCTTCAAGTGTAAAACAAGAGGCTTAGGTGCCTTTATCTTCATGCCCTTCTTTATCCTATAGATAGCGATTAAATAGTTGGCTTGTTGACAGAAAAACCCTCACTTAGCTCTCATCTGCATGGGGCTACCAGAGCTCATAAACCCAGGAGAAGCTGTCATAGGCAGGACCTCAGAGAAAGCCAGTTGGTCAGTCACCTGTGTCTCGCCCACTGCCCCCTTGGTCTGGCAGTTCTGCGTCCTGGGAACATTTCATTCTTGCTGCTAATGGAAGGCAAGAGGCTTTCCGAGATTGTGCTGGAGGGGAGAGCATGCCCACAATATATTTAGTTACTGTATTAATCTGCTCTAATATGTAGCACTATAGGACTGTTATTTTTGAGAGAGGGAATGTTCTCAGGTGAGGAAACTGCTTGGTGAAGGTCCAGAGTGGTGAAAGGACTCGCCTAAAAGCATAGGGTTGGTGCTGATAGCTGGAAGAGCCTCCTGATTCCGTGTCCAGACTCTTTCCACGACACCACGGCAGCACTTGATCCAACTTTCCATTGGACTTCTTCCTGTGTCTGGCTCATTTCCCTGTGAGGCCATACGATCTGGGAAGGCAGGCTCAGCCTCCTTATCTGGACATCCCCCAGAGCCTGGAGGGGTGCTCAGAACCTGCCATCTCCCAGGCCCTCCTTTTCTCTCTCATCATGACCCTGTTTATATTTATGTAGCTCTCTTACTCATTCTAAAAAGCCTTCCCTGGATTGTTGACAAAGCCCTGGGCCAGGCACAGTCCCAATCCCAGCCAGATCTAAAACCTGCTCTGTGACTTAAAACAAACTGATTCACTTCCCTGGGCCTTGTGTTCTCCATCTGTCAAGACCTATAACCTGGCGGGGCACAGTGGCTTACGCCTGTAATCCCAACACTTTGGGAGGCCGAGGTGGGTGGATCACTTGAAGTCAGGAGTTTGAGACCAGCCTGGCCAACATGGTGAAACCCCGTCTCTACTAAAAATACAAATATTAGGCAGGCGCGGTGGCTCATGCCTGTAATCCCAGCACTTTGGGAGGCCAAGGCAGGCAGATCACGAGGTCAGGAGATTGAGACCATTCTGGCCAACATGGCGAAACCCTGTCTCTGCTAAAAATACCAAAAAAAAATTAGTTGGGTGTGGTGATGCACGCCTGTAGTCCTAGCTACTCGGGAGGCTGAGGCAGGAGAATCACCTGAACCCAGGAGGCAGAGGTTGCAGTGAACCAAGATCGTGCCACTGCCCTCCAACCTGGGCTACAGAATGAGACTCCATCTCAAAAATAGGCCAACCTATTCTAACTCCTAAGGCATTTGTAATCTCAGCTCTGAAATCCCAAATCAGGAAGTGTTTTTAAAAGACATAGCTCTGCCGGGCACGGTGGCTCATGCCTGTAATCCCAGCACTTTGGGAGACCTAGGCGGGTAGATCATGAGGTCAGGAGTTTGAGACCAGCCTGGCCATTATGATGAAACCCTGTCTCTACTAAAAATACAAAAATTAGCCAGGCATGGTGGCATGCACCTGGGAGGCTGAGGCAGGAGAATCACCTGAACCTGGGAGGCGGAGGTTACAGTGAGCCAAGATCGCACCATTGCACTCCAGGCTGAGTTACAGAGCGAGACTCTGTCTCAAGAAAAAAAAAAAAAAAGACATAGCTCTGAGATAAGGGAATAAGCCCAATGCTTCTGTCTTCCTGTAGGGTCTCACAACCTCAGGAATACATCTGCTTTATCTGCAGGGACTAGGGTGCTGCTTTTTTTTTTTTTTTTTTCCCCAGAGGTGGTTGTCTCACTATATTGCCCAGCCCCAAGTTCTTATCCTTACTAGTCATTGTACAAATAATACAGGTACCTGCCTTCAAGGGGCTTATAAGATGGGGACAGTGAGAGAACAATAAAAGATGCTGAATAGGCCGGGCGCGGTGGCTCACACCTGTAATCCCAGCACTCTGGGAGCCCTAGGCAGGCAAATCACCTGAGGTCAGGAGTTCAAGGCCAGCCTGGCCAACATGGTGAAACCCCATCTCTACTTAAAATACAAAAAAAATTAGCCTGGCGTGGTGATGCACGTCTGTAATCACAGCTACTTGCGAGGCTGAGGCAGGAGAATCGCTTGAACCAGGGAGGCGAAGATTGCAGTGAGCCGAAATCACGCCACTGCACTCCGGCCTGGGAAACAGAGCAAGACTCCATCTCAAAAAAAAAAAAAAAAAAAAGATGCTGAGTAATTAAATCATATGAAGTTTATGCAGTCAGTGCAAATTGCATCCTCAGGTAGACCTGGTGGAGAAAGAGAAAACTGACCTGGAGCTGGAAAGACAGGCCAGGGACAGAGTCACACAGAGGGCTCGGTGAGGGGCAGGGAAAGAGCAAAAGCAGGATTAATGTCAATAGGAAGGGAGTGAATCTCAAAGACCAACTACCTAGTTCAAGTTCTCTTTTTTTGTTTTTTTGTTTTTTTTTTCTGAAACGGGGTCTCACTTCGTTGCCCAGGCTGGAGTGCGGTTGCCACGGCTCACTGCAGCCTCAGCCTTCCTGGGCTTGGGTGGTCCTCTCACCTCAGCCTCCTGCGTAGCTGGGACTACAGGCACGTACCACAACACCCGCTAATTTTTGTATTTTTTGTAGAGCTGGGGTTTTGCCATGTTGCCCAGGCTTGTCTCTAACTCCTGGGCTCAAGCAACCCTCCCTCCTCAGCCTCCCAAAGTGCTGGGCTTATAGGTGTGAGCCACTGTACCCAGCCTTCAAACTCTTTCTGATGGTTACCTCCCTGCCAACATCTCTGGCCAGCAGTGTATTAGCATCTTCTTCTTTTTTTTTTTTTTTTTTTTCTTGAGATGGAATTTTGCTCTGTCACCAGGCTGGAGTGGGGTGGTCTCAGCTCACTGCAACCTCGACCTCCCAGGTTCAAGCAATTCTCTTGCCTCAGCCTCCCTAGTAGCTGGGACTACAGGCGTGCGCCACCATGCCCAGCTAATTTTTGTATTTTTAGTAGAGACAAGGTGTCACCATGTTGGCCAGGATTGTCTTGATCTCTTGACCTCGTGATCCACCCGCCTGGGCTTCCAAAGTGCTGAGATTACAGGCGAGAGCCACGGCCCCTGTCCATCAGCGTCTTCTTGAACACCTTTAGTAACAGGGAGCTTACTGTTACTCCCAAGACAGCTCACTCCGTTTATGGACATCTGTTTTTCCTTCCTCAAAGCTGAACTTCATCTACCAGTGGTCTCCACGGAACTAAACTTCATTTTGAGATAATCTCTTATCTCCTGGTGGTCCGTGCACTACCTTTTGGGGGTGCACACTGTAAATCTAATTCTTCCTCCCCATGATAGCCCTTCAGGTATTTGAGCTTTAGTGGTCCCTACTCTTTCTTTTTTTTTTTTTTTCTGAGACAGAGTCTTGCTCTTGTTGCCCAGGCTGGAGTGCTGTGGCACAATCTCAGCTCACTGCAATCTCCACTTCCTGGGTTCAAGGGATTCTCCTGCGTCACCCTCCCAAGTAGCTGGGATTACAGGCGCCCGCCACCACGCCCAGCTAATTTTTATATTTATAGTAGAGACAGGGTTTCCGCATGTTGGCCAGGTTGGTCTCAAACTCCTGACCTCACGATCCACTCTTTACTTTTGCCTAAACATTCCCAGGTCACAAAACAATGGCTCCCATCATAACACCTGGCCAACTTACAATAAAGCAAGATTATCTGTCTTCTCCTTTATTCCAAATACCATATCTCCAGTAACGTGACTTAACATTGGATTTGCTCCTGGCAGTCATGTTATGCTGATGTCCCTTTTTCTTTTTTCTTTCTTTTTTTTTTTTTTTTTTGAGACAGAGTTTTGCTCTTGTTCCCCAAGCTGGAGTGCAATGGCGTGACCTCGGCTCCACTGCAAACTCCGCCTCCCAGGTTCAAGTGATTCTCCTGCCTCAGCCTCCCAAGTAGCTGGGATTGCAGGTGCACGCCACCACGCCCGGCTGATTTTTTGTATTTTTAGTGGAAACAGGGTTTCACCATGTTAGCCAGGCTGGTCTCGAACTCCCGATCTCAGGTGATCCGCCCGCCTCAGCCTCCCAAAGTGCTGGGATTACAGGCGTGAGACACCGCGCCCGGCCTGATGTCCCTTTTTCTTTTCTTTTTTTAAGACGGAGTTTCACTCTTGTTGCCCAGGCTGCAGTGCAATGGCGCGGTTGGTCTCAGCTCACCACAACCTCAGCCTCCCGGGTTCAAGCGATTCTCCTGCCTCAGCCTCCCATGTAGCTGGGATTACAGGCGCCTGCCACCATGCTCAGCTAATTTTTATATTTTTAGTAGAGACGGGGTTTCACTATGTTGGCCAGGCTGGTCTGGAACTCCTGACCTCAAGTCATCTGCCCGCCTCAGCTTCCCAAAGTGCTGGGATTACGGATGTGAGCCACCGCACCCAGCTTGATGTCCCTTTTTCTTTCTCCCTATCCCCTCTGCCCCACCAGTGCTGATGTCTTAGACTGAACTTACTAAAACCCCGGATTCTTTTTCACCTGAACTTCTTCTAAGCCATGTCTGGCCCACTGTGTATTGCTGAGGTCTTACATAGATCTCTGATCACTTTATTCTGTTAGGTTTACCTAACCATTCTATACATGGAGATGATTCTTGGATCCTTATCTTTCAATGTTTACTATCCCTCAAGGGTTATATCTGTGAAATGTGATACTATATTTTCATATAAGCTGTTAATAAAAATATTTAACAGGAAAGAGATGGAGACAAAACCCTAAAGTATGCAAATGTTCTTCCGCTTGGTACCAATCCATGTCACACTGAGAAGTAGCAAGAATAAATGGTTTTGTAGGTGGGATGGAGTCAGATCAAAATGAGCCTCAAAAGAAGAAAATAGAAAGGCTCAGAAGGTTTTTGAGTGAAGAGTGATACAAGGAACAATCTGGTATAGCAAAAAAACAAAACACTAACCCTGGAACTCAACAGATCTGGATCTGATCTACAATTCCAGGTCTATTGCTTATTAGCTGTAGAACTTTGGGCAAATTAACCGCTCTGAGCATCTGTTTCTTCTCCTGTAAAATGCGATAACAACTACCTTAGGATTTATTGTGAAGATTAAAAGAGATAGCATATATGACAAGCCTAGTACATAACAGGTGCTCAATAAATGAAGAAGAAAAATGGGAGGGTGAGGAGGAGGAGAAGAAAGTCATGCTCAGGACAGGCCCAGGTCTAGTAGTGTCTCACTCTATTGCCCAGGCTAGAGTGCAGTGGCACGATCTCGGCTCACTGGAACCTCCACCTCCCGGGTTCAAGTGATTCTCCTGCCTCAGCCTCCTGAATAGCAGGGATTACAGGCATGTGCCACCATGTCCAGGTAATTTTGTATTTTTAGTGGGGGTTTCACCATGTTGGCCAGGCTGGTCTTGAACTCCTGACCTCAAGTCATCCACCCGCCTTGGCCTCCCAAAGTGCTAGAATTACAGGCATGAGCCATGGCACCTGGCCAGGTCTGGTTTCTGAAGAGGGACTACACTTGTGGTAAACCCAAGTGGAAAGTCCACCTCTGAGGCTACTGTGAGGGCCTGAGATGACTCACTGGGGCTGGGGCTTGGTCTAGGATAATATGTATGGAATGGCAAAGGGAAGGAAGCAGATCTGAATGACATTTCCAAAGGAGAATTGATCCACCTTGGACTCAAGTGAGGTGTGGAGGATGACAGAGAGAGGAGTCACACGTAGCACCAAGGTTTTTACTCTGGGTAG
Organism: Homo sapiens; assembly: GCF_000001405.40. Taxonomy (NCBI): domain Eukaryota; kingdom Metazoa; phylum Chordata; class Mammalia; order Primates; family Hominidae; genus Homo; species Homo sapiens. The sequence continues at coordinate 118,938,807 of NC_000011.10, forward strand.
TGACAGGGAAGTACGAAGGGGGTGATGGCTTGGGGAAGATGGTTCATGGTTAGTCACTGCATTAGGCATGGCAGTAGGATACCAAGTGGACATGACCAGTGAGGAGGTGAAGCGATTCGATTAGAACTTCAGAGAAAGAGAAGTCAGAGCCAAAGTTATGTTCCTGGGAAGCACCGCATGCCAGTGGTAGCTGCAGGCATTGGGTGAGGTTTCTGAGGGTGAGCTGGGAAGCGAACCAAGGACAGGACCCTGTAGGACACATCCGGAGCCATGACTTAGGGCTGGAGAAGAAACTGCCCCACACTGCTTTCCCTCCCCACCATTCTCTGCCTCCTGGTCAGAGTTGCAAAGATCAACCCAAGCTGACACCCACCCACCCACTGCATCACTGCAGACAGAAATCTGTGCAGAGCCCACTGGAATCGAAACCCTCCAGGACTCTGCTTTTCTGTCCTGATATCAGAAAGGACACAAGTTCTTGTCTAATCAACAGACCCCAGCTTGTTGCTGCAATCGTGCACTTGAAAAGGGAGAGGCAGGAGGGATGCCACAGAGAGAGATGTGGACAGAGGCAGGCAGGGACACCTTCGTGAAGAGCAGGAGAGAAACAGAAGCTGAGGGACAAAGGGGAGGGGAGCGCTGTGAGTACCTCAAAAGGCCGACTGACAGAGGAGGAGAAAAAGAGACTTAAGGAGGGGGCAGGAGAAAAGATTCGCTGGGAAGCTGATGAAGTGCAACTGAGAAAACTGTTGCCATGGTGATGGGTCCAGAGGAGGGAGTAGGAATATAAATCGGATTATGAGTTGGGGGAGTCTGTATGTGCCGAGGGTGTTCAAAACCCAGATGCTGTCCCCCCAACACCAGGCCCTCCCCACGAGATCTTCCACTGCGAGAAGCCTTTCCCAGAGGTCCTCCCCAGGCCAGGCCAAGGAATGCAGTGAGCAGAGGCACTGGAGTGGCCCAGGGCTCAGCATTCCCTCCCCTCCTCCCCCAAAGGCCCCTCAGTGATACAAAAGAGCCCTGCACCCCCACACCAGGTGCCCCTAGCCTCTTGGAGAGTCCTCTGCACAGACCCTCTTCATCAGCATCCCGAGGAGGAGAGGAGGATGTTGTTTTAAGCACCTACTTGCTATGTGGCAAGCAGCGTGTTGGGCACTTCATTCCTTGTTCATTTGGTCCCCACCAGGGCTCTGTGGGGTGGTATTACCACCTCCATTCATAGACAGGAAGCGGGTCCAGGACACAAGCTGGAAGGCCGCAGGCAGAGGGCATGTAATCCTGGCCCATCCGCTCCAAAGCCCATTCTTTTTCTCCTAGCCCTGGCCTGCCTCACATGGCCTGCTTCCCATCCCCTGCTGCCATCTCCTGCACCCTTAGGGCACAGTGGGCATCTCGGGAGCTGCTCAGCGGACAGACTAGGGTGAGGCTCTAACTCCATTCTTGGAGATGAAGGGAACTGGGGAGGCTTGAGGCAAATATGCCACAGCCAGCGAGACTCCAGGCTGGGGAGGAGGTGCAGGGCAGCGCTGAGCTCAGGGCTGGGGAAATGGGGAGGAAGGGCTGAGGTAGAGAGGCCCCGGGGGGTGGGGGGAAGCTCCAAGGCCCAGCCATTTCCGGCAGAGCAGAAACTCCCAGCATGGGCCACGTGGGGAGCTGGGGAAGCTGCAAGTCTCGGAGTGGTGAGGGAGAGCGCTGGGGGTGGGCATTTCCCTGCAGGTCCCTGCAAGTGGAAGTGGCTGGAGGGAGGAAAGAGAGGGGAGCAGTTTCCCTCCTTCGTCTTCCCTCAGGTTTCTGTACAAGTAACAGTTTTGCAAAGGGCACCAGTATCTGATGTGCATATCAAACAGGGCCTGGGGAGGCGGGAGAAGGCCAAGCTCAGGGCTGCGGCCTGGGCAGCTGTGCCAAGACCACCCCCCAACCCCAGGAGGATGGGATAGGATTCCAAAGCATTCCCACCCCTTCCCATCATACCTGGCTGTTCCTTCTGGTGACCATGAAACATCCCCCACTGTTCTCTCAGGGGACCAGCCTGAGCCACACCCCAACTTGGAAGTCCCTGTTGGGGTGGGTGGGGGGTCAGAAATGCCTGGACTCCAAGAGGGGTTAAAGGTCACAATTCTGTTGGGTCCCTTGGCCACTGGGCTGGAGAGGCCAGGTCTCTGCCCCACCTCTCCAAAGGAGGATAGGGCTCCTTCCTCCGAAGGCCTGGAGGGAAGGGCGTCCCAGGATCGGCTTGCTTTGGTGCTTCATTCATACATTCTCCTCCACCCTCCACCCTCCACCAGCATCCCAGGGAGGCCCTCCTAACCCTATTTCCCTGTGCCCATCAGAGGTTCTTTCAGACAACTAAGAAGGGGGCCCAGCAGGAGCCAAAAAGATCTAAGGAAGTGCATGGGGTGGCGGGGTCGGGGGGTTGGATCCTTCTCTTTCCTCCTCCTGCCCTCCCGAGGCCCTCTGGTCTCTTACCCTTTCACTGAGTCCTAGAACCTCCACACAGCCATTTAGTCCTTCAGCATCCTCTTGCCCAGCTTAGTCCCTCTGATTCGCATGCCCTCCAGTTTGAAGAGATTTCCAGTGACTCCTCCGACTTGCCAAATCCAAGGAGCACATTTCAGCACATCTCTTCGGTTCCCTGTGGTCCTGATGCTGCTCGCTGTGCCTCCCACAAGCATCTTCCTTGGGCACCTGGGATACTGCTCCCTCCTGGCTATTCTTTTTCCTTTTAGGGAAGTTTCTCGGTTTCCTTTGCAGTCTCCTCTTTTCCTTTGCCCATAAATGTTGGGGCTCCCCAGGCTCTGTCCTTCACCTTGTCTTCTCACTCAGCATCCACTTGCTCCTCTCCAAGGCTTCAGCTGTTGCGCCTGTGCTGACCTTTCCTGTGCTCCAGACCACACATCCAGCCACCCTCAACATACCTCCATCCGGGTGTCCTTCAGGCACGTAAATTGGCAAGTTCAAGACCCAAATATCTCCACCCAGCCCCTCGCCACAGCCTGCCCCTCCCACCCCCCACTGTGTTCTCTAGCCCCTGACGGTTCTGTCATCCACCCTGCTGCCCAAACCAGGACCTGGGAGCATCCTCCTTAACTCTGCTCCCCAAACCGCACACAACTGTCCCTGTCAAACCATCACTAGACCCTGTCAATTTTGCCCTCTGCCTAGAGCAGTAGCCTATGCCTATAATCTCAGCACTTTGGAAGGCTGAGGCGGAAGGATCTCTTGAGCTCAGGAGTTCAATACCAGCCTGGGAAGCACATTGACACCCCATCTGTACAAATAAAAAGTTTAAAAAAATAGCAGGGCGCGGTGGCTCATGCCTGTAATCCCAGCACTTTGGGAGGCGAATGCAGGTGGATCACGAGGTCAGGAGTTCAAGACCAGCCTGGCCAACATGGTGAAACCCTGTCTCTACTAAAAAAAAAAAAAAAAAATTAGCTGGGTATGGTGGTGTGTGCCTGTAGTCCCAGCTACTTGGGAGGCTGAGGCAGGAGAATTGCTTGAACCTGGGAGGTGGAGGTTGCAGTGAGCTGAGATCATGCCACTGCACTGTAGCCTGGGCGACAAAGCAAGACTCTGTCTCAAAAAAATAAAAAAATTTTAAAAATTAGCCAGGCATGATGGTGCACATCTATAGTCCCAGCTAACTTGGGAGGCTGACACAGGAGGGTCACTTGAGCCCAAGCTTGAGCTGCAGTGAGCTATGATCATGTCACTAAACTCCATTGTGGGCAACAGTAGAAGACCCTTTCTCAAAAAAAAAAAAAAGCCCTCTCCCCAAATCTCCTCTTCTATCGTTTCTTGCCTAGGATCTGATTTCTTTTTGTTTGTTTTTTTTTTTTTTTGGAGGCAAAGTCTCACTCTGTCACCCTGGCTGCAGGGACATGATGCAGCCTCCGCCTCCCAGGTCCAAGAAATTCTCCTGGCTCAGCTTCCCGAGTAGCTGGGATTACCGGCAGGTGCCACCATGCCTGGCTAACGTTCGTTATTTTTAGTAGAGACGGTTTTGCCATATTGGCCAGGCTGGTCTCAAACTCTTGACCTCAAGGGATCCGCCCAAAGTGCTGGGATTACAGGCACGAGCCACCACGCCAGCCTAGAATCTGATTTTTTTTTTTTTTTTTTTGAGATGGAGTCTCGCTCTGTCGCCCAGGCTGTAGTGCAATGGCGCAATCTCCACTCACTGCAACCTCTGTCTCCCAGGTTCAAGCAATTCTCCTGCCTCAGTCTCCCAAGTAGCTGGGATTACAGGTGCGCACCACCACGCCCAGCTAATTTTTAAAATTTTTTAGTAGAGATGGGATTTCACTATGTTGGTCAGGCTGGTCTCGAACTCCTGACCTCGTGGTCCACCCGCCTCAGCCTCCCAAAGTGCTGGGATTACAGGCGTGAGCCACCGTGCCTGGCCTTAGAATCTGATTTTAACAGCCTTTAAAATGTCTCCCAGCTATCCATCCAACACAATCTCTACATTGCAGCAAGAGCCATCTGTATTCAATACAATGTGATCAGCACACTCTCCAGTTTAAAACCCTTCAAGGGCTTCCTTTTATCCTTAGGATCAAAATTAAAATTCCTTAAAGGGACTGTAAAAGCCTTCCATCTTTTCCCAGCTACTTCTCCAGTGACTTCCCCAAATTCTACTCTGACCCTCCAGCAGACCCATTCTCTGACCTTGTGCCTTTGCAGGTCTCTCAGCCTAGAACAGTCTTCCCTCTTTCTCCCCTCTCTTCACCTTCCTAACTCGGACTTAAATTTTAGGTCTCCACTTAGTTACCACTTCCTCCAGGTAGCTCTTCCACACTACTCAAGCTCGTGTAAGTTGCCCTTTAGTGAGAAGCCTCTCTTTTTTTTTTTTTTTTTTTTTTTTTTTTTGAGGCAGAGTCTCGCTCTGTCGCCCACGCTGGAGTGCGGTGGCGCAATCTCGGCTCACTGCAAGCTCCACCTCCCAGGTTCACGCCATTCTCCTGCCTCAGCCTCCCGAGTAGCGTGGGACTACAGGCACCCGCCACCACGGCCGGCTAATTTTTTGCATTTTTAGTAGAGACAGGGTTTCACCGTGTTATCCAGGATGGTCTTGATCTCCTGACCTCATGATCCGCCCGCCTCGGCCTCCCAAAGTGCTGGGATTACAGGCGTGAGCCACCGCGCCTGGCCTGGTGAGAAGCCTCTTTAGCAAGTTATTTAACTTCTTTGTGCCTTAACTTCCTCATTAATAAAATGAGGATAATAACATTGCCTGCCTCACAGAGGTTGTTATAAGGATTAAGCAAGAAAATATATGTAAAGGGGCCAGGCGCAGTGGCTCACACCTATAATCCCAGCACCTTGACCTCCTGGCCTCCAGGAATCCTCCCGCCTCAGCCTTCCAAGTAGCTGGGACTACAGACGCATGCCATCACACCCAACTAATTTTTTTCCTTTTTTTTTTTTTTTTTTGAGGCAGAGTCTCGCTGTGTCGCCCAGGCTGGAGTGCAGTGGTACTGTCTCCACTCACTGCAACCTCCGCCTCCTGGGTTCAAGCAATTTTCCTGCCTCAGCCCCCTGAGTAGCTGAGATTACAGGTGCCCACCACCACGCCTGGCTAATTTTTGTATTTTTAGTAGAGACGGGGTTTCTACTGCTACTGTTTTGTTTTGTTTTTTTAGAGGGAGTCTCGCTCTGTCACCAGGCTGGAGTGCAGTGGCGCAATCTCAGCTCACTGCAACCTCCGCCTCCCAGGTTCAAGAGATCATCCTCCTGCCTCAGCCTCCTGAGTAACTGGGACTACAGGTGCATGCCACCATGCCCAGCTAATTTTTTTGTATTTTTAGTAGAGACAGAGTTTCACCATGTTGGCCAGGATGGTCTCAATCTTTTGACCTCGTGATCTGCCTGCCTCAACCTCCCAAAGTGCTGGGATTACAGGCGTGAGCCACCGCGCCCGGCCAGGAATTTTTTTTTTTTCCTGAGATAGAGTCGTTGCTCTGTCACCTAGGCTGGAGTACAGTGGCCCGATCTCAGCTCACTGCAACCTCCACCTCCCAGGTTCAAGTGATTCTTATGTCTCAGCCTCCCAAGTAGCTGGGATTACAGGCGCATGCCGCCACACCCGGCTAATTTTTGTATTTTTAGTAGAGACAGGTTTTCACCATGTTGGCCATGGCTGGTCTTGAACTCCTGATCTCAGGTGATCCGCCTGCCTCGGCCACCCAAAGTGCTGGGATTACATGCGTAAGCCACTGCACCTGTCTGAAACAAGGAATTTTGCCAGCAGACTGCCTTTGGACTTAAACTGCAACTCTTTTCTGAGTCTCTAGCCTGCTGCCCTCCCCATCACATTTTTGGACTTGCCAAGCCTCCACAATCATGTGAGCTAATTCCTTAAAATCTCTCTCTCTCTGTTTCTCTCTCTCTCTCCATATATATGTATACACACACACAAACACACACACACACACACACACACATCCTGTTTGCTCTGTTTCTCTGGGGAACCCTAATACAGTTGGTGCCCCAGTAGTCCCCAAGCTCAGCTGGGCCATCACCATCAAATACAGCCTTCCTCAAGGCTATTTGTAGCTGCATCCCCTCCTAACAACAACTATTTCAAGCTCTTGCTCCTCTCTGGCCTCCAAACCCTTCTCCCTACTGAGCTTCCTATTTCTCAGAGAAAGCAGAGGCCTCCAGAAGGGAGCTCCTTTATTTCTCCCATCTTCCTGACTTTTCCACCCCAGCCCCCCAAAAAGCATAGCATTTTTCTGCATCATTGCCCCCATTCTTCTCTCTGCTTGGAAATGTCACCGTTTTGGCCAAAGGCTAACCTGAACCCCAATTTCTTCCTCTTTCAGAAGTCTCTCAGTGAATTTTACTCATCTCTCTCCTGCATCTTTAACTTTAAAAATAAAACACGCAGTGGTGTGCCAGTAGTCCCAGACATTTGGACGGCTAGGGCAGGAGGATCACTTGAGCCTAGGAGTTTGAGTCCAGCCTGGGCAACATAGTGAGACTCCCATCTCTAAAAAACAGAACAAAACCCAGGAAATCAATAGAGAAAATCAATGAAAATAAAATCTGGAAAAGAGTTATAAAATATATATATTTTTAAAAAGATAAGCCTTTCCTGTATTCCAATTTCCCCTCAAGTTATCCGTCTCTTTCCTTTCCTAGGCAAGCTTCTTCAAAGAGCTGTCTACACTAACTCTAGTGCCTCAACTCCCAGTTACCTCTGCACTCTTACAGGCAGCTTCTGCCTCCTCACCCGTAAGCAGCTGCTCTATATGCATAACCCCCAAGATACTAGGCCCAGCGGACATTTTAATAGTTCTTACCTTCAATCCTGATCTTCATACTATTTGACACCTCTTTTTTGAAACTCTCCATCCACTCCCTCCTGATTTTCCTCTTATCTTTTTCTTTTTCGTTTTTGGAGACAGGGTCTCTTTCTGTCATCCAGGTTGGAGTGTGATGGCATGATCAGAGCTCACCGCAGCCTTGAACTCCTGGGCTCAAGTGCTCCTCCTGCCTCAGTCTCCTGAGAAGCTGGGAGTACAGACCTGTGCCACTACATCTGGCTACCTCATAATTTTCATTCCTCCTTCATCAGCTCCTCTTGCTGTATCTGTCCTTTAAATGCTTTATTTCCCAGAATTCTGTCCTTGGCTGCCTTCTCCCACTCTCCTTCCACTGCTCCCCTCAAGGACTCTCTTCCACAGGCATGATTTTAACCAGTGCCACCTCCCCTGTCTGCATCCCACACCTCTCCTCCATGTTCCAGAATCCTATGCTCAATGTTGAGTTGCCCAAGATATTTGTATTCATTATTTTTTACTGTATAGTAAATTATCCCCCAAATCTAGTGGCTTATAAAAATAAACATTTGGCCAGGTGCGGTGGCTCATGCCTGTAATCCCAGCACTTTGGGAGGCTGAGGCAGACAGATCACTTGAGGTCAGGAGTTTGAGACCAGCCTGACCAACATGGTGAAACCTGTCTCTATCAAAAACACAAAATTAGCCAGGTGTGTTGGTGGGTGCCTGTAATCCCAGCTACTTGGGAGGCTGAGGCAGGAGAATCACTTGAACCCAGGAGGTGGAGGTTGCAGTGAGCCAAGACTATACCACTGCACTCCAGCCTGGGCAACAGAGCGAGATTCTGTCTCAAAAAAAAAAAAAAAGAATTTATCCTGAGAGTCAGGAGTTTGGGAGAGACCTACCTGGGTGGTTTGGGCTCAGAGTGTTTTGGGAAGCTGCAGTGAAGATATCAACCTGGGCCACAGTCATCTGAAGACTTGACTGGGCTGAAGGAATCGGTCTCCAATCTTGCTCATTCCCATACCTACTGCCTGGAAGTCTCACAACCTCATAGGTCTTTGGCAGGAGGTCTCAGTCCCTTGCCACACAGACCTCCCCACAGAGGAGCTCCAACATCCTCCAGAGTGAGCACCCCAAGAGAGGATGAGGAGGAAGGCACCCTACCTAGCCTCAGAAGTGATGTGTCATCACTTCTGTTGTATTTATTGGCCACACAAACCAATCCTGATGTGATGTGGGAGGGAACCATATGAGGACACGAATACAAGGAAGCAGGGATCATTCAGAGCCATGTGGGAAGCTGGCAGCCACAATACCTCAGACTTATCAGATCCACAAGTGAACTTTATTTTTTTTCTTTTTCTTTTTATTTATTATTATTATTATTATTATTATTTTGAGATGGAGTCTCGCTTCTTTGCCCAGGCTGGAGTGCAGTGGCGCGATCTCTGCTCACTGCAACCTCCGCCTCCCAGGTTCAAGCAATTCTCCTGCCTCAGCCTCTCAAGTAGCTGGGATTACAGGCACGTGCCAGCATGCCTGGCTAATTTTTGTATTTTTAGTAGAGACGAGGTTTCACCATCTTGGTCAGGCTGGTCTGGAACTCCTGACCTCAAGTGATCCACCCGCCTCTGCCTCCCAAAGTGCTGGGATTACAGGTGTGAGCCACTGTGCCCAGCCCACAAATGAACTTCCTTCTCCCCAGTCCTCCCTTCAAATCTGCTCCAAGCCATACATCTGGAAATTGTTCTTGATTCTTCCATCCTAAAATTACTCTGCAGTCAGTCACTGATTCCAGTCAATCTTTCCCTAAAATCACTGCAGTCTGTCTGCTTCTCTCCACTCCCATGTTCATTGCTTGGCCATGAACTTTTTCACCTGGATCATTTTGTTTCTCACTTAGTTTCCCTGCTTTATGTCTTACCTGCTGCCAATCCATTCTCCACACTGTTGCCAGAATGATCTTTACACATTTTAAACTCCTCTAAGGCTTGCTAAGAAACACGCTCCTTAGCGTGGGATACAAAGCCAGTGGCTGTAGCTCCCACCATGCCCATCTTTGAATACTTCTCTCCAGCCAAGATGTATTGTTTGCAGTTCCCAGAGGGTGTCAGCATAATTCACATCCCTAAGCTTTTTCATAGGCCGCTCCCTCTTTTTGGAATATGCCCTTCCACTTATCTCAACCAGGCTAACTCTGATTCATTCTTCAAAGCCCAGCAAGTTTTGAGAGCAGAAACTGTGTCTTGTCCTCTCTGTATCTCAGACCCTAATACAGTACCCACCATAGAGGAATTGCTCAACAAATGTGTGATGAGTGAACAAATGACCGGGCAGTTCTTGTGTGCCTGGCACCCCTGTGGCATGCTTGGCACACAGGAAGAGCAGGTCCACAGCTCAGTCACTTTCCCCCTCGGACTACCTTTCCCTGTCCAAATAGCTCCCTCTGCATCAGTAACACAGCTGGAAAAACAAATTGTGAATCATATCCAACTTCATTCCCTGTGACCTTGGGAAAGTCATTTATTGTCTCTAGTCTTCTTCTGCAATGAAGGTTAATAAAAAGATAAAGTGAATTACTTACATTAATGTTTATTGAGCCAGATACTGTGCTAGGCACTCATAAATAAATTCGCTTGAGGGGCCGGGCACATTGGCTCATGCCTGTAATCCCAGTACTTTGGGAGGCTGAGGCAGGCAGATCACTTGAGGCCAGGAGTTCAAAACCAGCCTGGCCAACGTGGCAAAACCCTGTCTCTACTAAAAATACAAAAAACTAGCTGGGCGTGGTGGCATGTGCCTGTAATCCCAGATACTCAAGAGGCTGAGGTGGGAGAATTCCTTGAACCTGGGAGGCAGAGGCTGCAGTGAGCCGAGTCATGCCAGTGCATTCCAGCCTGGGCGTCAGAGCCAAAATCCATTTCCAAAAAAAAAAAAAAAAAAATTGCCTTAGGGAGAGTCACAATATCCAAACGAGACAGGTTTTTAAATTTTATTTATTTAATTTTATTATTATACTTTAAGTTCTAGGGTAGTTGTGCACAACGTGCAGGTTTATTACATACGTATACATGTGCCATGTTGGTTTGCTGCACCCATTAACTCATTAGGTTCATTTACATTAGGTATTTCTCCTAATGCTATCCCTCCCCCTGCCCCCTACCCCATGACAGGCCCTTATATGTGATGTTCCCTGCCCTGTGTCCAAGTGTTCTCATTGTTCAATTCCCACCTATGAGTGAGAACATGTGGTGTTTGGTTTTCTGTCCTTGTGATAGTTTGCTCAGAATGATGGTTTCCAGCTTCATCCATGTCCCTGCAAAGGATGTGAACTCATCCTTTTTTATGGCTGCATAGTATTCCATAGTGTATATGTGCCACATTTTCTTAATCCAGTCTATAATTGATGGACATTTGGGTTGGTTCCAAGTTTTTGCTATTATGAATAGTGCTGCAATAAACATATGTGTGCATGTGTCTTTATAGTAGCATGATTTATAATCCTTTCGGTATATACCCAGTAATGGGATCGCTGGGTCAAATGGTATTTCTAGTTCTAGATCCTTGAGGAATCGCCACACTGTCTTCCACAATGGTTGAACTAGTTTACACTCCCACCAACAATGTAAAAGTGTTCCTATTTCTCCACATCCCCTCCAGCATCTGTTGTTTCCTGACTTTTTAATGACCGCCATTCTAACTGGTGTGAGATGGTATCTCATTGTGGTTTTGATTTGCATTTCTCTGATAGCCAGTGATGATGAGCATTTTTCATGTCTGTTGGCTGCATAAATGTCTTCTTTTGAGAAGTGTCTGTTCATATCCTTTGCCCACTTTTTGATGGGGTTTTTTTCTTGTAAATTTGTTTAAGTTCTTTGTAGATTCTGGATATTAGCCCTTTGTCAGATGGGTAGATTGCAAAAATTTTCTCCCATTCTGTAGGTTGCCTGTTCACTCTGATGGTAGCTTCTTTGCTGTGCAGAAGCTCTTTAGTTTAATTAGATCCCATTTGTCTATTTTGGCTTTTGTTGCCATTGCTTTTGATGTTTTAGTCATGAAGTCCTTGCCCATGCCTATGTCCTGAATGGTATTGTCTAGGTTTTCTTCTAGGGTTTTTATAGTTTTAGATCTAACATTTATGTCTTTAATCCATCTTGAATTAATTTTTGTATAAGGTGTAAGGAAGGGATCCAGTTTCCGCTTTCTACATATGGCTAGCCAGTTTTCCCAGCACCATTTATCAAATAGGGAATCCTTTCCCCATTTCTTGTTTTTGTCAGGTTTGTCAAAGATCAGATGGTTGTGAGACAGGTTTTATACCCTTTAATTTTTTTTTTTTTTTTTTTTGAGACGGAGTCTGGCTCTGTTGCCCAGGCTGGAGTGCAGTGGCGTGGTCTCGGCTCACTGCAACTACTGCCTCCCAGGTTCAAGCAATTCTCCTGCCTCAGCCTCCCGAGTAGCTGGGATTACAGGCACCTGCCACCATGCCCAGCTAATTTTTTGTATTTTTAGTAGAGACGGCATTTCACCATGTTGGCCAGGCTGATCTCGAACTCCTGACCTCGTGATCTGCCCACCTCAGCCTCCCAAAGTGCTGGGGTTACAGGCATGAGCCACCATGCCTGGCCTGGTTTTATACCCTTTTTACAGCAGAGGAAGCTGAAGCTCAGAGCAGTTAGTGAGGTATGTAACTTGGCAAAAGTCACAAAGCTGGAAGAAGATTTGGGGTAAGTGGTTGTATCAGAGGCTACTTTTTTTTTTTTTTTTTTTTTGAGACAGTTTCACTCTTGTTGCCCAGACTGGAGTGCAATGGCGCAATCTCCACCTCCCGGGTTCAAGCGATTCTCCTGCTTCAGCCTTCCAAGTAGCTGGGATTACAGGCATGTGCCACCACGCCTGGCTAATTTTGTATTTTTAGTAGAGACAGGGTTTCTCCATGTTGGTCAGGCTGGTCTCGAACTCCCGATCTCAGGTGATCCACCCTCCTCGGTCTCCCAGAGTGTTGGGGTTACAGGCGTGAGCCACCACGCAGGGCGGCTACATTTTTTAAAATGGAGCATTCAAGTCTCCTCCAACCCTGAATGACTGGTATTTTCTCATCCTCACAGCATTTTCCAGCCTCAGGTCTCAAGGATAGAGGTGCCACCACTTCCCAATGGACCAACATTTGGTGAGCACCGCATCTTACCTCCAAATCCAATCCTCCAGGACTCCCCCATCCCTGGCTGTTCCTAGGATTATGACAATGATCTCCAGCATTTCTTCCACACCTTTATTTTAAACCATTTTTACACCTGTCACATAGTTTGACCTCCTGAGTAAGGAAGGGGTCTTCTCTTTATATACTTTATTTCCAGCTCTGTCACCCAGGCTGGAGTGCAGTGGTGCAATCATGGCTCACCAAAGCCTCAGACTCCTGGGCTCAAGCCATCCTCCCGCCATAGCCTCCCAAGTAGCTGGGACTGGAGGCATGTGCCACCATGCCCAGCTCATTGTTTTTTTGTTGTTGTTGTTTGTTTGTTTTTTGAGATGGAGTTTCGCTCTTGCTGCCCGTGCTGGAGTGTAATGGCATGATCTCAGTTCACTGCAACCTCCATCTCCCGGGTTCAAGTGATTCTTTTTTGTATTTAGTAAAGAGGGGATTTCACCATGTTGGTCAGGCTGGTCTTGAACTCCTGACCTCAGGTGATCCACCCAACACAGCCTCCAAAAGTGCTAGGATTACAGGTGTGAGCCACCACCCTGGCCTGTTTTGTTTTTGTTTTTGAGACGGGGTCTCGCACTGTCACCCAGGCTGAAGTGCAATGGTGGGACCTCGGCTCACTGCAACCTCCGCCTCCCGGGTTCACACAATTCCCCTGCCTCAGCCTCCCAAGTAGCTGGGATTACAGGCGCACACCACCATACCTGCTAATTTTTTGTATTTTTAGTAGAGACGGGGTTTCGCTATGTTGGCCAGACTGGTCTCGAACTCCTGACTTTATAATCTGCCCGCCTCAGCCTCCCAAAGTGCTGGGATTACAGGCGTGAGCCACCGTGCCCAGGCTTTTTTTTTTTTTTTTTTAATAGAGAAGAGATGTCACTATATCACCCAGGCTGGTCTTGAACTCCTGGGCTCAAGCAATCTTCCCACCTTGGCTTCCCAAAGTGCTGGGATTACAGGCTGTGAGCCACAGCGCCTGGCCATAATTTTTTTTTCAGTTTTGTAGAGATGGAGCCTTGCTGCGTCACAAGGCTGGTCTCAAACTCCAGGTCCCAAGTGATCCTCCTACTTCAGCCTCCCAAAGTGCTGAGATGACAGGCATGTGTCACTGTGCCTGGTGAGTCTGCCATTTTTTATTTCATTTTATTGAGATGGAGTCTCACTCTGTTGCCTAGGCTGGAGTGCAGTGGCATGATTTCAGCTCACTGCAAGTTCCACCTCCTGGATTCAAGCGATTCTCCTGCCTCAGCCTCCCAAGTAGCTGGGATTACAGGCATGCATCACCACACCCGGCTGATTTTTGTATTTTTAGTAGAGACAGGGTTTCACCATGTTGGCCAGGCTGGTCTCAAACTCCTGACCTCAGGTAATCCACCCGCCTCGGCCTCCCAAACTGCTGGGATTACAGGCGTGAGCCACCGCACCTGGCCAAGTCTTCCATTTTAAATGTGAGAACATTGAAGTCCACCTAAAGTTACATGGTATCTCATCAACAAGAGGACAGTAGCTGCCATCAGAGGCTGACATGGCCATGCAGCCAAGTAGACATGTTTTTCTAATTGACTGGGAGGCAGAGAGTGGCACTCTGGAAGGAGAACCCTGGGCATGTCAGACGGACCTGGGTTCTGATCCCAGCTCTCCTGGTTGAAGAACTGCCATAGTTCAAGTGAAAAAAAAAAAAAAAAAAAAAAGGTGCCACAGTCCAGAAAGAAGTTTGTTTTAGGAGATAGTCTTCTAGGCTGAGCAGACTAGAGCTGTTAAGAGCTCCCTGAGGGCAGAGACTTATCTTACCTTTATATCCCTGGTGGCTAGTGCAGTTCCAAGGACATAGTTGGTACGCAATAGGAGTGCTTGAATAGGAGATTTGGAAGAGAGGAGGCAGGGGAGGGAACTCAAGAGAGTTTAGAATCAAGAATCCAAGGAGGAGACAGCCTAGAAAGAGTGGGTCCAAGACAGAGACTTCAGGCATGTGGCCCTGGTTCCCTTACTCCAAGCCATTGGGAAATCCTCCAGAGGAACATGGTGCTGTGGCTTTAACTGACTTCAGCATTGTCAATGAATCTGCTCTGCTAAAAGAGTTATCCTCTTGCTCCTGGGCTTGGCCTCCCCCTCCTCTCAGCTCCCCAAACCCTTCTCGGCTGCTGTGATGGGATAATTAGATGCGAGAGCTCAGCACAGATGATGCTCCAGTTGCTTAGCAACTAATGGTTTCCATGGAGACCGCAAAGCACAGCCTCCAGAGCAGCCAGTGAGCAGCTCGGCAGGGCAGGGAGAAGACGCAACTCCCCGCTCCTCCAGAAACCTGGGGAGGGCTGGGGTGGGGAAGGTGGGGGGGGGGGATTGGAGGGAGAAGGGAGAGCTTAAAGGCACAGGGCCCTCTTATCCCTTTAAAATCTGATCAGAGATCTGCCCTCCCCTACTCCACTCTGTACCACTCATAATTTTAGATGGGGATGGGGGCTTAAGAGTGGACCCAACTCAACCCACCCTGCAATAAACCCAACCTCTTCTTTCTGCTTCTTGGTTGTGAATGAGGAGAAAGACCTCCCAGTTCAAGTGTAAACAACTTACTGGTGGGTGACAGGTTTTGAGGAGTACCAGGAAGATCCCCTCACCCTGGCATTCCACCATTTAATCTGTCCCCTCTCTCCCAAGTTGTCCTTAATGTGCAAGAGACCCTCTTTCCATTTGTGCAGTGGTGGTGGAATCAAAAGCCAAGGTGCAGGAAAAACAGAACCAAATTCTTCACCCAAAAGCAGCCTGTTCGGGCAGATTGGGAAGGAACACCTGCCCTGATCCCTGATGTCCGTGGAAGAGGATCCAGCTGGGGGTGGGGATGCTGTTTACCAATACAGAGCAGCTGGCAACTTCAAGTGTGGGCCTTTCAGACCGGCATCATCAGTGTTACGGGGAAGTCACTAGAAATGCAGAATTGATTGGGCACGGTGGCTCACACCTGTAATCCCAACACTCTGGGAGGCCAAGGCGGGTGGATCACTTGTGGTCAGGAGTTTGAGACCAGCCTGGCCAACATGGTGAAACCTCATCTCTACTAAAAATGCAAAAATTAGCTGGGAATGGTGGCACATGCCTATAATCCCAGTTACTCAGGAGGCTGAGGCAGGAGAATCGTTTGAACCTGGGAGGCAGAGGTTGCAGTGAGCCGAGATCACGCCACTGCACTCCAGCCTGGGTGACACAGCGAGACTCTGTCTCAAAAAAAAAAAAAAATGCAGAATTTCAGGCTTCACCCCAGACCCACTGCATGACTGCATGAGAAGCTGCATCTTAACAAGATCCCTGGTAATTCATACGCATATTAAATTTGGAGATGCACTGGCGTAAGACCCTCCTACTCTCTGCTTAGGCCCATGAGTTCTTCCTTTACTGTCATTCTCCACTCACCCCAAACTTTGAGCCTACCCTTCCCACCTTGGCGGTAAGGACACAACCTCCCTCACATTCCTACCAGGACCCTAAGCTTCCCTGGGACTGAGGAAGATAGAATAGTTCGTGGAGCAAACAGATATACAGCAACAGTCTCTGTACAGCTCTCAGGCTTCTGGAAGTTCTACAGCCTCTCCCGACAAAGTATTCCACTTTCCACAAGTAACTCTATGTGTCTGAGTCTCAGTTTCCACTTTTCTCTCTCTCTCTCTCTCTCAATTTTCTGAGACAGAGTTTCACTTAGTTGCCCAGGCTGGAGTGCAGGGGCACAATCTCGGCTCACTGCAACCTCCACCTCCTGGGTTCCAGTGTTTCTCCTGTCTCAGCCTCCCGAGTAGCTGGGATTACAGGCACACACCACCGCGTTAGTTTTTGTATTTTTGGTAGAGATGGTGTTTCGCCATATTGGCCAGGCTGATCTCGAACTCCTGACCTCAGGTGATCCGCCCACCTCGGCCTCCCAAAGTGCTGGGATTACAGGCATGAGCCACCACGCCCGGCTGATCTCTTTTCTATTTTAATAGAGATCAAACTCTCTGTGTTGCCTAGGCTGGTCTTGAACTCCTGGCCTCGAGTGATCCTCCCACCTTGGCCTCCCAAAGTGCTGGGATTACAGGCATGAGCCACTGTGCCTGGCCTCAGTTCTACTACAAAAGGAAGCCAGTACCAGCTACCACCCAGGGTGGCTGTAGGGCTACAATGGAGCACACAGAACCCCTACCCAGGGCCCGGAAGACGTCCTGACTCCTCTCCCCTCCCTCTGCTCAGAACTCCTCTGCTTCTTTCTGATGTAGCCCAGGGCTGGAGGAGGCAGTCAGGGAAGTTCTGTCTCTTTTTCATGTTATCTTACGAGGTCTCTTTTCTCCATTCTCAGTTCAACAAATGGTTGCTGCCCAAGGCTGACTGTGCCCACCCCCAACCCCTGCTGGCCAGGGTCAATGTCTGTCTCTCTGGTCTCTCCAGAAGTCTTCCATGGCCACCTTCGTCCCCACCCTCCAGAGGAATCTGAAACCGCATGTGCTCCCTGGCCCCCACAGCCCCTGCCTCTCCCAGAGCAGCAGTACCTAAGCCTCAGTGCACTCCAAGAATTGAAACCCTCAGTCTGCTGCCCCTCCCCACCAGAATGTTTCTCTCCCATTCTTACCCACTCAAGGCCCTTTCAGTAGCCCCTTGGAGTATTCTCTTCCTACATATCAGGGCAACTTCCAAACTCATCACCCTTCTGAGGGGTGGGGGAAAGACCCCCACCACATCGGGGGAGCAGTCCTCCAAGGACTGGCCAGTCTCCAGATGCCCGTGCACACAGGAACACTGCCTTATGCACGGGAGTCCCAGAAGAAGGGGTGATTTCTTTCCCCACCTTAGTTACACCATCAAGACCCAGCCAGGGCATCCCCCCTCCTGGCCTGAGGGCCAGCTCCCCATCCTGAAAAACCTGTCTGCTCTCCCCACCCCTTTGAGGCTATAGGGCCCAAGGGGCAGGTTGGACTGGATTCCCCTCCAGCCCCTCCCACCCCCAGGACAAAATCAGCCACCCCAGGGGCAGGGCCTCACTTGCCTCAGGAACCCCAGCCTGCCAGCACCTATTCCACCTCCCAGCCCAGCATGGCACCCCTGCTGCCCATCCGGACCTTGCCCTTGATCCTGATTCTGCTGGCTCTGCTGTCCCCAGGGGCTGCAGGTCTCTTCCATCTCTGGCAGGGGTGGGAAGGGGGCTGGGGGCCTGGACAGGGAGCACTGTACCTTCCAGGGCTCTCAAAGAGAGGTCTGGACAGTTGGGAGTCAGGGCTGGTGATGGCAGTGACTGGGTATCAGACACTGGGCTCAGGGTACACTCCTGATCCTCCTCCAGACCTAGGAGGCAGAGAGGTGTGGGCAAGGATCCGATGCTGCGGGGAGGGGTGAGGTTGGGCGCTGCCCGACTCCTGGCATCCAGGTTCTGGCTCTGGGGACCGCTTGGTGGAGGGTGCAGCTTCTGCAGCCCAAGCCTGCCACCTGGTGGTCATACTGGCACAGGCCTGGCTGTTCTGCCCAGGGTTCACAGAGTGGAAAGGGAGATGGCTCCAATGGGACCGGGCCAGATCTGTTGGCCAGGAGGGGTCAGTCCCCATCGGAGCTCCCTCCTGCCTCCCATCAGACTTCAACATCTCAAGCCTCTCTGGTCTGCTGTCCCCGGCGCTAACGGAGAGCCTGCTGGTTGCCTTGCCCCCCTGTCACCTCACAGGAGGCAATGCCACACTGATGGTCCGGAGAGCCAATGACAGCAAAGGTCTGCTACCTTCTCCCAAGGCATCCCTCTAGTCCCCAAAGACCCCTTCCTGCGACACCCTCTGCACCCTTTTCCCCATTCATGCCTTCCTGTCCACCCGTCTCCTGGGGTACCCACACTCTAAAAGCTGCCCCTTCTCCTTGGGGCCTCCAGAAACTTGACCCAGTCTTCCCCTCCCGCCACTTCTGCCCAGTGGTGACGTCCAGCTTTGTGGTGCCTCCGTGCCGTGGGCGCAGGGAACTGGTGAGTGTGGTGGACAGTGGTGCTGGCTTCACAGTCACTCGGCTCAGTGCATACCAGGTGACAAACCTCGTGCCAGGAACCAAATTCTAGTAGGTACTGGGTCCAGCCTGAGGCACCTAGGGAAGGGGGTGCAGGAAGAGAGAGAAGCTAGTGTGGGGGAGATCTGGTGGGCATGAGGAGAGGGTGAGGGCACAGCAAAAGGGGGTGAAAGCTGGGCCTCTTGGAGGAGTGCACATAGGGGAGACACAGCTGTGAGGGTAGGTGGCCCAGGCTGGAGCCCCTCTTCCTGTAAGTCCCAATACTCACTGAGGGTTCTCTACTCTCTCCCAAACCACAAAAGCATTTCCTACCTAGTGAAGAAGGGGACAGCCACTGAGTCCAGCAGAGAGATCCCAATGTCCACACTCCCTCGTAAGTAACACTCCCGCCTCCCTTTCCCATCTCAGCGGCCACAAACGCTTCCCTGACCATTCCTGCCTCATCCCCAGTCTGGGTTGCCTGTGCCTCCCCGTGCGCCCTCGGGGCCCCTGCTTACCTCTATCCTAGCACGGAACCTTCGGCATGGCTACTGCACACTCAGCTAAAGGTTCCTCGTGGGCAGGGACTGTGTCCTCTTAACTTTTCCTCAGCGGCTGACATAGGAGATGCTTCATAAATGTCTATGTGATGGGTGTTTGGATCCATCAGCTGGTTGGTTGGTTGGTTGGTTGGCTGGCTGGCTGGCTGGCTGGCTGGCTGGTTGGTTGGGCAGTCTGTTGGCTGGATGAGTGTGAGGCCGTGAGCCTCAGGCAGGCTGGGGGTCTCTCCCGCCCACAGTGGTCTCCCCTCTCTTTTGACAGGAAGGAACATGGAATCCATTGGGCTGGGTATGGCCCGCACAGGGGGCATGGTGGTCATCACGGTGCTGCTCTCTGTCGCCATGTTCCTGCTGGTGCTGGGCTTCATCATTGCCCTGGCACTGGGCTCCCGCAAGTAAGGAGGTCTGCCCGGAGCAGCAGCTTCTCCAGGAAGCCCAGGGCACCATCCAGCTCCCCAGCCCACCTGCTCCCAGGCCCCAGGCCTGTGGCTCCCTTGGTGCCCTCGCCTCCTCCTCCTGCCCTCCTCTCCCCTAGAGCCCTCTCCTCCCTCTGTCCCTCTCCTTGCCCCCAGTGCCTCACCTTCCAACACTCCATTATTCCTCTCACCCCACTCCTGTCAGAGTTGACTTTCCTCCCATTTTACCACTTTAAACACCCCCATAACAATTCCCCCATCCTTCAGTGAACTAAGTCCCTATAATAAAGGCTGAGGCTGCATCTGCCACATGTGTTTCCCTTTAGTGGGCTCTACCTTGGCTCAAACCTGTGGAATCTATGTCCAAGCTGCAGGTGCTCCTGGTCCCCTCCCTGCCCCACAGCCCAGAGTTACTTTTCCCATGAGGCAGGCAGGGGCCAGTAAGAGCCCAGCAGTCAGAGTTCTCAGAGACACACCGGGGCTGTGGGTTTGGCAGCATCCACAGTACACAGTGGGCCACTCAACTAGGGGTGCAGGTCAGGGCAGAAGCTGGGGCTGGTGCCCCATGTGGAGGCCTGGAGGCCTGGGGGTGGGGGTGGGGGGCAGGCAGAGCAAGGGAAGTGCTAGGGAAAAGAGGAGAGGATCTGTCTGGGAAAAGACAGGCCAGGTGCAGTGGCTCATGCCTGTAATCCCACCACTTTGGGAGGCCAAGGCGGTCAGCTGGCTTGAGGTCAGGAGTTTGAGACCAGCCTGGCCAACATGATGAAACCCCGTCTCTACTAAATATTAAAAAAAAAAAAATAGCCAGGTGTTCGGGCAGGTGCCTATAACCCCAGCTACATCCCAGCTCTCATCCCAGTGGCTGAGGCATGAGAATCGCTTGAACTCAGGAGGTGGAAGTTGCAGTGAGCCAAGATCACACCACTGCACTCCAGCCTGGGTGATGGAGTGAGACCCTGTCTCAAAAAAAAAAGACAAAGACGAGGCCACCAGGCTGAGACCCAAGAATGGGGCATTGGGGTCAGGAGAGAGAAGAACAGGCTAAAAGTATTCTAGGAGGTGAGAACGAAAGCAGAAGAACCCTGGTTGGAGTGGGCCAAGAGTGGAACAGCCTAGTACTGAGGGAAAAAGGCAGGAGTGGCCACATTCCTTCACTTTTGTCCTCTGCAGTATATAACATATTCTTTTTAAGGATCAGTGATCTTTGCATTGTACTTAGGGTAAAGACCTTCAAGGCCAGGCCTGATCCCGTAACTGTTCCTCAGCTCTTACCAGATTCCCTCCAATTTCCCAGGCTCCCTCTTGCCTCAGGGCCTTTGCACAACTATTCCATACAGCCACACTGATATTGGCACCACCCCCCAACACCTCCATTCCGGTTTTCATAGTTAGCTTACTGTCCCTTCTCCAGGGAAGCCTTCTCTGACCTCCATTTTCTCCTATTTGGTTGGGTTCCACTCTCCTGTCTTTCATAGCATTACCACGGTTTATAACCATGGGTTTGTGTGATTATTTGGTTGTCTCTCCCATCAGACTGTAAGCAGTTGCTTTGCTCCCAAGGGCATATGGTATCTTTGCTCCACAGTGCCTGGGACACAGCAGATACTCAATAAATGCTTGCTGAATAAGTGAACAAACAAATGCACAAATGAATGAACCAGCCTCTAAAGAGAAGGACAGAGCTAGGAAAGTGCCCAAAAGAAAGAGGAAGGAAAGGAAGGAAGAAAGGAAGAAAGAGAGAGGTAAAGAGAGAGAGAAAGAAAAAGAGAGAGAGAAAGCAAGCAAGCAAGCAAGCAAGCAAGCCGGGCACAGTGGCTCATACCTGTAATCCTAGTACTTTGGGAGGCTGAGGCAGGAGGGTTGCTTGAGCCCAGGAGACCAGCCTGGACAACAAGGCAAAACCCCGTCGCTCTGTCGCTCTGACACCCAGGCTGGAGTGCAGTGTCTCAATTTTAGCTCACTGCAGCCTCAAAATCCTGGGCTCAAACAATCCTTCCGCCTCAGGTCTCTGCATAGCTAGAAATACAGGTGTGTACCACCATACCCAGCTAACGTTTAAATGTTTTTGTAGAGTTGGCATCTCACTATGTTGCCTAGGCTGGTCTCAAACTCCTGGGCTCAAGTGACACTCTTGCCTTAGCCTCTCAAAGTGCTGGTGTTACGGGATCTCTGGGATGTCAACTTTTCTGGCTGGAAACCTCTGTGGCCATGACGTCTTTGCCTGAGTTCTTGTCATGCATCCAGGAAGAATGAAGTATGCAGACAAGTGAAGGGTGAAGAAAAGGGTTTGTTTGTTTGTTTGTTTGTTTGTTTTGAGACGGAGTTTCGCTCTTCTTGCCCAGGCTGGAATGCAGTGGTGCCATCTCAGCTCACCACAACCTCTGCCTCCCAGGTTCAAGCAATTCTCCTGCCTCAGCCTCCTGAGTAGGTGGGATTACAGGCATGTGCCATCATGCCTGGCTAATTTTGTATTTTTAGTAGAAACAGGGTTTCTCCATGTTGGTCAGGCTGGTCTCAAACTCCCGATCTCAGGTGCTCCAACCACCTTGGCCTCCCAAAGTGCTGGGATTCAGTTGTGAGCCACCGCGCCAGGCCAAAGAGTTTTATTTAGAGTTCGGACAGCTTGGAGGAGTGCTCAGCTCCTAGCAGAGAGGAGGCCCTGGAGAGGGTGGCTCCTCTCTGCAGACAAGTCATTCTGATGTCTCTGCAGGTCTCTGAAGCTCTCAGAAGAGAGGGTAGCTCCTCTCCACCAGCAGGTCGTCTCTATGGCTCTCAGCAGAGAGGGTACACCCTCCGCAGCTGGTTGTCCCATCGTCACCTGCTATCAGCAGAAAGGGTACTCCTTTCTGCAGCTGGTCGTCAAATCCCATTGTCTCTCTGCCCTCTTCATCCTCTGGCCATCCTCTGCCCTGCTCTGGCTGAGCCCAGGGCTTTTATGGACATCAGAGGGGAGAAAAGTCCATAGGCAGCCGTGGGCAAGCCCATAAGAGGCATCACAAGTCCCCACTCCGGTCAGTGGGACTGGCAGCCCAGCCCCCAGCTTTCAGGCCCTCCCTGGCCTGAGGGTGGGGACTTACTGAGGGCCCCACCCCTTCCCACCCAGGACTCTGTCTGCCTCCCACTGCCATTCATGACCCCTGGGCTTGGCCCCAACCCCGCTCCTTTCTGAGATCGGAGCAGGTGCTGGGAGCAGAGAGAGGCCAGGCAGTGGGAGCAGACACCCATAAGCCTGCAGGGATGGGGGCTCAGGGTGGGGGGTTCTTCCTGGGGCCCCTGAAGGTGCAGAGACACCAGGGTCCTGTGTCTGGGAGGGGGGCCGCAGCTGCACCCAGGACCTCCCACCCTGCCAACTCAGAAGGGGCAGGGCTCCTGCTTTTCCCTGGCTCCTGCCTGCTTCCTGGAGCAGGAGGCCGAGGTCTGCGGCCGCACCCAGGAAGGCAGATCCTGCCTGTTCCGGGCTCCCCCAAAAGCACAGGAAGGCAAGGATCCACAGCTGCGGTTTGGGCAGCTGTAGCCTCCTGGGCAGGGCTCCTGCCTGCTCCATAGAGCAGGAGGTCTGGGTCTGCAGCTGCGTTTGGGTGGCTGCAGCGGCTCGGGGAGCTCCCTTCCCAACTCAGAAGGGGCAGGGCTCCCATTGGCCCCACAGAGTATGCAGACCCAGCCGCGGTTACCTGCTGCAGCTGACATGATGCCAGCAGCCACGGCCATCACTGGGATTACAGATGTGAGCCACCACACCCACCTACACATTATTTAAAATTGTGACAAAATATACATAACATAAAATGTACTACTTTGGCCAGATGCAGTGGCTCACAGCTGTAATCCTAGCACTTTGTGAGGCGGGCAGATTGCCTCACCTCAGGAGTTCGAGACCACCCTGGGCAACATGGTGAAACTCCATCTCTACTAAAATACAAAAAATTAGCTGGGCGTGGTGGTGCGCGCCTGTAGTCCCAGCTAGTTGCGAGGCTGAGGCATGATAATTGCTTAAGCCTGGGAGGCGGAGGTTGCAGTGAGCTGAGCCGAGATCATGCCACTGCACTCCAGCCTAGGCGACAGAGCAAGACTCTGTCTCAAAGAAAAAAAAAAAAAAAAGTACTACTAATTTAACCGGTTTTAAATGGACATTTCAGTGGCATTAAGTATATTGACATTGCACAACTATCACCAGTGTCCATTCCCAAATTTTTCATCATCCCAAATAGAAACTCTATACCCATTAAACAATAACCCTCTACTACTAATCCCTTCAGCCCCCGGAAACTACCATTTTACTATGAATTTGGGTCACTGTAGGTACCTCATATAAGAGGAATTATATAAAATTTATCCTGTTGTGTCTGGCTTATTTCACTAAGGATAATGTCTTCAAGGTTCATCCATGTCCTAGCATGTATCAGAATTTCATTCGTTTTTGTTTTTGTTTTTGTTTTTTTGAGACCGAGCCTCAAAAAAAGGCTGATTCCAGAATAGCTGGGATTACAGGCGTGCACCACCATGCCTGGTTAATTTTTGTATTTTTAGTAGAGACGGGGTTTCGCCATGTTGGCTAAGCTGGTCTAAACTCCTGGCCTCAAGTGATCTGTCCACCTCGGCCTCCCAAAGTGCTGGGATTACAGGTGTGAGCCACTGCACCTAGCAGCATTATTCCTTTTTATGGCTGAATAATATTCCATCATATGGATATCCCACATTTGGTTTATCTGTTCATCTGTTGATGAACACTTGCGTTATTTCCACTCTTTGGCTATTGGCTATTGTGAATAATGTTGCTGTGAACATGGGATGCAAATATTGGTTCAAGTCTCTGCTTTCAGTCCTTTTAGGTATATAATCAGAAATAGAATTGCTGAATTATATGGTAATCCTATGCGTAATTTTTTTGAGGGACTGCCAAACTTTTCTTTTTCTTGTTTTTAATTTTTTTTTTTTTTGAGACAGAGTTTCACTCTTGTCACCCAGGCTGGAGTGCGGTGGCGTGATCTTGGCTCACTGCAACCTCTGCCTCTTGGGTTCAAGTGATTCTCCTGCCTCAGCTGGGATCACAGGTGTCCACCACAACTCCCGGCTAATTTTTGTACTTTTAGCAGAGACTGGGTTTTGCTATGTTGGCCAGGTTGGTCTGGAACTCCTAACCTCAAGGGATCCACCCGCCTTGGCCTCCCAAAGTGCTGGGATTACAGGTGTGAGCCGCCATACCCAGCCTGTTTGTTTTTTCTAACAGCCATCCTATGAAGCCATCCTATGAAGTATGAAGTGGTATCTCACTGTGGTTTTGATTTGCATTTCTCTAATGATATATACATCTCTTCCTGTGCTTATTGATTATTTGTATATTTTTTCTTTGGATAAATGTCAATTCAAGTTCTGTGCACATTATTTTTTTTCTTTAGAGACAGGATTCATGCACAGTGGCTCATGCATGTAATCCCAGCACTTTGGGAGGCAGAGGCAGGAGGATTGCAGGAGTCCAGGAGTTTGAGACCAGCCTAGGCAACATAGTAAGAGCTCATCTCTACAAAAATAAATCAAAATTGGCCGGGCGCGGTGGCTCACGCCTGTCATCCCAGCACTTTGGGAGGCCAAGGCGGGCGGATCACCTGAGGTCAGGAGTTCAAGACCAGCCTCAACATGGAGAAACTCTGTCTCTACTAAAAATACAAAATTAGCCAGGCATGGTGGTGCATGCCTGTAATCCCAGCTACTTGGGAGGCTGAGGCAGGAGAATTGCTTGAATCTGGGAGGCAGAGGTTGCGGTGAGCCGAGATCGCACCATTGCGCTCCAGCCTGAGCAACAAGAGTGACACTCTGTCTCAAAAAATAAAAATAAAAAAAATAAATAAATCAAAATTTAGCCAGGCATGGTGGTGCTCAGGTAGTCCCGGCTACTCAGGAGGCTGAGGTGGGAGGATTGCTTAAGCCCTGGAGGTTGAGGCTGCAGTGAGCCATGATCACGCCACTGCACTCTAGCCTGGGTGACAGAATAAGACTGTCTCAAAAAAAATAAAATAAAACAATAGAGAGAAGGTCTTGCTCTGGAGATCTTCCTACCTTTGTCTCCCAAAGTGCTGGGATTACAGGCTTGAGCCTTGGTACCCATACCAAACATATATTTGTATAATTAGGGTAGAAAAATTATCATTAAACTTATTATTGTTGGCCAGGTGTGGTAGCTCACACCTGTAATCCCAGCACTTTGGGAGGCTGAAGAAGGTGGATCACCTGAGGTCAGGAGTTCAAGACCAGCCTGGCCAACACGGTAAAACTCCGTCTCTACTAAAAATACAACAACTTTGATGGCAGAAGGGAAAAAAAAAAGTATAGTACCAGCCGGGCGCAGTGGCTCACACCTGTAATCCTAGCACTCTGGGAGTCCAACGCGGGCAGATAATTTGAGGTCAGGAGTTCAAGACCAGCCTGGCCAACATGATGAAACCCCGTCTCTACTAAAAATACAAAAATTAGCCAGGCGTGGTGGCAGGCCCCTGTAATCCCAGCTACTCGGGAGACTGAGGCAGGAGAATCGCTTGAACTCGGGAGGCAGAGGTTGCAATAAGCCGAAGAGCACGGCATTGCACTCCAACCTGGGCAACGGAGCGAGACTCCAACTCAAAAAATAATAAAAAATAAATAAATAAATAAATAAAAAATAGGCCGGACACGGTGGCTCAAGCCTGTAATCCCAGCACTTTGAAAGGCTGAGGCAGGCAGATCACCTGAGGTCAGGAGTTCAAGACCAGCCTGGCCAGTGTGGTGAAACCCCATCTCTACCCAAAATACAAAAATTAGCTGGGTGTGGTAGCACACGCCTGCAATCCCAGCTACTCGGGAGGCTGAGGCAGGAGAATCGCTTGAACCCACAAGGCAGAGGTTGCAGTAAGCTGAGATTGTGCCACCGCACTCCAGCCTGGGCAACAAGAGCGAAACTCCATCTAAAACAATAAAAAATAAATAAAATAAAATAAATAAAAAATAAAAATACAAAAATTAGCTGGGTGTGGCAGTGGCAGGCACCCGTAATCCAAGCTACTCGGGAGTCTGAGGCAGAAGAATCGCTTAAACCCAGGAGGCGGAGGTTGCAGTGAGCCGAGATCACACCACTGCACTCCAGCCTGGGCGACAGAGCGAGACTCCATCTCAAAAATATATATATATAGACACACAAAAAATTAGCCAGGCGTGGTGGCGGGTGCCTGTGATCCCAGCTACTCAGGAGGCTGAGGCAGGAGAATCGCTTGAATACAGGAGGTAGAGATTGCGGTGAGCCAAGATCATATCACTGCATTCCAACCTGGGCGACAGAGTGGAACTCTACCTCAAAAAAAAAAAAAAGATTATTGTTATTGCAATTAAAGGTAGACTCCCAGCAAACTTTTTTGTTGTTGAGACAGTCTCGCTCTGTTGTGCAGGCTGGAGTGCAATGATGCGATCTCAGCTCACTGCAACCTATACCTCTCGAATTCAAGGGATTCTCCTGCATCAGCCTTCCAAGTAGTTCGGATTACAGATGCGTGCCACCACACCTAGCTAATTTTTTTTTCTTTTTTGAGATGGAGTCTTGCTCTGTCGCCCAGGCTAGAGTGCAGTCATGCGATATCAGCTCACTGCAATCTCCGCCTCCCAGGTTCAAGCAATTCTCCTGCCTAAGCCTCCCGAGTAGCTGGGATTACAGGCACATGCCACCGCGCCTGGCTAATTTTTGTATTTTTAGTAGAGTCAGGGTTTCAACATCTTGGCCAGGCTGGTCTCGAACTCCTGACCTCGTGATCCACCCGCCTCAGCCTCCCAAAGTATTGGGATTACAGGCGTGAGCCACCGCTCCCGGCCAATTAATTTTTATATTTTTAGTAGAGACGGGGTTTCACCATGTTGGCCAGGCTGGTCTTGAACTCCTGGCCTCAGGTGATCTGCCCACCCCTGCTTCCCAAAGTGCTAGGATTACAGGTGTGAGCCACCATGCCTAGCCAAACTTTTTTTCTTATTATGATTATTAGAGATGAGGTCTTGCTATGTTGCTCGGGCTGGTCTCTAACACTTGGGCTCAAGTTTGAGTTTGAAACCAGCCTAGGCAAGAAAGGAGATGACTGTCTCAAAATAAAGCAAATTTTAAAAAATAAAAAATAAGCTGTTTCCAATCACAAGCATTTGCAGAGTGGGAGAGGAAACTGCTGATTTCACTTTAGTTAAATCAACATCTATTGAGGGTCTCCTATGTACCAAATCCTAAAATACTATGCAAAGTTTCTGGTCTAGGACACAGGCAACAAGCAACACAGTACCGGGTGGATGGTCTCTGCTAGGGGAACCCGGGATGCCACACCAAGGAACCAGAGGAGGATGCCTCACCCCCTGGGCAAGTCTGGGACAGTTTTAGGACTAAAAGAATAACAGTAATGAATTATAACCTAATCAACAAAATAAGGATCCATTGAGTTGGGCCAGGCGCGATGGCTCACGCCTGTAATCCCAGCACTTTGGGAGGCTAAGCCAGGTGGAACACTTGAGGTCAGGAGTTCGAGACCAGCCTGCCCAACATGGTGAAACTCCGTCTCTATGAGAAAAAAAAAAAATTAGCTGGGAGTGGTGGCACATGCCTGTAATCCCAGCTACTTGGGAGGCTGAAGCAGGAGAATCACTTAAACCTGGGAGGTGGAGGTTGCAGTGAGCCGAGATTGCCCCCTGCCCTCCAGCCTGGCGAAAGAGCGAGACTCCGTCTCAAAAAAAAAAAAAAAATCCATTGAGTCTATTCTTATTTTTTACTTTTTGACACAGAGTCTCATTCTGTTGCCCAGGATGGAGTGCAGTAGCATGATCACAGCCCACTGCAGCCTTGATGACCAGCTAATTTCTAAATTTTTTGTCAAGACGGTGTCTTGTCATGTTGCCCAGGCTGGTCCAAAACTCATGTGCTTAAGCCATCCTCCCAACTCAGCCTTCCAAAACGCTGATATTACAGGAGTGACCCACCGTGCCTGTCGAGTACATTCTAACAAATACGAGAGGAGAAAAAGCTCTTCTTTACAATAGAATGCTGACTAAATAAATGGAGAAGGAATGATAGATTTAGAAAAATTATCATTTTATAACCATCATACTAATGATTGATTCAGTCAAGAATCATAAATGAATGTTATTGAGTCCAAGTTTAATAAGGAACAGGATTTTAGATAATTTCAGAATATCTCCCCACAAATTACTTACTAATTACAAAAGGGAAGAAAGATAACTTTACAGTAGAGAAATCTGATAGATACCACTAAATGAAGTGATTGAAGTTAAACATCACGAATAACGAGACAAACTGACACCATCTGCTTCTTGATGCCATGCACTAAGAAAGAAACATCACTTCTTTGGCCCAAAAGCTCCCTCAGCTGGTAAACAACTTC
Source organism: Homo sapiens (assembly GCF_000001405.40). Classification (NCBI taxonomy): domain Eukaryota; kingdom Metazoa; phylum Chordata; class Mammalia; order Primates; family Hominidae; genus Homo; species Homo sapiens. Next base: position 118,967,643 of record NC_000011.10, read on the forward strand.
AGCAAACTTTCAGCATACAAAATCAATTTACAAAAATCACTAGGCCGGGCGCGGTGGCTCACGCCTGTAATCCCAGCACTTTGGTAGGCCGAGGCAGGCAGATCACGAGGTCAGGAGATCAAGACCATCCTGGCTAACGCGGTGAAACCCCGTCTCTACTAAAAATACAAAAAATTAGCTGGGCGTGGTGGCGGGCGCCTGTGGTCCCAGCTACTCGGGAGGCTGAGGCAGGAGAATGGCGTGAACCCGGGAGGTGGAGCTTGCAGTGAGCCGAGATCGCACCACTGCACTCCAGCCTGGGCGACATAGCAAGATCCGTCTCAAAAAAAAATAAAATAAAATAAAATACAAAATAAAATAAAAATTGCCAATGAACATTATTGACTAGCATTCAAATAATCTAACATTGAGCTTTCCTGACAAAGACACCAAAAGCAATTGCAACAAAGGCAAAATTTGACAAATGGGATCTAATTCAATTTAAGAGCTTCTGCACAGCAAAATAAACTATCAACAGAATAAACAGTCAACCTAAAGAATGGGAGAAAATACACATCTGACACAGGTCTGATATCCAGAATCTACAAGGACCTTAAACAAATTCACAATGAAAAAAACAAGCCCATTAAAAAGTGGACAAAGGATGAAACACTTTTCTTTTCTTTCTTTCTTTTTTTTTCTTAGATGAGGGTCTCACTCTGTCACCCAGGCTGGAGTGCAGTGGTGTAATCTCAGCTTAGTGCAGCCTCCGCCTCCCAGGCTCAAGTAATCCTCCCACCTGAGCCTCCCGAGTAGCTGGGACAACAGGTACACGCCACCATGCCCAGCTAATTTTTGTAGCTTTTGCAGAGATGGGGTTTTGCCATGTTGCTCAGGTTGGTCTTGAATTCCTGAGCTCAAGTGATCCACCCGCCTGAGCCTCCCAAAGTTCTGGGATTACAGGCACGAGCCACTGTGACCAGCCAACAGATGCTTTTCAAAAGAAGATATACACGTACATGAGAAAATGCTCATCACCACCAATCATTAGAGAAATGCAGATCAAAACCACAATGAGATACCATCTCACACCAGTCAGAATGGCTTTTTTTTTTTTTTTTGAGATGGTCTCTCTCTGTTGCCCAGGCTAGAGTGCAGTGGCACGATCTTGGCTCACTGCAACCTATGCCTCCGGGGTTCAAGAGATTCTCCTGCCTCAGCCTCCTGATTAGCTGGGATTACAGACGCGCATCACCATGCCCAGCTAATTTTTGTACTTTTAGTAAAGACGGGGTTTCACCATGTTGGCCATGCTGGTCTCGAACTCCCGACCTCAGGTGATCCACCCGCCTCGGCCTCCCAAAGTGTTGGGATTACAGGCGTGAGCCACTGCGCCCAGCCAGAATGGCTATTATTCAAAGTCAGAAAATAACACATGCTGGCAAAGTTGTGGACAAAAGGAAAGCCTTATACACCGCTGGTGGGAATGTAAATTACTTCAGCCATTGTGGAATGCAGTTTGGTGATTACCATTCAACCCAGTAATCCCATTTTCGGGTGTATACCCAAAGGAATATAAATCATTCTACCATAAAGACATATGCATGGCCAGGCGCGGTGGCTCACGCCTGTAATCCCAGCACTTTGGAAGGCCAAGGCAGGAGGACCACTTGAGGTCAGGAGTTCGATACCAGCCTGGCCAACATGGTGAAACTTCGTCTCTACTAAAAATACAAAAATTAGCTGGGCATCATTGGGGCCGCCTGTAATCCCAGCTACTAGGGAGGTGGAGGCAAGAGAATCGCTTGAACCTGGGAGCTGAGGTCACGCCATTGTACTCCAGCCTGGGCAACAAGAGCAAAGGAAGGGAAGGGAAGGGGAGGGGAGGGGAAGGGAGGAGAGGGAAGAGAAGGGAGGAGGGAAGGGAGGAGGGAGGGAGGGAGGGAAGGAAGAAGGAAGGAAGGAAGGAAGGAAGGAAGGAAGGAAGGAAGGAAAGAAAGAAAGAAAGGAAGAAAAAGAAAGAAAGAAAGAGAGAAGGGGTACATATACAGCACGGTACATATACATCATGGAATACTATGCAGCCATAAAAAAGAATGAGATCATGTCTTCTGTGGGAACCGGGATGAAGCTGGAGGCCATTATCCTTAGCAAACTAATGCAAGAACAGAAAACCAAATGCCACATGTTCTCACTTGTAAGTGGAAGCTAAAAGATAAGAACTCATGAACTCAAAGAGGGGAACCACACAGACACTGGGGCCTACTTGAGGGTGGAGGATGGGAAGAGGGAGAGGAGCAGAAAAAAATAACTCTTGCGTACTAGGTTTAGTACCTAGGTGATGAAATAATCTGTACAACAAACCCCCGTGACATGAGTCATATGTAGCAAACCTGCACATGTACACTTGAACCTAAAAGTTAAAAAAAGAAGAAACATCACTTCTGTAGTATTCTTGCCAAAAATGCATACTCTAATTAAGAGGAAACATTAGCCAAATCCAAACTGAGGGCCATTCTACAAAACAAATGGCCAGTGCTCTTCAAAAATGTCAATGTTATGAAAGATTATAAAGACAGAGAGCCCGGGTGCGGTGGCTCATGCCTGTAATCACAGCACGTTGAGAGGCTGAGGCAGTTGGATCACTTGAGGTCAGGAGTTTGAGACCCAGCCTGGGCAACATGGCAAACCCTGACTCTACCAAAAATTAGCTGGGCATGGTGTCGCACAACTGTGGTCCTAGCTACCCGGGAGGCTGAGGTGGGAGGATTGCTGGAGTCTAGGAAGTTGAGGCTGCAGTGAGCCGATTGCACCACTACACTCCAGCCTGGGTGACAAAGTGAAACCCTGTCTCAAAAAAACAAAAAAGTAAAGATGGCTTGTCTGATGGTAGTGGGTTATCAGAACTTATTATTAATAACATTAGTGTCACTAAAGTTGGTATACAACCCCCTATTGCTAAATTTGGCTTTAAAAAAAAAGAGAAAGAAATTGTTCCAGATTAATGGAGAGTAAACAGACATGGATATTAAATGTATTGCATAGTGCTAAAAGGGATAACGGCCAGAAAAAAAAATTTACATAAATGACATTGTTGGGACAATTGGTAAAATCTGAATAAGAACTGCATATTAAATATAACATTGAATCAATCTTAAATTTTCTGATTTCTGATTTTCTGGATACATAAAACAATATCCTTGTTTTTAGGAAATACAGAAATATTTTTGGGTAAAGGGACACGATGTCTGCAAATTACTCTCAAATTGTTAAGCAAAACATAATGTATTTGTAGTATATATGGAAATAAAAATATAAATGTGATAAAATGATAATAATTGGTGTAATTGGTCAATCTGGGTGAAAAAGTATACAGGAATTTTTTGTAGCATTCTTGGGATTTTTCTGCAAATCTGAAATTATTAAAAACAAAATTTTTATTTTAATTTTATTGTCCCCCAGGCTGGAGTGCAGTGGCACCATCTCGGCTCACTGCAACCTCCACCTCCCGGGTTTAAGCGATTCTCCTGCCTCAGCCTCCCTAGTAGCTGGGATTACAGGCGTGAGCCACCACGCACTGCTAATTTTTTTGTATTTTTAGTAGAAACGGGGTCTCACCATCGGTCAGGCTGGTCTCAAACTTCTGACCTCAGGTGATCCGTCCACCTCGGCCTCCCAGAGTGTTGGGATTACATGCGTGAACCACCGCATGCGGCCAAAAGACAAAAAAAAATTTTTTTAATCAAATCACCATCCAATGTAATTCCATCTCCACCATCTACTACAGATGTGATCGTGGATAAACCATAAACCTTTCATAACTTCTAGAAAGTAACTACTAATACTATTATGGTAGAAAGGATCAATGTTAAAGCAAAACTATAAAAATAAATAAATACGATCACTTGACCATGGCGCCTTTTCAATGAAATAAGGGGCAAGGGGCTTGGGCAAACGAGGATGCGTAAGATGATCTGGGGTCCCTTCCGGATCCCCAGGTCCTCGACCCCCGGCATGTAAGGGTAGAGTCAAGGAGGGTCTTCTTAAGCGTTCCTCGGCGCGGTCCTGAAGAGATTAAAGGCGTCAAATGGACCGCTCCACACCTGAGCTGCCGCCAAGCTAACTCAATCCGAGCCGGCGCATTTGAGAAGGCGCCTGTGAGGGTCGCTCCTCAGCCGCCGCGCTCCCACTCCGCGTCCCCACTCCGCGCCGCCGCGCCTCTGCCAGCCCCGAAGGTGGACGTGAAGCTCCAACACCTCGACTTCTGGGCCCGCCTCCATGGCCAGGTCCCGGGACTGCTGGACTGGGACATGGGGAACGAGCTCTTTCTGGCCTTCACCACATCTCACCTCCCCTTAGCGGAGCAGAAACGTGAGTAGCGGGTGGGGTGAGGTGGGGGGCTGGGCGTGGCGGAGGGTGGCCTAGGGGCTCGCGGGACCCCGGGGCAGACGGCTCCCCAGCCTTCGCCCCCACCTCCCGGGGAGGCTTGGGGGGCCGAGCGCCCCGCGCCCCCCCCCCCCGACGGCTTAGCTCCGCCGCCCCCGCTCCACCCCCACTCGCGAACTCTACTCGGGAGTGGTTTGGGGGGTGGGGGGGTTCGCGCCTGACTCAATTGGAAGCTCCCGGAGGACAGCTGGTCTCACCTAAAAACGGAGGCTTTCCACTCTACGTCACCCGCCAGGCTCCCAGAACATTCCAAGGCCTCTTCTGGGTCTTCTCCTTGGCGCTGGTCGCCATTTGCTATACTGTATATTTCAGTTACTTTTCCGTCTCTTAAAAAAACAGGCCTCATCGTTTTATCCATGGCTGTATTCTCACCTCTTAACATATTGCCTGACACCTACAAGTGCTCCGTACTTGCCAAATGCTTAGTTGACCATCGCGATCTTTTAGGTTTTCTTTTTCTTCTTTGGACGTCAAGTGTGGAGAGTTGACATAATTACTCCCCACATTCATGGTACCTTTTCGCCTGCAAGACCCTTGGATTAACTCTTTTTTTTTTTTCCAAATTTTTTTTTTGAGACGGAGTCTTGCTCTGTCGCCCAGGCTGGAGTGCAGTGGCGCGATCTCGGCTCACTGCAACCTCCGCCTCCCGGGTTCAAACGATTCTCCCGCCCCAGCCTCCTGAGTAGCCTGGATTGCAGGGGTGCGCCACCACGCCCTGTTAATTTTTTTTATTTTTAGTAGAGGCAGAGTTTCACCATGTTGTCCATGTCGGCCTCCCAAAAGTGCTGGGATTACAGGCCTGAGCCACCGCCCCCGGCCTTAACTCTTCCTTTTGCCCCTTAAGTCTCCACCCCTCCTTCCATTACCTCTGCTGCTCCCATTACCAACCCTAATCCATTTAACGTCTGTTTTCTCCACTCATTGTTTTTGAGAGCTGTTGTTTTAGGTTGCTAAATTCAGACCTGATTCATTATTTCTGATTGTTGTTAGTATTCTATCGGCTGGGTGTCCCACCTTTTACATTTTAATTTTCTTTACCCTAGATTGCTTCCAACTCTTTGCCACCATAATTAATGCTAATGAACATTCTTTCTTGTTTCTTCATTCAAGAAATATGTATTGAGCACCTCCAACTGACCTGGCACTGTTTTAGACACTCATGATACACAGTGAATAGAACAGACAAGGAACCTTACATTCTACTGGGGGCAGACAGATAATCCACAGAAGTATAATAAATGGGTAGATCATATAGTATGCTATAAAGTGATAATCTGCAATGGGGAAAGAACAGGAGAAGGAGACTCAGGAATAGGGGAAGGGTGTGGTGGCAGCTACAGTTTGTTTTTTTTGTTTTTGTTGTTTTTTGAGATGGAGTCTGGCTCTGTTGCCCACGCTGCAGTGGTGCGATCTCCTCTGCCCCCCGGGTTCAAGTGATTCTCCTGCCTCAGCCTCCCGAGTAGCTGGGACTACAGGCACGCGCTACCATGCCCAGCTAATTTTTGTATTTTTAGTAAAGACGGGGATTCCCTGTGTTGGCCAGGCTAGTCTTCAATTCCTGACCATGATCCGCCGTCTCAGCCTCCCAAAGTGCTAGAATTACAGGTGTGAGCCACCGCACCCGGCCTTCTTTTTTTTTTTTTTGTCATGGAGTCTCACTCTGTCGCCCAGGCTGGAGTACAGTAGCGCAATCTCAGTTCACTGCACCCTCTGCCACCCAGGTTCAAGCGATTCTTGTGCTTCAGCCTCACCAGTAGCTGGGATTACAGGCATGCATCACCACACCCAGCTAATTTTTATATTTTTAGTAGAGACAGGGTTTCACCATGTTGGCCAGCCAGGCTGGTCTCAAACTCCTGGCCTCAAGTGATCCGCTTCCCTCAGCCTCCTAAAGTGCTGGGATTACAGGTGTGAGCCACCGCGCCAGGCCACAGCTACAGTTTTAAATAAGATTGTGGGGTTGAACTCAATTAGGAACATAATATTTGAGCAAATAGTTGATAGGAGGGGTGGAGTGAGCCCAGAGGATACTTGAAGGGAAAGTGGTAAGGTCAGTAAGGCTGGATGACAGTAAATAAAGAGCTCCAAAGGGTGTGGTTGAGAGCAGGAATGCCTGTCCTCTAAGGACTTTAGGGTTGACTTTGAGTCAGATGAGGATTGATTGTAAGGTTTTGTTTGAGATGGACTCTTGCTCTTGCTCAGGCTAGAGTGCAGTGGCACAATTACCTCCAGGCTCAAGCAATGCTCCCACCTCAGTCCCCAAAGTAGCTGCAACCACAGGCACAGGCCACCACACTGGCTAACTTTTTTACTATTTGTAGAGATGGGGATCTCCCTATGTTGCCCAGGCTGGTCTTGAACTCCTGGACTCGAGCAATCCTCCTACCTCCCAAATTGAGCAGAGGAGTGACATGCTCTCAGGGTCTGCTTCATGAGTGTGTGACCCGTGCAGTTGCCTAGGTGCCTGTGTTTGGTTTAATACACTGCTGTCACTGTCTTGAAATTTTTAATAATTTTTCAACGAGGAGCCTCATGTTTTCTTTACTGGACCCTACAAATTATGTGGCTAGTCCTGCATGATCTAGATTTGAAAAGATCACTCTGGCTGTTGTGTTGAGAGTAGACTGTGGATGTACAGAGTCTAGGAGGCTGCAGTAGTAATCCAGACAAGAGATGATGGTAGATTGGGCCAGGGTAGTAGCAGGGAGAACCAGCTGGCTATGCTGATGGATTGGATATGGCGTATAAGACAGACAATTGAGTATGAGCCTTCAAAGTGTTTTGACCTAGTGGAAGGATAGAGTTGCCTTGTACTGAGTGGGAGACAGGTTTAGGAAGGAAGATCAGGAATTCTGTTCTGGATATGCTGAGCTGGAGATCCTTAGACATCCAAGTAGAAGCATTGAGTCTGCAGTTGGATACATGAGCCTGGAGTTCTGGAGAGAAGTGGGGACTGCAGATGTAAATTTTGGGTCTTTTGGTATATGGGTGGAACTTAAGGAGTAAGAATAGAGGAGGAACAAGAATGAGCCCTGGGGGCAGTCCATTGTAAAGAGATTGGAGAGAAGAGAGATAACTAGCAAAAAAGACTATTGAGAATCAAAACTAGGGCGTCTGTGGTATCCTGGAAACCAAGTGGAAAAAGCCTTTCAAGGAGGGAGGGGTTGGATGAGTGGAATGTAAGTGATGATTGGACTTAACAAAGCAGAGGTCCCTGGTTAGTGGTTTTAGTAAGTGGTAGAACAAAAAACCTGACTGAAGGGGGTTTAAGAGTAGAAGGAGGGGAAGTAGAGGCAATGTGTTATGCCTCAACAGGAAATAAGATGGGATAATCTTTTTCTTTTTCTTTCTTCTTTTTTTTTTTTTTAGAGACAGGGTCTCTATCTGGTGCCCAGGCTGGACTGCAGTGGCACCAGCACAGCTCACTGCAGTCTTGAGCAGCCTTGAGCAGCCTTGAGCAGCCTTGAACTCCTCGGCTCAAGTGATCCTCCTGCCTCAGCTTTCCAAAGCAGGCTGAGATTACAAGCATGAGCCACTGCACCTGGTCCCTAAAATGGGAGAATTAACAGCATGTTTGCATGCTGATGAGAATGACCCAACAAAGACAAAAAATTAGTGACACAGGAAAGAGAGGGGAAGATTTGTGGAACAACATCCTTGAAAAAGCATGGGGGATCTGTGCCAAAGAGAGACACAGACATACAAAGGTGCTATCCTTGGGTCGCAATGAGATCACCAGTCCATTGATCCTATCACCTTTTCACTGTTTCAATCACTTGATATGTCCACCCTTATTTAACTAACTTGAATCCCATGGTCAGATATTACGCAGGTTCCCTGGATCATCTGTGGCTTTGGAGCACTTTGTTGGCCAAACCACAACCCTGACTAAATCCACCTCTGCCAAACGAGTGCGCCAAAACCATAATTCAGTGGACTGGTGACCTCAGTGGGATCATAGTTGGGGTTGAGGGAGTTAGCCAGAAAGACACGAGGTGGTGCGTTTTTATGTGGTGCATAAATGAGGTTACGGAGAGGTTGCAGTTGTTGGTTTAGGTTATGCCTGAGGGAGTGTCCACAGTAGAGTAGAAGTCAAACTCGCTGGAGAAGAGTTCAATAAATAGCAAAGATCATGTTTTTGTTTTTGAAGCAAGGTCTGGCTTTGTTGCCCAAGCTGGAGTGCAATAGCGTAAGCTTGGCTCACTGCAACCTCCCTTTTCCCGCTCAAGCCATCCTCCCACTTCAGCCTCCTGAGTAGCTGGGACTACAGGCTCACGCCACCACACTCGGCTAGATTATTATCTTTGTATTTTTTATAGAGATGGGGTTTCACCATGTTGCCCAGGCTGATTTCAAACTCCTGGGCCCAAGCAATCCGCCTGCCTAAGCCTCTTAAAGTGCTGGGATTACAGGCATGAGCCGCTGCACCTGGCCAGCAGCCAAGATTTAAGGCAGGAGTAGTGTTGGAGAGTGACAGCTAAACCAGGAGGTCAGTAGATGGTAGTAACAATGGAGATTGATTAGTATATAAGTTCCTGTATTAACTTGAATATATACATCCAGGAGCAGACAGTAAGGTCGAGTAAATTGTGGTCCTGCCTGATTGCTCTTAACAAGGGCTGCTCCAGTTGATACACAGAACTGCAGTAAAATAAGAGATTCTGTCTCTTTGCATGTTTCTCAACACTTGGTATTATCTTTATAATTCCAGTCAATTTGATTATCTCATTATCTTACAGTGTTTTTCGTATTATTAATAATGCTGATCATCTCGTTAGCCATTCAGTTATCCCCTCCTTGTGAATGCTGATTCATATCATTTGTCCATTTCTAAGTTTGTGTTGACCTTTTACATATTGATTTGTAGGAGCTCTCTATGTATCAGAGAACTGAGAAATTTGGATTGAAGTTTTGCTATTTTGTTTGTTTGTCTATTTGTTTTTTGCTTATGGTGATTTTTACTATGTTAGAACTTTTTTTTGAGACAGAGTCTTGCTGTGTCACCTAGGCTGGAGTGTAGTGGCACGATCTCAGCTCACTGCAACTTCTGCCTCCCAGGTTCAAGTGATTCTCCTGCCTCAGCCTCCCAAGTAGCTGGGACTACAGGTACACACCACCAAGCCCGGCTAATTTTTTGTACTTTTAGTAGAGATGGGGTTTCACCTTGTTGGCCAGGCTGGTCTCAAACTCCTGACCTCAAGTGATCCACCTGCCTCGGCCTCCCAAAGTGCTGGGATTACAGGTGTGGGCCACCGCACCTGGCCAAACTTTAATTTTTGTGCTATAATATGTGCATAAAACTTACAGATTCATTTTGAGGGTAACTGGCATCTTAATAGTATGTATTATAAGTCTTTGTTCAAGTATTTTAAGTTCTTTATTTAAGAGCTGAGATGGGAAGATTGCTTGAGTTGGGAGGTGGAGATTGCAGTGAGCCGGTGTCACACCACTGCACTCCAGCATGGGCAACCAAGCAAGACCCTGTCTCCAAAAAAACCCCAATTTTTCTATCTTTTGCTACTTTTTCCTTTTTTGAATACTATGTTGAATATTAGCAACATAATAGGCATCCTCTCTAATTACTGAGCTCTCCGATAAGTATATCATTTCTCAAACAAAAGCCTAGATTCATCTGTAATATAATGACACTCATAGGGACAGTGAGGGGGCAAAAATAGTTTTTGTCCTGAACAACCATTAATGGTGGTGCCACTTGCTAAGACAAAGAATACAGGAAGGCCAGGCATGGTAGCTCACGCCCGTAATCCCAACACTTTGGGAGCCCGAAGCAGGAGGATTGCTTGAACCCAGGGGTTCGAGACCAGCCCAGGCAACATAGACCCTCATCTATACAAAAAATACAAAAATTGGGCTGGGCGCGGTGGCTCAAGCCTGTAATCCCAGCACTTTGGGAGGGTGAGGCAGGCAGATCATGAGTCAGGAGTTCGACACCAGCCTGGCCAATATGGTGAAACCACGTCTCTACTAAAAAATACAAAAATTAGCCGGGTGTGGTGGCGTGCGCTTGTAGTCCCAGCTTCTTGGGAGGCTGAGGCAGGAGAATCACTTGAACCTGGGAGGCAGAGGTTGCAGTGAGCCAAGATCGCGCCACTACACTCCAGCCTGGGCGACAGAGCGAGACTCCATCTGAAAAAAAAAAAATACAAAAATTAGTGGGGTGCAGTGGCATGTACCTGTAGTTCCAGCTACCTGGGAGACTGAGGTGGGAGAATCTCTTGAGCACACCACTGCACTCCAGCCTGTGCAACAGAGCAAGACCCTGTCTCAAAAAAAATACAAGAATACAGGAGGAAGAGCAAGAAGATGGAATTCAGTTTTAGAAGTGCGTTTGAAGTGCCTGTGGGCTACCCAAGTAAAGACATCCAGTAGGTAGTTCTCCTTAAGGGCTAGCACAGAATGCTAGGCTAGAGGTGAAGATTTGAGAGCTCTACATTTTTTTATAGATGTTAACTGAAGCCACGGACATGCATGAGATCATTCAGGGATAGTATACGTAGAGTGAGAAGAAAAGAATGCAGAGGGGAATGAGAAGGTCAGAGAGGTAAAGGGAAAACCCGTAGAAGTAGAATGTGATGTTAACTCCCAAGGCAGGGCCCACAACCTTCTCCCAGAGAAGCCTTAAGGCCTAGGATCCTAGGGTCACAAAGGGATATTCTAGGATGTTTTGACTCTCTCTGTCTTTCTTTTTGCCAGTTGCCAGGTATAAACTCCGAATTGTTAAGCCACCAAAATTACCCCTAGAGAAAAAACCCAACCCTGATAAGGATGGTACGTATTGAGTTCTCTGACCTGTTTCTGTGGCCTGGGCTGGAGACCAGGGGCACCCAAAGCCAGTGGGCTGTGGCACACAATCTTTTGTTCTGCACAGGTCCAGATTATGAGCCCAACCTCTGGATGTGGGTAAATCCCAACATTGTGTATCCCCCTGGAAAGCTGGAGGTCTCAGGACGTAGGAAGAGGGAGGACCTGACAAGCACACTCCCCTCCTCTCAGCCACCCCAGAAGGAGGAAGATGCCAGCTGCTCAGAGGCCGCAGGGGTGGAATCACTGTCCCAGTCCTCCAGCAAGCGGTCTCCCCCTCGGAAGCGGTTTGCCTTTTCCCCCAGCACCTGGGAGGTATGCATTTTTGGGGATGGGAGTGGGACTTGGGCAGTAGGCGAGGGGCATGGGGAAGAGCCATTACAGTTCTGCTCTCTTAGCCATAGCAAAAGGTGAATGGGTTCAGAAATTACCTACATGCTTGGGTTGGGGAGAAGCCCAAATGGTGGCCTTAGACCACCCCCCCTTCCTGCCACTGCACCCTGGAGTAGAGGCTGAGGAGTCAGGACCAGTTCCTACTCTGTGCTCCTCTAGCTCACAGAAGAGGAGGAGGCTGAGGACCAGGAAGACAGCTCCTCTATGGCTCTCCCATCCCCTCACAAAAGGGCCCCCCTCCAGAGTCGGAGGCTTCGGCAAGCCAGCAGCCAGGCGGGGAGGCTCTGGTCCCGGCCCCCTCTCAATTACTTCCACCTAATTGCCCTGGCATTAAGAAACAGTTCCCCCTGTGGCCTCAACGTGCAACAGATCTACAGTTTCACTCGGTATGTGCCGGGGGCCCTGCGAGGAGGGGGAAGTGGGGGCCAGGGCCCCGGGCTGATGCCTTCCAATCCATCCCAGGCCCTGGGTTGCTGACCTGGTTTCCCTATCTGGGTCTGAGAGGACAAGTATGTTCCCAGTTCCCTTTTCCCAGGTGCATTTGTGCCCACATTGTGCCCACATTTTATGGCTTTAGTTTTTTTTTTCTTTTTAACAAGTTTTCAGTGTTCTTTGGGTATAGTTCTCCTTTAAAACATACATTCACTTGGGTCAGGTAACAGTTTCCCCACCATCCTCTGAAGATCAGCCAGTCTAAAGTCAGGTTTCCCCAACGGTTCCCACCTGCTTCTGCTAGGACTGGACTGCCTGGCACAGCTCCCTGCACCCCCAGGGGTGCAGAGAACCCAGTTGAGAAGGATTTTCCATTTAGCTCAGATAGTCCTGCTCACAGGAGGGTGAGGAAGGGAGTTTCTTGGGCCCTTTCCCAGTGTTAGGAGAAGTGCCTAATGTCTCAGGACAGGAATTTTCAAGTGGTGTCCGTCCTCAACCAAGATTCCTCTTACAGGAGCTGCTTGGCCTGATTCTGCTTTGTTCATGCTGTGGTCCAAGCCCTGGGCCCTCAGAGGGAGGGAGGGTTCAGGTGAGCCACGCACCACGTGGATGCTTTGCCACGTGCTCAGTTAGCAAAGAGCAACTCCAGGCCAACTTGCTACTATCCCCCTGGAGAGAAGGGCTAAAGCCCCTGGCCCCTGGGTAGAACATGCCCCAGAGAAGGGCATTCCCCAGACATAACATGCCTTTCCTTACCTCTCCTCCCTGTCCATAGAAAGCACTTCCCCTTTTTCCGGACGGCCCCGGAAGGCTGGAAGAATACTGTCCGTCACAATCTCTGTTTTCGAGACAGCTTTGAGAAAGTGCCTGTCAGCATGCAGGGCGGGGCCAGCACACGGCCTCGATCTTGCCTCTGGAAGTTGACCGAGGAGGGACACCGCCGCTTTGCGGAGGAGGCCCGCGCCTTGGCTTCCACTCGGCTAGAAAGTATCCAACAGTGCATGAGCCAGCCAGGTGTGAAGACTTGTTGTGCGTGGGCCCAAGGGGAAGAGACCTGAGGATCCTGACCCAAGGCCAAGTGTGGAAGCCTGGGTCACACCGTGGGGGTGGGGGAATGCATCTTCTATAGGAAACAGGGAGATTAACAGTGATCTGAGACCCTCAGGTGATGCCTGCCTGAGGTGAGACCTCCCCCACCAGTGTGGGGCGTGATGTGCCAGGAATCCATGGGCAAACAACTAAGGGGCAACTGGCCTTACCAAGACCAGCAGTCTAGGCAATAGTGAGCACACAACATGAGAAGCACAGTTAATAGAGGTTATGTACAAAGAGTACTTCTACTTTCCCTGGAGCAGTGCAGGGAGGCTTCAGAGAAGAGGCAGCATTTGAGCCTTGAGTGAAAGAAGCAGATGACCTGCTATGAGAGAGCATCCCAGGCCTAGGAAACAGCAATTGTGAAGTATAAACTCCTGAACTCTCTCCTTTTCTTACAGATGTGATGCCCTTCCTCTTTGATCTTTAACCCCAAGAAGCAACAGCCAGCTAATGCTTTATTAAAATTACCCTCACTAGCCTTCTGTGTGTGTCTGTGGAGGTGGGGTCTCTAAGGATGGGGTTAAGGGTGGAGGTGGAGATCAACTCCAAGGTTGGAGATGGAATGCCTTCAGCTTACAGATGCTCCTGAGGCAATGGGGCAGGTGCCTGCCGTGCAGCAAAGGGAGTCCGTAATTTTCTTTCCTCAAAGGAGGAAAATGCACAGCCTTCTAAAGCATCTTGGAGCAATTTCCATTTTTCTGGATTATGAAGATAATCTTGGCTGGATGCAGTGGCTCACACCTGTAATCCAGCACTTTGGGAGGCTGAGGCAGGAGGATCCCTTGAGCACAGGAGGTCAAGGCTGCAGTCGGCCATGATCACACCACTGCACTTTAGCCTGGGCAACAGCAAGACTCCATCTGTAAAAATTATTCTGGGAGATGCCCGTTTGTAGCAGCCAATTCTGTAAGCACCACACATTCATTCAATTGATACTCCTTAAGTGGCTACTGTGTACCAAGCTCAGGATAGAATACAGGTGCCAGGGAGAACTGCGCTGCATTCTCTTAGCTGCAATAGCGTTGAGGGCATTTGCTAAGGGAGCATAGAAAGGTGCTTTGGGGAGGCGCCATGTTTTGTTTTGTTTTGTTTTGTTTTTAAAGCTTACAGATGACTTTTTTGTGTGTGTGTGACAGTTTCACTCTTGCTGCCCAGGCTGGAATGCAATGGTGCAATCTCGGCCTACCGCAACCTTCACCTCCTGGGTTTAAGCGATTCTCCTGCCTCAGCCTCCCAAGTGGCTGGGATTACAGGCATGCACCACAAAGCCCAGCTAATTTTGTGTATTTTTTAGTAGAGACGGGGTTTCTCCATGTTGGTCAGGCTGATCTCGAATTTTCGACCTCAGGTGATCCACCTGCCTTGGCCTCCCAAAGTGCTGGGATTACAGGTGTGAGCCACCACACCCAGCAGGTGACTTTTTTTTTTTGAGACGGAGTCTCACCCTGTTGCCCAGGCTGGAGTGCAGTGGCACAATCTTGGCTCACTGCAACCTCCGCCTCCCAGGTTCAAGCGATCTTCCTGCCTCAGCTTCCCTAGTAGCTGGGATTACAGGCATGCACCACCAGGCCCAGTTAATTTTTGTATTTTTAGTAGAGACAGGGTTTTGCCATCTTGGCCAGGCTGGTTTCCAACTCCTGACTTCAGGTGATCCACCCGCCTTGGCCTCCCAAAGTGCTGGGATTACAGGCGTAAGCCACCACACCTGGCCTCTTGAGTTAATTTCTGTATGGTCAAGGTTCATTTCTGGCTTGTAGATGTCCAATTGCTCAGCCTCCCAAAGTGCTGGATTAAAGGTGTGAGCTGACTATAGCCTCGAACTCCTTGGGCTCGGGCAATTCTCCCACCTCAGCCTCCCAAGGAGCTGGGACTACAGGTGCGTACCACCACACCAGGCTAATTTTTTTTTTTTTTTTTTTTTTTTGAGACGGAGTTTTGCTCTTGTTGCCCAGGCTGGAATGCAATGGCACGATCTCTGCTCACTGCAACCTCTACCTCCTGGGTTCAAGCCATTCTCCTGCTGCAGCCTCCCAGGTAGCTGGGATTACAGGCATGCACCACCACACCCAGCTAATTTTGTATTTTTAGTAGAGATGGGGTTTCTCCATGTTGGTCAAGCTGGTCTCAAACTTCCGACCTCAGGTGATCCACGTGCCTCTATCTCCCAAAGTGCTGGCATTACAGGTGTGAGCCATCTCACCCGGCCACACCCGGCTAATTTTTTAAATTTTTTGTAGAGATGGAGTCTCACTCTTTCCCAGGTTGGTCTTGAACTGCTGGGCTCAAGCAATCCACCTGGTTTGGTTTGATTTTTTTTTTTTTTTTGAGATGGGAGTCGTGCTCTGTTGCCCAGGCTGGAGTGCAGTGGCACGATCTCGGCTCACTGCAACCTCCGCCTACCGGGTTCAAGCGATTCTCCTGTCTCAGCCTAGCAAGTAGCTCGGATTACAGGCACATGGCCACCAGGCCCCACTAATTTTTCTATTTTTAGTAGATACGGGGTTTCACCATGTTGGCCAGGTTGGTCTCGATCGCCCTGACGTTGTGATCCGCCTGCCTCAGCCTCCCAAAGTGCTGGGATTACAGGCACTAGCCAACTGATATTTTGTTGACTGAAGATTTCAAACACATACAAAGTCGGTCTAATGAACCCTACATATCTGTCATCCAGCTTCATCTCCCCACAGGCAATGTTATTAACACATTCATTCCCCTTTCCTGGAATTATTGTGTGTGTGTGTGTGTGTGTGTGTGTGTGTGTGTGTGTGTGTGTGTGTGTGTGTTTGAGACGGAGTCTCACTCTGTCACCCAGACTGGAATGCAGTGGCACTATCTCGGCTCACTGCAACCTCCGCCTCCCGGGTTCAAGCAATTCTCCTGCCTCAGCCTACCATGTAGTTGGAATTACAGGTGAGCGCCACCACGCCCAGCTAATTTCTGTATTTTTAATAGAGGGTTTCACCATGTTGCCCAAGCTGGTCTTGAACTCCTGACCTCAAGTGATCCACCTGCCTTGGCCTCCCTGGATTATTTTGAATCAATTTCTAGACATCATTTCTTTTCTCTAAAAAGACTGAACATGATACAATCATCACATCCAGGCCGGGCGCAGTGGCTCAAGCCTGTAATCCCAGCACTTTGGGAGGCCGAGGTGGGCGGATCACAAGGTCAGGAGATCGAGACCATCCTGGCTAACACGGTAAAACCCTGTCTCTACTAAAAATATAGAAAATTAGCTGGGCGTGGTGGCGGGCGCCTGTAGTCCCAGCTGCTTGGGAGGCTGAGGCAGGAGAATGGCATGAACCTGAGAGGCGGAGCTTACAGTGAGCTGAGATCGTGCCACTGCACTCCAGCCTGGGCGACAGAGCAAGACTCCGTCTCAAAAAAAAAAAAAATCACATCCAAAATTTTTAAAAATGTATTAGGAATCATATTCCTAATTTTCTAACTTTTTAAAATTTTTATTTCTTTTAGAGATGAGGTCTCCCTATGTTGCCAAGGCTGGTCTTAAACTCCTGGGCTCCCAAAGTGCTGGGATGACAGGTGTAAGCCACTGTGCCTGGCCCTAATTTTCTATTTTCTTAGCTTATTAGCTGAAATACTTCTGTAGAAAAATCTTCCTCTCTCAGGCCGGGCACAGTGGTTCATGCCTGTCATCCTGGCACTTTGGGATGCCAAGGCAGGCGGATCACCTGAGGTCATGAGTTGGAGACCAGCCTGGTCAACGTGGTGAAACCCCGTCTCTACTAAAAATACATTAGCCAGGCGTGGGGCACAAGCCTGTAATCCCAGCTACTCGGGGACTGAGGCAGGAAGATCACTTGAACCCAGGAGGTGGAGGTTGCAGTGAGCAGAGATCACGCCACTGCACTCCAGCCTGAGTGACAGAGGGAGACTTCGTCTCAAAAGAAAAATAGGGCCTGAGTTTCATTA
This sequence comes from Homo sapiens, assembly GCF_000001405.40. Taxonomy (NCBI): domain Eukaryota; kingdom Metazoa; phylum Chordata; class Mammalia; order Primates; family Hominidae; genus Homo; species Homo sapiens. The sequence goes on from NC_000011.10 coordinate 118,984,743, forward strand.
CCCTTCGCCATGCTGTTTGTCTCCAGCACACCCTCAGGAAAAGCTACTTGTGGAATAAGAGTCCTTGAGGCTGCAGGTCCCAGCTGGGGGGCTGTGGCCTCCCTGGTTGCAGGGGACAGCCTCAGGGCAGGGACAGCTGGCAGCCTTAGATCTGTGGGGAATAGGGAGAAGCCTGAGGACAAGGAAGGAATGAGTGAGGTTCAGGGCTGTTTAGGGATCCCACAGACACTCAGTGCTTAGAGACGATGCCAGATCTCACTCCCTCTCCGCTCTTCCCTCCTGCCCAACAGGCCTGCACAGAAACAAAGCTCTGCCTTCAAGGCCACCACTGCCCACCTGGGCTGGGCATAACTCCTGTCTTGAAGTGGCAGTGGGTGGTGCTTCACTCTTGAGAGAGTGGCTCCCTTGTCCAGAGGGCTCCCAGGTCTCTGCAACTGACCAGGGTTGAGGTAGTCTCACTTTTTCATTTTTCCTCCCTGCTTTCCTTGCTGGTAACTCCAATCTGATGTAGCTCCCGCCTCCTCATTTAAATTTTTATTTATTTTTCGTTTTGTCTTTGAGATAGGGCCCTTCAGTGGCACAATCACAGTTCATGTGCAGCCTTGAACTCCTGGACTCAAGCAATCCTCCACCTCCTGGGTTCAAGCAGTTCTCCTGCCTCAGCCTCCCGAGTAGCTGGGATTACAGACGCCCGCCACCACATCGGCTAATTTTTTGTATTTTTAGTAGAGATGGGGTTTCACCGTATTGTTCAGGCTGGTCTCAAACTCCTGACCTCAGGTGATCCACCTGCCTCGGCCTCCTAAAGCGCTGGGATTGCAGGCGTGGCCACCGCACCCAGCCTGGATGCTGATTTCTAAGTGATAGCCACTGCAGGAGTGGGTGAGGGGGACCAGGTCAGGTCATTTGCTCTGGGCCCACCCAGAGCTATCCGGCAGCCAGAGCCTCTTTCCTGCCACCCGAGTCTATTCAGCTCCCAGGAAGGAGGGGTCCTGAGTCCCAAGCTCTGCTTTCATCTGATTTGGCCTCAATTTGTCCCCATCATCTGCACTTCGTATACAGCCTTATCGCTGTGCACATTCTTGTTAACATCAGGGATTTTTTTGCTTTGTTTTTGTTTTTTGAGATGGAGTCTCACCCTGTTGCCCAGGCTGGAGTGCAATGGAGCAATCTCATCCCATTGCAACTTCCGCCTCCCAGGTTCAAGCGATTCTCCTGCCTCAGCCTCCCAAGCAGCTGGGACTGCAGGCGTGCACCACCGTATCTGGCTAATTTTTGTATTTTACTAAAGACGAAGTTTCATCATGTGGCCCAGGCTGGTCTCAAACTCCTGAGCTCTGGCAATCCACTCGCCTCGGCCTCCAACAGTACTAGATTACAGGTGTGAGCCACCACACCTGGCCAACATCAGGTTTAAGTTGCAAGTGGATCCCAAAATGCAGCAGATCAGAAAGAAAGTACAAAACAATACAGCGTTTACTAAGAAAAAATCTGCCTTTGCCCACTTTGCTCTCAACTCCTATACTTGCACCTAGTTTTCACTTATCAATTATTTTGTTATTTTTCTTTTTTTAGGCAGGATCGCAATCCCGGCTCACTGCAACCTCCACCTCCCAGGTTCAAGCAATTCTGCTGCCTCAGTCTCCTGAGTAGCTGGGACCACAGGCATGTGCCATCACGTCCTGCTAATTTTTGTATTTTTAGTAGAGATGGGGTTTCACCATGTTGCCCAGGCTGGTCTTGTACCCTCCCTGAGGTCAAGTGATCCACCCACGTCAGCCTCTCAAAGTGTTGGGATTACAGGTGTGAGCCACCGTGCCTAGACTTCAACAATTATTTGTTACGCATTTTCACTATACCAGGCCCTTGCCAGGTGTTAGGGATACAGCAAAGAAACCCAAATGGTTCCTCACAGTTTTCAGTCTAGATGTAAAGATACTAAACCAATACACTAATTATGTGCAATAATGCACAATGGTAATATTGAGTAAAGATTGGGTTATTGGCCAAGCATGGTGGCTCATGCCTGTAATCCCAGCACTTTGGGAGGCCAAAGCAAGATCGCCTGAGGTCAGGAGTTCAAGACCAAGCCTGGCCAACATGGTGAAACCCTGTCTCTACAAAAATACAAAAATTAGCTGGACATGATGGTGGGTGCTTATAATCCCAGCTACTCGGGAGGCTGAGGCGGGAGAATCACTTGAACCTGAGAGGCGGAGGTTGCAGTGAGAAGAGATCATGCCATTACACTCCAGCCTGGGCAACAGAGTGAGACTCCTTCTCAAAAAAAAAAAAAAAAAAAAAGATGGAGTTATTTTGAGAGAAAGCAATATTGGCATCTAATTTAGATTGGAGGGGAGATCAGAGAGGACCTTTCTAAGAAAGTGACATTTTAACTGAGACCTGTAGCATGAGGAGAAGTTAGCCAGGCTGAAGAACAGAAAGGAAAAGCATTCCTTTACTTTTTTTTTTTTTTTTTGAGACAGAGTCTTGTGCCGTCACCCAGGCTGGAGTGCAATGGCACAATCTTGGCCCACTGCAACCTCTGCCTCCCGGGTTCAAGCTTCTCCTGCCTCAGCCTCCCGAGTAGCTGGGATTACAGGGGCACACCACCACACCCGGCTAACTTTTTGTACCTTTAGTAGAGACAGGGTTTTACCATGTTGGCCAGGCTGGTCTTGAACTCCTGACCTCGTGATCTCCCTGCCTTGGCTTCCCAAAGTGTTGGGATTACAAGCATAAGCCACCGCCCCAGGCCGGAGGAAAAGCATTCTAATAGAGGCATTAGAATGGACAAAGCCCTGGAGGTAGAGACATACCTTGGCCTTTTGAGCAAACGGGATAAGACCATGGAAGAGAGAATACACTAAACAAGGGCAGAAAGATCCAAGGTAAAACTGGGAGAGGGGCAGGGTAGGCTTTCCTAGGCTATGACAGGGCATTTGGATTTTTTTCCAGTATGGTGGAAAGTAATTGAAGTAACTTACATAACTGTTTGTTGTTGTCGTTGTTAATCACAATTAGCCATTCATTGAAAGTGGCTTGTTGTGGGGAGAAGCCAACATGGAAGCAGGAACACCCATTAGGAGGTGACTGCGGTAAATCAGGCCGGTTGGAGGAGTAGTGGCAGTAGAGATGGAGACAGGGAGAAGAACAATTTGATGATGCATCGTGGAGGTCGAAAAAACAAGTCAATAGTAGTGACTGCAGGAGAAGAAAAGGCAAGAATGGCCGGGCGTGGTGGCTCACGCCTGTAATCCTAGCACTTTGGGAGGCTGAGGCAGCCGGATCACGAGGTCAGGAGATCGAGACCATCCTGGCTAACACAGTGAAACCCCATCTCTACTAAAAATACAAAAAATTAGCCGGTGTGGTGGCAGACGCCTGTATTCCCAGCTACTCTGGAGGCTGAGGCAGGAGAATGGCATGAACCTGGGAGGTGGAGCCTGCAGTGAGCCCAGATCGCGCCACTGCACTCCAGCCTGGGTGACAGAGCGGGACTCTGTCTCAAAAAAAAAAAAAAAGAAGGAAAAGGCAAGAATGACTCTGAGGTTTTTGGTTTGAGCAAGTAGGTGAATGGTGAGGAGAGGAAGCCTGCAGGAGTAGCAGGTTTGAGCGTTCTGTGTTTAGTATCTGTGAGACAAGTCCGGGCACGATGGCTCACACCTGTAATCCCAGTACTTGGGGAGGCAGAGGTGGGTGGATCACTTGAGCCCAGGAGTTGGAAACCAGCCTGGGCAACCTGGTGAGACCTCCTCTCTACAAAAAATAAATAAGCTGGGCGTGGTGGCGTGTGCCTGTGGTCCCAGCTACTTGGGAGGCTGAGGTGGGAGGATTGCTTGAGCCCAGGGGGATCAAGCCTGCAGTGAGTCATAATTGTGCCACTGCACTCCAGCCTGAGTAGTGACAGAGCAAGATCCTGTCTCCAATTAAAAAAAAAAAAAAAGGAATCTGTGAGGCCAGGGGCGGTGGCTCACACCTATAATCCCAGCACTTTGGGAGGCTGAGGTGGGAGGATCACTGAGTTCAGGAGTTTGAGACCAGCCTGGCCAACATGGTGAAACCCCGTCTCTACTAAAAATGCAAAAATTAGCCAGGTACGGTGGCTCACGCTTGTAATCCCAGCACTTTGGGAGGCTGAGGCAGGCGGATCATGAGGTCAGGAGTTTGAGACCAGACTGGCCAACAGGGTGAAACCCTGTCTCTACTAAAAATACAAAAATTAGCTGGGCGTGGTGGCGGGCGCCTGTAATCCCAGATACTTGGGAGGCTGAGGCAGGAGAATCGTTTGAACCCAGGAGGCAGAGGTTGCAGTGAGCCGAGATCGCGCCACTGCACTCCAGCCTGGGTGACAGAGCTAGACACTGTCTCAAAAAAAGAAAAAGAAAAAAAAAAATAGCCAGACGTGGTGGCACGCGCCTGTAATCCCAGCTACACAGGAGACTGAGACAAGAGAATTGCGTGAACCCAGGAGGCAGAAGTTGCCCTGAGCTGAGATCACACAGCTGCACTCCAGCCTGGGTGACAGAGCAAGACTCCATCTCAAAAAAAAAAGCGGGGGGGTGGGGCCGGGCACAGTGGCTCACGCCTGTAATCCTAGCACTTTGGGAGGCCGAGGTGGGTGGATCACCTGAGGTGGGGAGTTCGAGACCAGCCTGATCAACACGGAGAAACCCCGTCTCTACTAAAAAAAAAAAAAAAAATACAAAATTAGCTGGGTGTGGTGGCACATGCCTGTAATCCCAGCTACTTGGGAGGCTGAGGCAGGAGAATTGCTTGAGCTTGAACCCAGGAGGCGGAGGTTGTGGTGAGCTGAGCTCACGCCATTGCACTCCAGCCTAGGCAACAAGAGCAAAACTCCATCTCAAAAAAAAAAAAAAAAGGAATCTGTGAGACATCAGGGTGGTTATGTCAATGTCAAGTAGATATTTATAAGTCTAGAGTTCAGAAGAGAAGTCTGAGCTGAAAATGTAAATACACTGAGAGTCATCAGTATATAGATAGCACTTAATATCAAGTTCTATGTACTGACATAGAAAGATATCCACAAGGCCAGGCACGGTGACTCACGCCTGCAATCCCAGCACTTTGGGAGGCCGAGGCGGGTGGATCACTTGAGTTCGAGAGTTCGAGACCCGCCTGACCAACATGGAGAAACCCTGCTTCTATTAAAAATACAAAATTAGCCAGGCGTGGTGGTGCATAGCTGTAATCCCAGCTACTCGGGAGGCTGAGGCAGGAGAATCGCTCAAACCCGGGAGGCGGAGGTTGTTGTGAGCTGAGATGGCACCATTGCACTCCAGCCTGGGCAACAAGAGTGAAACTCCATCTCAAAAGGAAAAAAAAAGATAACCAAAATACAATTTGAGGAATTAAAAAAGAGTAGGAGAACAGTGTGTTCAAAATTACTCCAAATATGGCAGAAATTATGTTCACATATATATGAAGTCTAAACAGAGAAAACATCTTGATCAATATAGGTGTCAAAGAGCAATGGCCATCTTTGAGGACTGGGTAGGCAACATAAATGGGGCAATTGTTTGTAGCCTCTGTACAGTTTTTGTTTTTTACAAGAAATTGCTTTTTACAATTTTTCTTTTTTTTTTTTTCTTTTTTTTTTTTGAGACTGAGTCTTGCTGGAATGCAGTGGTAAGATCTCAGCTCACTGCAACCTCTGCCTCCTGGGCTCAAGTAATCGTCCTATCTCAGCCTCCCTGGTAGCTGGGACCACAGACACACACAATCCTGCCTGGCTAATTTTTTATATTTTTAGTAGAGAAGAGGTTTTGCCATGTTGCCCAGGCTGGTCTCAAACTCCTGAGCTCAAGCAATCTGCCCGTTGGGATTACAGGCATGAGCTACCG